>NW_017852933.1:1605929-1927115 GCF_000001405.40 Homo sapiens
TTGAGACGGTCTTGCTGTGTCACCCAGGCTGGAGTGCAGCGGCACAGATACTTGGCTTACTGCAGTCTCGACCTCCCAGGCTCAAGCCTCCTGCCTCAGCATCCACAAGTAGCTGGGGCTACAGGCGCTTGCCAACAGCCCGGCTCATTTTTGTATTTTTTGTAGAGATGGGGTTTTCACCACGTTGCCCAGGCTGGTCTTGAACCCCTGAACGCAAGCAATCTGCCCACCTTCAGCCTCCCAAAGTGTTGAGATTACAGGTGTGAGCCACTGCACCCGACATTTAAGAATGGTTAAGCAGGCCGGGGGCAGTGGCTCACGCCTGTAATCCCAGCACTTTGGGAGGCTGAGGTGGGTGGATCACCTGAGGTCAGGAGTTCGAGACCAGCCTGGCCAACCGACATGGTGAAACCCCCGTCTCTACTAAAAAAAAATAAATAAATAAATTAGCGGGATGTGGTGGTGCATGCCTGTAATCCCAGTTACTCGGGAGGCTGAGGCAGGAGAATCACTTGAACCTGAGAGGCAGAGGTTGTAGTGAGCGACATCACACCACTGCACTCCAGCCTGGGCAGCAGAGCAAGACTCCTTCTCAAAAAAAATAAAAAGTTAAAAAAAGAATGGTTAAACAAATGAGTGTCTTAGGTCAGTTGTATTATTTGAAATCTGTGGGTTCCTCAAGCGTAAAGTTGAGAAGGTTTTGGGAACCACTGGATGCCTCTGGTTTTTTTCATATGAAGAAACAGGGGTGGTGGCTTCTTAGAACAAAGGGATATCTGACCTATGGAGGTGGCCCTCTTTACTCCTCTTCCCTAAAAAAATGACCTATCATTGCCAATAGCTAAAGTCTGTCATTTTTTCCACCTTAGTTTGGAAGATAATCTTCTAGTATCAATCAAGACAGAGATCAGAATGATGTGTTTTAAAATTAAATGTGTAATTCATAATTGTACATTTTAATATTCTAAAGTGACATTGATTAATTTGACATTGGAGTCAAATAGATTGATTAATTCAACAAAGAAGAGAAGGCATTCAAGTCAACAGAAAACAAGTAGATTTTACTTCTCCACTCGGGGTATTAGGACATTAATTGTGTAATTGGTCTTACTTGTTTAGTAGTAGATCTATATTGAGTGTCTTACTGTGCCCAAACTTAGGATCTTTCTATATTTCTAAAAGGATGAAACTGTATAATAAAAACACCTTCCAATTTTGGTAGATTGTAGACAGATCAGAGTATTCAAAAGTACACAGATCTTCTCTATTGTGAAAGACCAAAAAATGGAAATGTGTTGTGAAATTAGAAAAGCTGTATACTAGTATGTCTGATGTTGTGAGAAGCTGGATTTTTGAAACCAGAGTTGTCTATTCAGCCTTTTATCAGTCTGTACTAAGTTTGATGTCCATAGGTACATAATATAGGGAGATACATAAAGGATAAAATTAAGTGAAGTTACATATTTTATACCTATTAGGTAGGTGCAAAAGTAATTGCGGTTTTGGCAAAAACCGCAGTTACTTCCACACCAGTCTAATATTAAATGGAACTAGAGTCAAATAGAATTTAGCGATTGCCAGTTCTGTTCCACAGATTTCAAAGTACACTAAGGAAAATTTCAGCAAATTGTGTATGGCTGTTTTACTTGGGGGAGAGTAAAACAGCCATAATAAACTAAAAAATAAAAATTAAAACTAAAGGAACATTTGTTTTTATGTTTTTCTTTTCTTTTCTTTCCTCTTTTTTGAGATATGCTCTTGCTCTGTTGCCCAGGCTGGAGTGCAGTGGTGCAATCACTGCTCACTGCAGCCTTGACTTCCTGGGCTCTGGGAATCCTCCCGCCTTAGCCTCCTGAGTAGCTGGGACCACAGGTGCATACCACCACACCTGGCTAATTTATTTTTCCTCTCTCTCTCTCTTTTTTTTTTGAGACAGAGCTTTACTTTGTCGCCCAGGCTGGAGTATAGTGGCACAATCTCAGCTCACTTGCAACCTCCGCCTCCTGGTTCAAGTGATTCTCCTGTCTCAGCCTCCCAAGTAGCTGGGAATACAGGTGCATGCCACTATGCCCGGCTAATTTTTGTGTTTTTAGTGGAGATGGGATTTCACCATGTTGGCCAGGCTGGTCTTGAACTGCTGACCTCAGGTGATCCACCCGCTTCGGCCTCCCAAAGTGCTGGGATTACAGGCGTGAGCCACCACGCCTGGCTTCCTCTCTCTTTTTCTGAAACAGAGTCTCGCTCCATTGCCCAGGTTGGAGTGCAGTGGAACCATCTCAGCTCACTGCAGCCTCCACCTCCCAGGCTCAATAAGTCCTCCTACCTCACCCTCCCAATAGCTGGGACCACAGGTGCATGTTACCACCCCCAGCTACTTTATTTTTTTTTTGTTTTCTGTAGAGACGGGGTTTTGCCATGCTGCCTGGGCTGGTCTTGAATACCTAGGCTCAAGTGATCCTTCCTCCTTGGCCTCCCAAAGTGCCAGGATTACAGGTGTGACCCACCATGCTTGGCACGCTAATTTTTTATTTTTACTTTTTTGTAGAGATGGGGCCTCCCCATGTTGCCCATGCTGGTGTCAAACTCCTACTCCATTATGAAATAAGTCATTCCTTATGAAACACTTAGTAATTGTATCTTTAAGTTGAACCTTCCCCTCACCCCAACTTTTTTTTTTTTTTTTTTTTTTTTTTTTTTGAGACAGAGTTTTGCTCTTGTTGTCCAGGCTGGAGCGCAATGGTGCAATCTCGGCTCACTGCATCCTCCGCCTCCCAGGTACAAGCTGTTTTCCTGTCTCAGCCTCCCAAGTAGATCAGATTACAGGCATGTGCCACCACACCCGGCTAATTTTTTTATATTTAGTAGAGATGGGGTTTCACCATGTTAGGCTGGTCGTGAACTCCTGACCTCAGGTGATCCACCTGCCTCGGCCTCCCAAAGTGCTGGGATTACAGGTGTGTGCCACTGCACCCCGCCTTTTTTTTTAAAGACATAGTTTCACTCTGTCTCCCAGGGTGGAGTGCAGTGGCACAATCTTGGCTCAGTACAACCTCCACCTCCTGGGTTCAAGTGATTCATGTGCCTCTGCCTCCCGAGTAGCTGGGACTACAGGCGCATGTCACCAGGCCCGTCTAATTTTTGTATTAGAGACAGGGTTTCGCCATGTTGGCCAGGCTGGTCTCGAACTCCTGACCTCGAGTTCCCACCTTGGCTTCTCAAAGTGCTGGGATTACAGAAGTGAGACACCGTGCCTGGACCCGCCAACCCATTTTGTTTTGATTCCTTTATAAATTAGTATAATGGAAGGTTTTTTTGTTTGTTTTTTATAACAGGTAATGAAATACTCTAATTCAGTAAATATTGATGCTTCTGGGGAGATGTGTGTGTGTGTGTGTGTGTATGTGTGTGTGTGTGTGTGTGTGTATGTATATAATAAATTTTTTTTTTTTTTTTTAGGATGGAGTGTCACTCTGTCGCCCAGGCTAGAGTGCAGTGGTGCAATCTCGGCTCACTGCCAGCTCCACCTCCTGGGTTCACGCCATTCTCCTGCCTCAGCCTCCCGAGTAGCTGGGATTGCAGGTGCCCGCCACCACGCCTGGCTAATTTTTTGTATTTTTAGTAGAGATAGGGTTTCACCGTGTTAGCCAGGATGGTCTCGATCTCCTGACCTCGTGATCCGCCCGCCTCGGCCTCCCAAAGTGCTGGGATTACAGGTGAGAGCCACTGTGCCCGGCGAAGCAGCGTCTCTTTTTAAGGTTGTAAGGTAGCTTGGGTTAGAAATAAAGGCAGAGAGCCACTCCATACCTGTAGTTCTAGCTACTGGGGAGGCTAAGACCAGAGGAATCTCTTGAGCCCAGGAGTTCAAGGCTGCAGTGAGCTGTAATCACACACTGCACTACAACGTGGGCAACATAGAGTGAGACCTAATAAATAAATAAATAAATAAATAAACAAATAAATGCAAGGAGAAAGTCAGGAACTTGGTGCATTTAGGTGTACAATTAGTTGGCATAAACAATTTTTTTTTTTGAGATGGAGTTTCTCTCTTGTTGCCCAGGCTGGAGTGCAGTGGGGCAGTCTCGGCTCACTGAAACCTCTGCCTCCTGGGTTCAAGTGATTCTCCTGCCTCAGCCTCCCGAGTAGCTGGGATTACAGGTGCCCGCCACCACGGCCAGCTAATTTTTGTATTTTTAACAGATGGGGTTTTGCCATATTGGCCAGGCTGACCTTGAACTCCTGACCTCAAGTGATCCGTCCACCTCAGCCTCCCAAAGTGCTGGGATTACAGGCGTGAGCCACTATGCCAGCCAAGAATTTTTAAAAAAGGAGTTTCATTCAGCCCACCTCATTCCTCTGCAGGGCACCTGTGTGCAGGGCAAAACTGCTCAACCCTACTCAGAAGCCCTGTGAAAGCTGCTGAAAGGATGAGCAGATTGAGGCCTGAACTGTATCTTGGATTTAGCAGCCTGGAGGTCATAATGGATTTTGCCAAGAGTGATGGGGCAGAAATTGGACCAGTGTGTGTTAAGGAGCTAGAAGAAGTGAAGAAATGGGAGAGGGGAATCTAGACAACTTTAGTTTGGCTGCAGCAAGTAAAGGCAGATTGTTTGATGGAGGGACGTGTGGGATTGATGGAGTTTTTCCTTTTTATATGTTTTTGTATTTTTCAATGGAATACATTAGAAAGTGTTGCATGTTTATGGGGGGGATTTAGTTCAGTGGGAAAAGTATTTGAAAAGTTACAGTAAGGTGGAAGTAGATGGAATCCTCAGTAAGGTCTAGAATCGGGTACAGGTATTTTATGGTATCTTCCTCACCCCACCCCGAGACGGAGTTTCGCTCTTATTATTGCCCAGGCTCTGGAGTGCAGTGGTGCAGTCTTGGCTCACTGCAACCTCCACCTCCTGGGTTCAAGCGATTCTCCTGCCTCAGTCTCCCATGTAGCTGAGATTACAGGTGCGCACCACCACACCCAGCTAATTTTTGTATTTTTAGTAGAGATGAGGTTTCACCATTTTGGCCAGGCTGGTGTCCAACTCCTGACATCAAGTGATCCACCCGCCTTGGCCTCCCAAAGTGCGGGGATTACAGGCGTGAGCCACTGTGCCCAGCTGGTACCTTTTTTCTTGTTGGTGAAGTAGAATGTGTGTATGGGGAGGGGAGGTGATAGGATATTTTGGAATTTGAAGAGAATGGGAATGTCTGGATAGTGCATGTATAGAATGGGAAGTAAACACTGGAGGACCTGGGAGTGTGGTGCTTATTGATGGATCGTTGGGTTTATCCAGGATTGGGGTTTTGCCAGATGGGTGTGATGAGAATCTTAAGAGTTAAGGGTATAGGCAAGAGTGTTGTTGAAATGATACACAATGAAATCTAAGCTGGTTAAAGAAGTGAAGAAGGGGCCGGGCACGTTGGCTCACGCCTGTAATTCCAACACTTTGGGAGGCCGAGGCGGGTGGATCCCTTGAGGTCAGGAGTTCGAGACCAGCCTGGCCAACATGGTGAAACCCCGTCTCTACTAAAAATACAAAAATTAGCCGGGTGTGGTAGCAGGGGCCTGTAATCTCAGCTACTTGGGAGGCTGAGGCAGGAGAATCGCTTGAACCTGGAGGTGGAGGTTGCAGTGAGCCAGTATTGCACCACTATACTCCAGCCTGGGCAACAAAGTCAGAGTCTGTCTCAAAAAAAAAAAAAAAAAATGAAGTGAAGAAGGAGGAGAATACTTGGATTGGGATAAAGTAGAAAGAGTCACTGGATTAAAGTTAACTAAAAAACTCATAAACTTTAGAGTGGTATTGAGAAATTGTAGGGTGAACTGAAAAAGGCTCATGGGATTTTAGAGCCAAGAAGGCCTTGAGTGGCAGTTCCTACCTTAGTAGGAATAGCTTCAGTGGTGTGTTGCAGGTGGAACCCAGATTAAAGTGGGTTAAAAAGTAAATGAAGGCAAGGAAGATAAATTTTTCAACAGGTTTGTCTGTGAAGAGTCCAGGCTATTAGATTGATAGAGGGAGAAAGGCAGTTAAAGGGTTTTTTTGTTTTTTGTTTTTTTTGAGTCAGAGTCTCACACTGTTGCCCGGTCTGGAGTGCAATGGCGTGACCTCGGCTCACTGCAACCTCCGCCTCCGGGGTTCAAGTAGTTCTCCTGCCTCAGCCTCCCAACTAGCTGGGAATACAGGCGCCCACCACCACACCCGGCTAATTTTTTGTATTTTTAGTAGAGACGGGGTTTCACTATGTTGCCCAGGCTGGTCTCAAACTCCTGACCTCATGATCTGCCTGCCTCGCCCTCCCAAAGTGCTGGGATTACAGGCGTGAGCCACCGTGCCCGGCCTTATTTTCTTAATTTTTAAATTTATTTTATTATTATTATGATTATTTTTGAGATGGAGTCTCTCTGCCGCCCAGGCTGAAGCGCAATGGTGCAATCTCGGCTCACTGCAACCTCTGCCTCCCGGATTCGAGCGATTCTCCTGCCTCAGCCTCCTGAGTAGCTGGGATTGCAGGCGCCCGCCACCACGCCTGGCTGATATTTGTATATTTAGTAGAGACGGGGTTTCACTACATTGGCCAGGCTGGTCTTGAACTCCTGACCTCATGATCCACCCACCTTGGCCTCCCAAAGTGCTGGGATTACCAGCGTGAGCCACCGCACCCGGCCTTTAGTTTTTTTTTTTGAGACGGAGTCTCGCTCTGTCACCAGGCTGGAGTGTAGTGGCACGATCTTGGCTCACTGCAAGCTCTGCCTCCCGGGTTCAAATGATTCCCCTGCCTCAGCCTCCCAAGTAGCTGGGACTACAGGTGCGTGCCACCACGCACAGGTAATTTTATTTTTTCTATTTTAGTAGAGACGGGGTTTCACCGTGTTGGCCAGGGTGGTCTCAATCTCCTGACCTTATGATCTGCCTGCCTTCGCCTCCCAAAGTGCTGGGATTACAGGCATGAGCCACCGTGCCCGGCCATTTTTTGTTTTTGTTTTTGTTTTTTTTAAAGTAAGACTTTTGAGAGTGCTCATATGTTGATGATGTGATAAGCAGTAGTAAAATGGGAGATTTTGCAACGTACAAAAGAAACAGGCCGGGTGCAGTGGCTCAAGCCTGTAATCCCAGCACTTTGGGGAGGCCAAGGTGGGCGGATCACGAGGTCAGGAGATCGAGACCATCCTGGCTAACATGGTGAAACCCCGTCTCTACTAAAAATACAAAAAATTAGCCGGGCGTGGTGGTGGGCGCCTGTAGTCCCAGCTACTCGGGAGGCTGAGGCAGGAGAATGGCGTGAATCCGGGAGGCAGTGAGTCGAGATCACGCCACTGCACTTCAGCCTGGGCGACAGAGCGAGACTACATCGCAAAAAAAAAAAGACAAGACATACCTTGGAAAATGGGGGGAATAGACAGATGATTTCTATGGATAGGAGGTTTATTTGTTCCATTATGCGAAGATGATGGGAAGAAAAGCTGTATGTGCAGATGCAGGTGAATTTGTGGATATATTAGAAGGAAGATGACAGGCAGTGATGGAGTGTTGAAGAGCTCAAACATTAGACAGTACTGGGTCTGAGTTCTGACTCTGCCTTTTACAAGCTGTGCAACCATAGGCCAGTTATGAAACCTTAGTTATCAAGTTATAACTAATAGGATTGTGTTGAACACGAAATGACATGATAAACATATGTAAACTGCTTGGATCAGTTGCCCACTAGCTCTTGTTAGGAGCTAAAATGTTAGCTCTTGCTGAGGGTGCTGTCAAATGGCTTCTGTTTCTCATGGAGCAGAAATCTATAAGGTCATCCACTGGTAGTGGTGGGAGAAGGAAGAAGGTGCAGAAAGTTTTACAGATGTTTTGGAAAGGAAAGAAACCTGGTGAGGGAAATGTGGGCAGCATCAGAGGCCCACTTGAAGTCAGAGAAAAGGAGCATTGGGGCATGGAGGTGAGGGGGTACTTTCTTCAGCTTTTCTCTGAAGACAATTGTGCATGTGAAACAAGGGTTAAAATCAGATCTATTGCCCTCCTGGATTTATTGGCTTCGTTTGCTCTTTCTGGCTAATTTGATTGGAGTTCTGAAAGTAGAGAATATTAGAGGTTCCTTGGAAGGAAAATAAGCAACACTGAAGTCAAATCTTTATCATGTTTGCTGGAAATGTTATTAAAAAACAAAATTTATGGCCGGGTGCAGTGGCTTATGCCTGTAATCCCAACCCTTTGGGAGGCTGAGGTGAGTGGATCACTTGAGCTCAGGAGTGCGAGACCAGCTTGGGCAACATTTTGGGAATGTTGTAGAGAATGGGACAAAAAAATACAAAAGTTGCTGGGCGTGGTGGAGTAAGCCTGTGGTCTCAACTACTTGGGAGGCTGATGTGGGAGGTTTGCTTGAGCTCGGATTGCACCACTGCACTCTAGCCTGGGCGACAGTGTGAGACCCTTTTTCAAAACAAACAAGCAACTTTTTTTGAGCTACAGTATATTTAATGGTTTTAAATATGAGTGCAGAGTAAGAGGGAGTCCAGTCCATAAGATGACCCTTGCTTCTAATACTAGTTGCAAGTTTGGGGGTTCCCAAGACCACTCTTTTTTTTTTTTGAGACAGGGCCTCTCTCTGTCACCCCGGTGAGAGTGCAGTGGCATGATCACGGCTCACTGCGCCCTGAACTCCTCCCTCCCAGGTTCAGGCAGTCCTCCTACCTCAGCCACCTGAGTTGCTGGATCTGTGGGCACACACCACCTCGCCTGGCTAGTTTTTCTATATTTTTTAGAGACAGTTTCACCATATTGCCAGGCTGGTCTCAAACTCCTGAGCTGAAGTGATCCGCCTGCCTGGGCCTCCCGAAGTGCTGGGATTACAGGCTTGAGTCACTGTGCCTGGCCAAGACCACTCTTAGGTTGGATGATTTGCCAGGAGGACTCACTAGAACTCATTGAAAGCTCTCATACCCATGGTTAGAGTTTATTGCAGTTTAGGGATTCAGATTAGAACGAGCCAAGGGTAGAGGTGCATAGGGCAGAGTTCGGGGAAGTTCCAAATGTTGGAGTTTCTAATTGTCCTGTCCCTGTAGAGTTGTGAAAAATGACACCTTCCTGGTGGCACTGGTGTGCGACCATACTCATGGATTATTGCCAACCAGGGAAGCTCACTCTATTTTTTATGTCCAGCGTTTTTACTGGGGTTCCATGGTTGCATGCCCATGTGGCTAACCTTAGTCTCCAGCCCCACTGGAGGCCAAGCTGATCCATGTGACTCAAAGCCCCCACCATAAGCCACATTATTAGACTGTGCTGTGGCCTAAAGCCCCCAGATGAACAAGGACACTTTCCCCCACCGCCGCCCCCCCGCCCTTTTTTTTTGGAGATAGTCTTGCTCTGTTGCCCAGGCTGGAGTGCAGTGGCATGATCTCAGCTCACTGAAACCTCAGCCTCCTGAGTAGCTGGGATTATTACAGGTGCCCGTCACCATGCCTGGCTAATTTTTGTATTTTTAGTAGAGACAGGTTTCACCATGCTGGCCAGGCTGGTCTCAGAATCCTGACCTCAAGCGATCTGCCCGCCTTGGCCTCCCAAAGTGCTGGGATTACAGGTGTGAGCCACTGCTCCTGGCCAGGACCCTCTTATTAGGTATGACATTTCAAGAGTTTAGAGATTACCTTCCAGAATTCACAGGTAAAAGCCAGACCTCTCCTTGGTGAAGATACAATTCTTTACAATTTTACAATAGTTAAATATATTTTATCAGTCTATATTGGCTGTTTAGTTGACAGACAGTTAAAAATTGGTGACAGTCCAGATGTGGTCACTCATGCTTCTAATCCTAGCATTTTGGGAGGCTGAGGTGGGAGGATTGCTTGAGTCCAGGAATTTGAGAGCAGCCTGAGCAACATAATCAGACACCTGTCTCCAAAAAACATAAAAATAAAAAATTAGCTAAATGGAGTGGCATGCACCTGTGGTCCCAGCTGTTTGAGAGGCTGAACCCATGAGGTCGAGGCTGCACCCATGAGGTCGAGGCTGCAGTGAGCTATGGTCATGCCAGTGCACTCCAGCCTGGGTGACAGAGTGAGACCCTGTCTCAAAAAAGGAAACAAATCACCCATAAATGGATAATTAAGATTTGGTTATTATAGACACTTAATACTTAGGTAGCTAAGGTAGTTTTACCAATAAATTATATTAATTTAATATTTCAGTATTGCAAAACTGATGCATACTCATTTACAATTTTGACATGGAATGGTTCTGTTTTGTTTTATTAAATTTGAACTTAAAAGTTCTCTGCAAGAAGAGATTTGTATAATAAATTCCCTGAGCCTCTCAAATTAATATTTTAGCCATAGACTCATATTTAGAGCAGTGTTTCTAATGTAATGATACAAGGCCCAGGGTTATTCATAGTTTCACCGTTTCTCTTATTCCTCATTAAAGCATGTTTGAATCCAGGCAAGAGGCATTACAGGGGAAAACCTTGAATTTATTTTTGAAGGGTAAATCATTTCCAAGTGGTATTAACCATTAGTATGGAAAGCAACATATCCTATAACTGCTCTGTGACAGTGAGACTATCTTTGCTGCTTTAGAGAATAAGTACATTCCTACTTCATTGGCTTTAGTGCAAATCTCATTTCCTGGTTTATATCCATTACAAATTAGATCTCACCATGAGAGCAAAATCCCTTAATAAACCTAGGTAAAAGCAATTTGAAGTAATATGATGCTTACTCCAGTGACACCACTAGGTGTGGTGTTTGCATCAAGTCATTTTGGGGTGCTTTATGGAAATGCTTCCTAGTAGGGAATTCCCTGACTTCACACTTTCCAGAGATGACGCTCTCTCTCTTTTTCTCTCTAATACTTACAAGAATGGACTGCAAGGCTACATTTAGTCAGGCGATACCATCCCCAGCACATGGTGGCTTGTTGGTGTGAGGTCTAAGGATTCCGGTCATTTGAAACGAATGGCCTCCTAGATTTGTGGCATTTTTCTGTATATTGAGAATAGGTAACTAAAATAAGTGGTAACTGTATTTGCATGTGATTTGTATGTGATAGTTAACATTTAAATTCTCTTATGTACTAAAATTTTTTTGGTTGCCACATTAAGCCTCTTTATCCTGTAAGGCACAGAGTGTCTTTCCACCTCAATTTTTGCTTTAATGTATGAACCCTAATGGGACCATAGTTCAACTAAAGGCACCTAACTCATGAATGATATTTGCTCCATGTTTGAACAACAAATGTTTTAACCCACTGTCTTCACTAATATTGTAACTACTGTCTTACAGATTGACTTGATGCACAACATCACAAAGGCGATTTTTGAGGTATGAGCTTTAGAAACTTACCTCTCATGTGGCATGTACATCAGGCTTTAACTTCAGTTTGATCGTTTTGGGGAAATTTATGCATTTCTTTTTTTTTCTCTCCATGATATTTTTAGAATATTAAAGGGGCTGTAGAGGTATTTTTGGTTCCTTGCTAGGATTCTTAGACTTAACAGATAGATTTTCTTTTTTCACTAAATTGAGACACTAATTCTGGCAGATGATATCCCTTTCAGCTCTTCTAACTAACTAGCCTAACATTCATGCCTGCTTCTTGGAGTTCAAATCTGCAGTTTCTATTTTGTGGCTTTGATTGCCTCATTTTAAGTGCTCATTTCCGTTCTTCAACAGTTCTCTATTTATTGGACTGGGATGATCTTGTTGGTGCTAACAGCCTGACATTGACATTTTTTGAAACCTAAGCAGTCAAGATTGTATAAAAATAGAAATTTCTTATAAATGCTAAACCATTTTGTGCTTTTAGGTTCAGAATGCTTACAACCTGAGTTCTGGTTGGGGATGCTTTGATCAATTTGTATTAAAATAATTTGGCAACTAGGGAGTTTTGAGGTATTTCTGAGACGGTGGCTCTATTCCAGTTTTTTTTGTTATATTTCTGAAAACACAGATTTTTTTTGGGAAAAAAATCTCAGTGTTCATAACTTAGGGGATTTAGAAACCTTATTTCTAACCAACGGGGAAGCTGCTCCTGGTTTTACAGTTTAGTTTGAAATCAGATGCTTCCTAGTTGGAAACACATTGTTGGTAGCAACAGATTACCTGCTTTCTTCAGTGAAGTATTTAAGTTGCTCTATATTGACTGTAAAAACTTGTTTTGATTATATTCATATACTCATGAACTGTTTGTACATTGTCTTTTAGACTGGAAACTTTGAGTTTATTTTGTATTATGGTCATAACAACTTTTAACATACCCTGCAAACTAAGTGTTTCTTTATAATTCATTATCTTATTTTAGCCTCACAACAACCTTACATGTTAGATAGGTATCATCCTCATTTTATGCAAGAGACAACCAAGGCTTGGAGATCAAGTAATTTGTGCAAAGGCACACATACTTTTCAGTGCTGGAGCTGGGATTTGAGCCCAGATCTTTTTTTAACTTGTATTCTCTGCTGCCTTATGGTACTACTGTGTCACCAGAAAATGATACAAACATTTAACTCTTAATAGTAAAGGTAGTGTAGGAGATAAGTAAACATGATGAAAACAGGAAGTGAAGATACGTTTAAATATTGGCAGACTTCAGTTATCTTTGTGTTTCTGAATTAGTCAAGTGCTTATTTTATTCGCTCATCTAATAAGAGCTTACTGTGGCATACATATAAAGTTCAAACCCTGTCAGAAAAGATTATAAGCTCTCTTAACGTTTCAGTCTCCTTTCAGAAAGTAATGGTATGCTATGATTTATATAGACGCATGTTAAGTGTGCTATTTTTAGGTACATAAGGAATGTCTTTTCATTAGTTTAAAAAAGTTATGGTCCATTGAGTTAATATTTTAATGCTTATAGACTTAGTATACTCAGAAAATATTCTCATACATTTTTCTTGAAATTCCATAGATTTTATTTTCCCTTATGTTCGAAGTACTTAGCTTTATGAATAAGTGAACTCTGAATATTAGAAGATACTCCTTATGGAGCCTTAGTCATTTTAGTATGCTAGGTTTTGAATTTCATGAAGTTTCAGATTGAGATCCTTTATAAGTAATGACTTGTACCAGTTAGATATCCAAGTTTAATTGGACCTATTGTCTGCATTCTGTATTAACAGTGATTGCAGTAAGTGCAGATCAAGGTGTCCAACTGATTGAGCTCATGCAAAGTTTTATGTTTAGTATTTTTGGGAGCAAGGAAAGACTAATAAACTCTAAACGAAATATATACAGTATACAAACACTGCTGTCACTTTTACACCATAGAGGGAGGGGCAAAGCGTAGAGGAATAGGTTAGTTTCTGGCCTTGCCAGTGTCCTAAACTTTTCTAAAAGATTCAGGTTCTAAAAGGTTGAGAAAGCATTTTTAGTAAATATCATAGAAGTGATTTTCTTTTTCTTTTTCTTTTTTTTTTTCCTCAAAATTGTTCCTCTCAGGAGAAAATCAGTAGGGGAAGAACTTACTTGGATTTTTCATATGCTATAACAGATTATTTTGTTGTCTTCTTTCTTGATAGTTTATGATTGATGGCTGAAAGAGTAACACTCATGAGAAGTCTTGTAACTAAGCTCTGTTTTACTTATGAGGCAGTTGAAGCATAGAGCAGATACTTAGATGAGGACACACTTTTACCCTTGGCTGTACCCTACTTGTTTACTAATAAGCATCAGGTATTATTCTAAACAGTACCTGAATTTTAAATAGATTACGAACTACAACTTTCTGATATAACTTTATTGCATTTCTGATACCTTTTATTTTCTTAAAATGTCTTCTTTTTTACTTTTTAAAATTTTGATTGCTACTCTTTACAATTAAGGCATCTTCAATGGGGTCTTCAATACTACAGTACCTAATCAGTACTTAGAAAATAACTTGGTAAGACATTGCCCGTCCCTGACATGCTGCCAGTGTTTTTTATTTTTATGACAGGAAAGGCTGAAATGTTTTGACTGATTAACCGTCTCCATGGGGGAGAATTTAGAAAGAATTATTCTTATTATCAAGTCATGTGAGGAGAACACTGGACCAGAGTAACCAATTGTCCTGTTTTGCCTGGGACAGGAGACTTTCAATGCTAAAACCAGCAAAGTCACCCTAATCCCAGTAGTTATTCATATTTCTGAATGGGTCTTTAGAACAGTAGAAGAGAGTGAAAAGTTGGCATTTCATCCATTGAGACTCTCTTCCCAGTGAAAGACTTCTTATTAGACGGCTGAGTGCTTACATATAATATATAGTGCATATTACACTAAATACAATAGTAATGGTTAAATGTAAAATTTGGGAGAAGAGAGGCTTGTTTAAAGAAAGATTTATTTATGTTATTTAAAGTTCTAATCTTAAACTTTTCTCTTTTTATAGAACTGATAGTGCATCAGCCGACCCAGGTAATTTAAAATATTCTTCATCCAGAGATAGAGGTGGTTCTTCCTCTTACGGACTGCAACCTTCAAATTCAGCTGTGGTGTCTCGGCAAAGGCACGATGATACCAGAGTCCACGCTGACATACAGAATGACGAAAAGGGTATATATATTTTCTTATTGCTACAAGCATGTTTTTTGAACCTACCTATCCCACCTTCCTGCCTTCTTACACCCCCAACTTTCTCACTTTCTTCTAATATATTTAAAATATGAATAACAAATGCAGTGTTATTTCTGAAAACTTCATAGGACGTTTATCCACTTTATTATTTTTAAAATTTAAAATTTTTCCATACATAATTCATCAATGCAGTTTTCTTACAAAAAAGATACAATACTATTTTTGTTTTTATTTTCAAAAATATTTAGCTAAGGTTGAAGTTCCTCTTGGCTACTGTCTCTAAACTTCAAGAAAGTTTTAAAACAAGGTGCAAAATTTGATTTAATTTAGTTTTCATTTCTTTGCTTATTTTCCAATGAAGGGATCAAAATAAAATTAATTTAACTTCAAAGGTGTATTAAAAGAAATGAAAATGATTTTCAAGGCAGACAGTACAGGAAAAAGGTAGGAGAAGCAAAGGCTGGTTGAGCTGCAGATTGAGTCATAAGATCCTGAGCTATCAGGAAATTGACTGAATGAAACGAACAATCATATTTAAATGACGTACACATGGCTGTTTGTAGGTGGCTACGGTGTCAATGGGGGATCTGGGGAAAATACTTATGGTCGGAAGTCATTGGGGCAAGAGCTGAGGGTTAACAATGTGACCAGCCCTGAGTTCACCAGTGTTCAGCATGGCAGTTGTGCTTTAGCCACCAAAGACATGAGGAAATCACAGGGTAAGGCTGGGAAAACGGGGACCAATCACATACACCTTCCAAAGACTTGTATCTCCTCTTATTCTGGATGCCTCTTACTAATGCCTTGCAAAGGCATAAGTTGATTAGTCTACTGTGCAGGTAAAAATTGTTTACATTCTTTTCCTGTGAATTGTTAATTTCCCACTAGAAAGGCTATAGTACATTTTAAAAGAGAATTCTCTTAAAACAAGATTAGAAGACTGGATAAGATCTTACAGAAAAGGTTTACCCAATTATCGTGGATATTGAATGTATAGTGCATAGTAGGCTCCTACTACAGCAAGTCCTTGAACTCTTGGGCCTGTGGAGGATATAGATATATGTAGAGAGGGGGTACTTTTCTGTCTTTTTTTTTTTTTTTCTCTCTTTTAAGTTCAGGGTACATGTGCAGGATGTACAGGTTTGTTATGTAGGTAAACGTGTGCCATGGTAGTTTGCTGCACAGATCATCTCATCATCTAGGTATTAAACCCAGCATCCATTAAGCTATTCTTGCTGATGCTCTCCTTCCCCCCGCCCCCTAGAGTGGGTACTTTTCTGGTTTTTTTGTTGTTGTTGTTTTCAATATATTTTTTTGAGACAGAGTCTTGCTCTGTCACCCAGGCTGGAGCGCAGTGCTGCAATCTCTGCTCACTGCAACCTCCGCCTCCCAGGTTCAAGTGATTCTCATGCCTCAGCCTCCCAAGTAGCTGGGATTACAGGTGCATACCACCATACCCAGCTGATTTTTGCATTTTTAGTGGAGACAGGGTTTCACCATGTTGGCCAGGCTGGTCTCGAACTCCTGACCTCAAGTGATCACACGTGCTCATTACAGGCGTGAGCCACCGGGCCCTGCCTTGAGTGGGCACTTTTCTAAAGTTAAATACACTGATAGCATTTCTGCCTTATGACATAGCCTCACTGTATAGGTGAGTGCCTTGGAAGTTCAGAGGATTGGCCGGGTGCAGCGGCTCACGCCTGTAATCCCAGCACTTTGGGAGGCCGAGACGGGCAGATCACGAGGTCAGGAGATCGAGACCATCCTGGCTAACACGGTGAAACCCTGTCTCTACTGAAAATACAAAAAATTAGCTGGGCGCGGTGGCGGGCGCCTGTAGTCCCAGCTACTCGGGAGGCTGAGGCAGGAGAATGGTGTGAACCCGGGAGGCAGAGCTTGCAGTGAGCTGAGTGCGCCACTGCACTCCAGCCTGGGCGACAGAGCGAGACTCCGTCTCAAAACAACAACAACAAAAAAGAAAGTTCAGAGGATTAGAGGTAATGATAATTTTTTTCCTTAAAGAGAAACTTATCGGTAAAGCTGAGTTATGGGCTTTGTCAGATGTAATTACTTTTTGGACGTTTAGTTTTTGACTTTTTTTTTTTATTTTTTATACTGTGTGTGTGCTTCGTGTATCTTGGTGAAAATCTTTGTGCCTGTAGCTTTTATTGTTGGTATATAACTTTTAAAAAACTGATTTCTTTTTATGTTTTCACAAGTGGAATGAATTCAAAGGCTATGTATGCTGTTTGTTAAAATAGAGTGTTTGAAGCCTTAGACTTATGATATTATAGAACCTAAACAGCGACTCTAAAGTAGTTCAGTAGAGAATTCCTCTTCTTCAAAGGCTCAGGGTCATGTAGTTTGCTAGTGACAGAATTGTAAGTAGAGCCTAATTTCCCAGCTGGTAACTTGATGACATATTTGGTATCTGTCCTTATTGAAATACTCTATGGGCTACGGATTTGTAAAAATCCTATTCTTCTCTCAGTCATTGTAGTTTCTTTTTTTTTTTTAACTTAAATTCAGGATACAAGTGCAGATTTGTTACAGTGGTAAACTTGTGTCATGAGGGTTTGTAGTATAGATTATTTTATCACCCAGGTATTAAGCCTGGTACCCATTGGTTGTTTCTCTTGATCCTCTCCTTCCTCCCACCCCCCACCCTCCAAAAGGATCCAGTGTGTGTTGTTCCCCCTTGTAGTTATTTATTTATTTATGAGATGGAGTATCTCCCTGTCACCCAGGCTGGAGTGCAATGGCGCGATCTCAGGTCACTGCAGCCTCCACCTCCCAGATTAAAGTGATTCTCCTGCCTCAGCCTCCCGAGTAGCTGGGATTACAGGAGCGTGCCACCACGCCCGGCTAATTTTTTTTTTTTTTTTTTTTTTTTTTTTGAGACGGAGTCTCGCTCTGTCGCCCAGGCTGGAGTGCAGTGGCGGGATCTCGGCTCACTGCAAGCTCCGCCTCCCGGGTTCACGCCATTCTCCTGCCTCAGCCTCCCAAGTAGCTGGGACTACAGGCGCCCGCCACTACGCCCGGCTAATTTTTTGTATTTTTAGTAGAGACGGGGTTTCACCTTGTTAGCCAGGATGGTCTCGATCTCCTGACCTCGTGATCCGCCCGCCTCGGCCTCCCAAAGTGCTGGGATTACAGGCGTGAGCCACCGCGCCCGGCCCCGGCTAATTTTTTGTATCTTTAGTAGAGACGAGGTTCCACCATGTTGGCCAGGCAGGTCTCCAACTCCTGACCCCGTGATCTGCCCTCCTCGGCCTCCCAAAGTGCTGGGATTACAGGTGTGAGCCACCATGCCCAGCCTTCTGGTTTCTTTTATTATCAATTTTTTCTCATACCTTAGAAATGAAACTGTCAGACCCTTTGTGATTTGTTGTTTACGTATGTATTGGCTAATTATGGTAAATAGCACAGTTGAAAATGTTTTGCAAAAATTGAGTTTTTTGTTTTGTTTTGTTTTTTGAGACAGTCTCGCTCTGTCACCCAGGCTGGAATGCGCTAGTGTGATTTCACTGCAACCTTTGCTTCCCAGGCTAAAGCGATCCTCCCACCTCAGCCTCCTGAGTAGCTGGGATTACAGGCATGTGCCACTGTGCCCAGCTAATTTTTGTATTTTTCGTAGAGATGGGGTTGTACCATGTTGCCAAGGCTGGTCTCGAACTCCTGTGCTCAAGTGATCTGCCTGCCTTGGCCTTCCAAAGTGCTGGGTAATTACAGGCAAGAGCCACCTCGCCCAGCAAAAATCTAGTTTTTAAAGGCATCGTTAATATACTAATAGTATTCACTATTGTTTGCTTGTTCTTGTGATTAAAAAATAAAGGGAGAAAAGTTGTGGTTTGCTACCTTTCTAGTGGAGGCATGCCTTGCATGTGGTAGATGATAATTAGACATTTGTTGAACTAAATGTGTGATTATGGCTCCCCAAAACTTCATCCCAGGGAAATGATGATAATGTGAATAAGAGGCTTTCCTCCAGTGGGATACCTAGATGATAAGTAGAAGCCTATATCCTGTTTTTACTCGATTGAGACTTTATCCATACCCCTTGGAAGTTGTTTAATTTACCTACACCCGGGCTCTTTACCTGCATGTTGAAAACAGTTTGGAATGGACCCAAAGAAAGTTGTTACTAAGGCCTTTCTTTTTTCTCTCCCAGCCAGTCCTCTGGAATGAGGTGTTCAGTTGGCCTAGGGTTATTCATTTCTTGTTTCCTTCAGCAAATATTTTTTTGAGGGTCTGTTATGTGCCAGGCACTCTGCTGGGATTTGGAATACAGAGTTGAACAAAAGAGCGATAGGACCTATATTCCCTGAGCTTTTATTGACCAGTGGACTGTGACTTTTGATGTAATTTTATTTTTGAGAGAGGGTCTTGCTCTGTCACCCAGGCTGGAGTGCAATGGGGTGATCTTGGCTCACTGCAACCTCCGCCTCACGGGCTCCAGTGATTCTCCTGCCTCAGCCTCCCGAGTAGCTGGGACTACAGGTGCACCCCACCTTGGCTGGCTAGTTTATGTAATTTTTTGTGTGTCTGTGGAGACAGGGTTTCACCATGTTGCCCAGGGTGGTCTCAAACTCCTGAACTCATGTGATCTACCCGCCTTCCAAAGTACTGGGATTACAGGCATGAGCCCCCATAATAATTTAATTATTATTTAAATAATTTTTAATTTTAAAAATTTTAAAATTATTTTAAAATTTAAAATTTCCTTTGCTTATTTATACTCAGTGGACAACAAAATGTTTATATATTCACAGAGAGATCAATGTCTTATTGTGATGAGTCTCGACTGTCAAATCTTCTTCAGAGGATCACCCGGGAAAACGACCGAGACCGAAGATTGGCTACTGTAAAGCAGTTGAAAGAATTTATTCAGCAACCAGAAAATAAGCTGGTAAGTATAGTATGTTTGGAAATATGAGGATTTTTGTGTTTCCATAATAAACTAGGTAATGCTACCTTGAGTAGTTTAAGAATGGGGAAAGTCTGTATTATGATGATCAAGAACTTAATGCTCTCTAATATGTAATTTCTTTTTCTTCTTAAAGACAAGATCTTGCTCTGTCGCCCAGGCTGGAGTGCAGTGGCACAATCATAGCTCACTGCAGTCTCAAACTCCTGGATTCAAGCTATCCTCCCGCTGTGGCCTCCTGAGTAGCTGGGACTTCAGGCATGTGCCACTACACCTGGCTGAGGTGGAAGAATCACTTGAGCCCAGGAATTCAGGGTTGCAGTGAGATATGATCACACCTCTGCATGTCAACCTGGGCGACAGAGGGAGTCCTTGTCTCTTAAAACAACAACAGAAATGTAACAAAGTATAGGAAGGGTTAAATTTTTTTCTTCACTTTCTTTACACCAATTAAGAACTTGATATGGGCCAGGTGTGGTGGCTCATGCATGTAATCCCAGCATTTTGGGAGGCCAAGGTGGGTGGATCACCTGAGTTCAGGAGTTCGATACCAGCCTGCCCAACATAGTGAAGCCCCCATCTCTACTAAAAATACAAAATTAGCTGGGTGTGGTGGCACATGACCGTAATTCCAGCTACATGGGAGGCTGTGGCAGGAGAATCGCTTGAACCCAGGAGACGGAGGTTGCAGTGAGCTGAGATCACGCCATTGCACTCCAGCCTGGGCGAAAAGAGTGAAACTCCATCTTAAAAAAAAAAAAAGAACTTGACAATGAGCAGGAGAAAATTAATGAAAATGGTCTAGTGAGGCAGATGACACTTGGATCAAAGCAAGTTTCTCCTCCTTCCAAATTTTATTATGAGTAGTTTCAAATATATAGCAAGTTGAAAGAATTTGACATTGAATCTGTTAAACCCATCATCTAATTTTTGTCGTTAACATTTTACCCTAAATACTGCCTTGTCACATATCTCTCCATCTATCCCTCCATCCGTCAGTCAATTTTTCAAATGGATTTCAAAGTAAATGAAACAAGCTTTTTGAGTTTATTTTTTTGTTGATGATCACAGCTCTATGTTTCCAGTGGGTGAATTTCTTTCATAGGCTGAAAGGAAACATGACATTCCTGATACATGCTCATTGGGGAGTGGGAATAATAAAGAAAGTAAAGTACTGTTGAATTAGAATTTGGAGGGAAGACAAGTAAAAAAGTACACAATGCTATTCTTAAAAGTATAGGAATTTGAAGTTTTTATAAATGTGTTTTCTTTTAAAGGTACTAGTTAAACAATTGGATATCTTGGCTGCTGTACATGATGTGCTTAATGAAAGGTAAGTAACTAATAATGGTTCGGTTTAAATGACTTTAAAATATATTTTTAGAAATTACTTAACAATACACAAGAAGACAAACCCACTGGCTTTGTTTATGAACATTTATTGACATTTCAGTGGGTCTTGTCATTTTTATCTGCATTAATTATGTGTTAATTACGGTTGAATACAAATGGAATCCACTTGAAAAGAATATTTATTTTTTGAGCCGGAGTCTCACCCTGTCGCCCAGGCTGGAGTGCAGTGGTGCGATCTCAGCTCACTGCAACCTCCACCTCCCGGGTTCAAGTGATTCTCCTGCCTCAGCCTCCCGAGTAGCTGGGACTACAGGCGTGCACCACAACTGCCAGCTAATTTTTGTATTTTTAGTAGAGACAGGGTTTCACCATGTTGGCCAGGCTGGTCTGGAACTCCTGACCTCAGGTGATCCACCCACCTTAGCCTTCCAAAGTGTTGGGATTACAGGCATGAGCCACCGTGCCTGGCTGGAATATTTTATTTTTTTAATTTGCTAGTCTCACTGGATAACTGAGTCTTGACTTATGGAATGGCATAAACTCTTGATGCAGGCATGAAGAATAAAATTAGTTTTTGTAAACAAGAGAATTTGAAACTGCTTAGAGAATAGAGGTAAAAAGGAATTTCCTTCTTTGGGTAAGAGTGGATCCAAACCATATATTCTCTGGCTATTAGAGTCTCCAGAGGTGTGTGGTCATTTTTTGTTATGGTGATTCCCAAAGATTTGCAGTGTTGGCAAGTACCCAAAATTTATCTCAGCTGGTCATAAACCTTAGTGCCTTTTGATGGTTTTGTTTTATAGAGTTACTTATTAAAGTTCTATGTAAATCATTACTGTTATCCTTTTAAGTTTCTGTATTTAACTATTACCATTTTTTATTTTATAGTCATTACATATTGGATATTATGTAGAATGTAGTTATGTATAGAGTGTTTTATCTACTTATTTGTTGCTGCCCTTTTCTGAGAGTTATTTAATACAGTTTGAGATGGAATTTAGCATTTTTGGGCCTTCCCTCACTGTTTGTAAATAATTGATTTTGTAAAAAGAAAGTGATGTCAGACAGATACTTGAGGGCAATGCAGGCTAGACAGAATGTAGTATTTAGAGTGGAGAAAATTTCAACCTTTTATGTAGTTTGAATAGAAATTTAAAAAACCACTTAAGACATTCTTTTGTAAGATGTATTACTCGTGTCATCATAGAAAACTTAAGCCTTTTGTGTGTGTTTTTTGTTTGCATTAAAATAAACACAGTAGCAAATTGCTTCAGGAGTTGAGACAGGAGGGAGCTTGCTGTCTCGGCCTTCTTTGTGCTTCTCTGAGCTATGAGGCTGAGAAGATCTTCAAGTGGATTTTTAGCAAATTTAGCTCATCTGCAAAAGATGAAGTTAAACTCCTCTACTTATGTGCCACCTACAAAGCACTAGAGACTGTAGGAGAAAAGAAAGCCTTTTCATCTGTAATGCAGGTAAGAATGAAGGGGGAAAAAATGCATGATATACTTGGGAAGAAAATTGTCCCTTTAACACATGTCCTTGGAGGGGAGCTTGAAGAAGGGAATCATAGAATAGGGGTTATCTACTGATAGGAAATATGTTTTAAAAATTCCTCTTTCTCAGTTTGAGTAAAGGATACACTGTTCAAGGATCAGTGCTACATACATATATGCATATATGTGGAGAGAGAGGGAGAGATTTCTTCTAAAAAATTGGCTTACACGCCAGGCGTGGTGGCTCACGCCTGTAATCCCAGCACTTTGGGAGGCTGAGGCAGGCGGATCATGAGGTCAAGAGATCGAAACCATCCTGGCCAACATGGTGAAACCCCGTCTCTACTAACAATACAAAAATTAGCCGGGCGTGGTGGCACGCGCCTGTAGTCCCAGCTACTCAGGAGGCTGAGGCAGGAGAATGGCTTGAACCCGGGAGGCCGAGGTTGCAGTGAGCCGAGATCGCACCATTGCCTGGGAGACAGAGCCAGACTCTGTCTCAAAAAAAAAAGATTTTTTTCCCCTTTGGTTTTTAGAAATGTTTTTTTTGAGATTGCTTAGGACCAGAATTTGCAAAGTTGAAAATAGGAACTCCACTAGTAATGCCGGATAGAAGAGTGCTTCACATTTGTAGAGGGAGACAAGAACTAAATATCACAACTTCTTTCTGAGCCTTTTGGTTTGCTAACGTGCCCCAAATTCTTATTCCAAATGGTATAAGATAATTATGTGTAAATGAATACTGGCTCTACTTAGTTGTATTTCATATTTGTGTATCTGAATATATTAAAATATCATTCGTTTTTTTTTTTTTTTATGCAGAGTCTTGCTCTGTTGTCCAGCCTGGAGTGCAGTGGCATAATCTCGGCTCACTGCAACCTCTGCCTCCCAGGTTCAAGTGATTCTCCTGCCTCAGCCTCCCGAGTAGCTGGTATTGCAGGAGTGTGCCATTAGCCTGGCTAATTTTTGTATTTTTAGTAGAGATGGGGTTTCATTGTGTTGGCCATGCTGGTCTTCAACTCCTGACCTCAAGTGATCCTCCTGCCTCGGCCTCCCAAAGTACTGTGATTAGTGTCATGAGTCACCACACCTGGCCTAAAAGATCATTGATTTAGTTTTGAGTAAGATTTTAAGTGATTAAATTATGGTATTGTTGTGTTTGGAATATCTGATATTAGGGTTTTTTTTTTTTTTTTTTTTTTTTTTTACAGTTTTTGATATGCTTTATTTTGGGTATGTAGTTTAAAAAATATAAAGGAAATATAAGGAATATTCTTTTTTTTTTTTTTAAAATAAAAAATGTATTTTTAACTGGGCATGGTGGCTCACTCCTGTAACCCCAGCACTGTGGGAGGCTGAGGCTGGTGAATTGCCTGAGTCCAGGAGTTTGAGACCAGCCTGAGCAACATGGTGAAACCCTGTTTCTATCAAACAAAAAAAAAAAAAGGAAAAAAAATAAGTTGGGCATGGTGGCATGCACCTGTAATCGCAGCTACTTGGAGGCTGAGGCAGGAGGATCGCTTGTGCCTGGGAGGTTGAAGCTACAGTGAGCTATGGTCAAGCTACTGCACTCCATTATAGGCAACCCTGTCTCAAAAAAGCAAAACAAAATGAAACATTTTCCCCTTGATTATAGAGGTTTGAGAAAAATTTGAGGGAAGATTCAGAAAATTACCTGTAACTGAACAGAATGCCACCAGCTTGGGCTTATTCTGCATGCATAATTATGAACATTTTCCCAGCTCTTGTGAAAATTCTCACATTCATAGAAAGATAGATGCACCAGTAAAATAAATACCTGTAAATACGATAATAATTTCATAATATATGCTTCACCTAGATTTACCAGTTACTAATATTTTGCCACAGTTTTATTTTCTCACACACTTTTGTTGAGCATCTGAAAACCATACACATGATGACAGTTCACCCCATAATGTTTTAGTATGCATCTCCCAAGAATAAGGTTTTTCTTCTGTATAACAAGAATATTGTAATCATACCTAAGAAAATGAATTTTATTACATATGTGTTCTATATTCAAATTTCTGTAATTACCCCAAGATGTCTTTTAAATGATTTTTAGCATTGATAGTCTGTGCCTGTGTAGATTATAACATTGGCTATTGCAAAATAATGGTTTTCTTTTTCTCTTTTTTTTTTTTTGAGACGTAATCTTGCTCTGTTGTCCAAGCTGGAGGGCAGTGGCACGATCTCGGCTCACTGCAACCTCCGCCTCCCAGGTTCAAGCAGTTCTCTTGCTTCAGCCTCCTGAGTAGCTGGGATTACAGGCATGTGCCACTGTGCTCTGCTAATTTTTATATTTTTAGTAGAGACGGAGTTTCATCATGCTGGCCAGGCTGGTCTTGAACTCCTGACCTCAGGTGATCCACCTGCCTCGTCCTCCCAAAGTGCTGGGGTTACAGGTGTGAGCCACTGCACCCAGCCTAAAATGATGGTTTTCTGATTCTAGCATTTCTTTGATAAGATTGCTATGTAAAGCACAGCTTTTCCTTTTTTAGGGAAAAATGTTTTTTAACAGCTGCAAAATAAATATTCTTTCAATGGAATGACAAATAGTTATTTATTATTTTATTTTTGCCATATATTTATTTTAAAAATTTATGTATAATGGTAACCTGAGCCTGCATGTTATTCATGTGTGGTGCCATACTGATCTTCCTTAATTTTAATATGAAGCAAGTACTAATATACTAAAGCATAAATTATATAAAATTTGCTTTATATTTTGGATTGCAAAGTAATTGTTGTACTTTATAGAAAAGTTTCCCAAATCCATTTTACTTTTTTGTATTTGAAATTTAATCACAGGTAGAATCTTAAAGAGAGCATTTAGGGATATTGTAAACAGATGTTATTAAGGACTAATGTTAACTGATGTCAAAGGACTAATATTAACAAACATTGAAGAAGAGAAAACAGTATCTGTTTTTAGCTTAACAGCTTAGTGGAGCGAAATATTTTCAGTTTATTTATTTTATTTATTTATTAATTTTTTTTTTTTTTTTGAGATGGAGTCTGGCTGTATTTCCCAGGCTGGAGTGCAGCGGTGCAATCTCAGCTCACTGCAACCTCTGCCTCCTGGGTTCAAGCAATTCTTGTGTCTCAGCCTCCCAAGCAGTTGGGATTTACAAGTCAATTCTTTTTTTTTTTAACTAAAACTACAGAATCTATTTTTCTTGGTCTCATACTCAGGTTTTTATGTAGGCACTTCGTAAATAATGAACCTAATTTGCTTGTTTTCTCCCTATTTTGTTGAATGTTCACGGTTTGTAACTTTTATTTTTAAGCTTGTAATGACCAGCCTGCAGTCAATTCTTGAAAATGTGGATACACCAGAATTGCTTTGCAAATGTGTTAAGTGCATTCTTTTGGTGGCTCGATGTTACCCTCATATTTTCAGCACTAATTTTAGGGTGAGTTCCTCATTCCGCTGTTCAGATCATGGGGTGAGGGGGATGGTTGTGTGTGTGAGGAACTGAGGAATCAGATGGAAAACAGTGCCTCTGCTCCTTTGAATATAATCAGTGATATTTGAGGTTCCAGGGTTAAATGCCGCATTTTTCTTTCTGACGTTCGTACCTTAAAATATTTGAAGAAAATAAACTATTTCATTGTTGTCAGAAATGTAGTTCTTTTATTTTCCTGCCCCTCTCCCCTTTCTAAGTTTCTAGAATGTCAAGTAGGTAGAACATAGATGCTCCTTTTAGGATCTTTTGCTGTGAAATGGTCCACAGGTGGATTGCAGTAATATCTTAAAATGATTGGCCCCCTCTCTCTTTGTTTCCATCAAGGATACAGTTGGTATATTAGTTGGATGGCATAGAGATCATACTCAGAAACCTTCGCTCACGCAGCAGGTATCTGGTAAGTCTTGCAGCCTATACCAGTTATTTAAATACTGTCGGGGAGGAGCAGTGGTCCCCCAGTGACCATCTATCAATACCATTTCTTTAATAATGCAAGAAAACTAATTCAGAGAAATGTTTTATTGTAAATGAACATGACTTGTTAGCTAAATATATATTTTCAGAGGAAATTACTAGTAGGTGGGTAGAGTAAGTACAGACAGGACTTACCCAAGTTATTTGTAGTTTGTACTGGTAGGAAAGTATATGGTAAGAATATATTGCAGTGGCAATACCCTGAAGTGGACAATGGAAGATCCAAGTTATTTGTCACATTTTATTGTTTTTCTGGTTATTTTTTTTAAAAAGGAAATATAGGGTTAATTTGGAGAATTGTCATAAATGAGAAGTGGTTTTGTTTCCCACTTTTTTGGAGTTAAGTGAATGACTAGCGTGGCTCATTTGCACATTTCAGCTTGTTTCAAGTGTCATAGTTTCTCGTAACTTACTTGGTGTAATAAACTTTTGAAAATAAGATATTCAGGTGATAGTGGTCTGTTTCATTTTCACTGAGGAGATGAGTATACACCTTTAATGGTTAGATGTGGCCCTGGGATTAGCCGGGCCAATGGTAGATTGTGGCATTTTAGTCTTAAGTCATGTGTAGTGACAATATAGATATGAAATTTACTGAAAAAGTAAGGAAATAACATTTACCTGTTAATTTCTGCAGAAATTAAGGAGGTATTAATTAAAGAGGTATTGGTTAATCGTGATCAGCATGTTTAGCAGTCTTAATTTTATGATATAGGACATGTTTTAGGGTATGCTGCTTGAAAACCAGATACTTTTTAAAAGAAGCCTCTTATTTTTTTTAATTTGGATTTTTTGGTGTTTTTTCTCCCCCCTACCCTTTCACAATTTCTTACGCGATTCCAAGGGTGGTTGCAGAGTTTGGAGCCATTTTGGGTAGCTGATCTTGCATTTTCTACGCCTCTACTTGGTCAGTTTCTAGAAGACATGGAAGCATATGCTGAGGTGAGTATATAGAAAGCTGTTTCTTAAAATTTTGGTTAAGAAAAAATCTTAAATTGTGCTAGATTTATTTTAAAATGGCTCAGACCTCCTGACATTTAAGCAGAAATTACAAGCCCATTGCAATATTTTGAAAAATTTTTTCTTTTTGAGACGGAGTCTCGCTCTGTCACTCAGGCTGGAGTGCAATGGCACGATCTCAGCTCACTGCAACCTCCACCTCCTGGGTTCAAATGATTCTCCTGCCTCAGCCTCCCGAGTAGCTGGAATTACAGGTGCCCGCCACTACGCCCAGCTAATTTTTGTATTTTTAGTAGAGACGGGGTTTCACCATGTTGGCCAGGCTGGTCTCAAACTCCTGACCACTGGTGATCCAGCCGCGTCGGCCTCCCAAAGTGCTGGGATTATAGGCATGAGCCCCCGTGCCCAGTCAGTATTTTAAACATTTATTTCAGATGTGTTTAAGTTACCAGGAGAATTACTGGAGAGACTAAAAGAAACGTTGCAAGCTTCGTATTTCGCAAAGCTTTACATACTCTCGGTAGCTGGTATTTTTCTAAAGACATACTTTGTTATTTATTTTTATTTTTTGTTCCCAGTCTTCAGAGTCTTAAAGCAAATTGATGTTGTGTTATAAAAAAACACAAAACACCAAAAGCTCCTAAAGATTTTCCTCTTACATATGTACAGGAGATCTTGAATCGTACTTTGGAGGACAAGCCTTGGCTTCAGCCAGCTTTTGTGGCTGTACGAATATAGCATAGGAGCTTTAAGAGCGCTGCTGAAGCCTCTGTTACTGGTACTTGGCTTTTCTGGCCCCACTGTCATGGCTTAACTCTGTGCCATCTCTTATCTGAATCTCTTTGTGTTTCTCCCCTATTCAGATCAACCAGTCAAGGCTCCCATAAAGATTTTGGCCTCATCTTGTTTTTTTCATCTTTGCTGCTTGTAGTCAACAGGAATTCAGTACCTTTAGCTGTACTGATGTGTTTACTCTTTCCTAGAAAAGCAAGGAAATGTTTTGCTTCTGCGTTGTTTTTTCTTTGCCCCCACACCTAGAATGTCTTTTTTCACAGCCCACGTTTAAAGCTGATCTACCTCTCATAAGCCACACATTCTAGTTTGTAGAGATGCTTCCCCTTGTTATCCTTAAGATCTCATTCTCTTCTGTTATTTTGGTGCTTAATTTTAGGTAGATGTATACATTGGTTCTGGTATCCTAGTTTTTGCGAATCTTGTCCTTTTCATATATCGTACTTCTTCAGTTACACATCTGTAGACCAGGTCTTGTAATCTCCCTTTGCTCTTCATGTGCATGCTCTTGGTTTGGAGGACTTACTGTTGAGCTGAGTGGCTCAAAGAATACCTAGAATGAGATTTTTAGCCAAAAACTAATTCAGGAGTGGCAAAAGCTTCCGTCTTCATTTATACCTACATATAACTAGAGCATATGTGCTAGAATTTATTTTTCCCCAACAGCTTTCTGAGTTGATTTAAGAGATTATTTCCTTAATTTGTTGTCTATTGGGTTTAATGTTGGCTTTTTGAAATAATTAGGTAAAACCCATTTTTATATTCAGAGTCATGAATATTCTCATGGGCCACAGTTCTCTTTCTAAAAGCCTAAAAATCTATTCTAAAATGAATTGATTGAAATATTTTAGAGTTTTTTTTTGTTTTGTTTTGTTTTTTTAAACAATGTACTACTTATTAAGAATGCTGTGAATTCACATCTAGGACCTCAGCCATGTGGCCTCTGGGGAATCAGTGGATGAAGACGTCCCTCCTCCATCAGTGTCATTACCAAAGCTGGCTGCGCTTCTCCGGGTATTTAGTACTGTGGTGAGGAGCACTGGGGAAAGCCTCAGCCCAATTCGGGCCCTCCAATTACTGAGGCATACGTAACAGATGTAAGTGCTTTTGGGCATTTGAAGTGTCATTCAAAAATAAAATTGTTTTACATTGTAAATGCTTCTCTTTACCAGGTGAACTGTTATTAATCCTTCATTTGTTTAGCATGTATGTATGTATGTATATATGTATATATTGTCTGACTGCTTTCTTAAACAACCAGAAAAGCAGGGAATCCTGTTATAGCTCATCCTCCTTTCATCCAACTCCCCTACCCTCCCATGACAAAAGGCCACTCTGAATTTTTAAATCTCATTCTTTCATTTTTAAATAATATTTCTTATAATTTTACTTTTAAATTATTGGGTTTCCTTTTAGTTTTTCAACATATTACGAATAGCACACTATAGGAGAAGCCTCAGAAAGTAATCTTCTCTGAGCATAAGATGGAACTCATATGAAAACTTGTGTATCTTTATATTCTTTGATAGCCTGATATCAAAGAACATAAACAAATTAAAAATGAGGTAGCTAGATTGCCACACTTCAGCAGCCTCAGACATTAGCTGCACTGTATATAGCACATCCAGTGAGGGTTCAGTGGAAAAGACACAAGAAATGAACCCCAGGCATTGTACTCTGCTTTGAATAAGGAGAAAGAAGCATGTGTGATACCGTCATAAAAAATTTAATCTAACTGATGAAAATTTTACCGTTAGGATAAAACTTGCTTTTAGGAGCATATACTTTTGCTGAACATGTTGCTAAATAAAATAGGATACTGATTATATAGTAAGTTGTGTACTTGAGCAGAAATGTCAGAACTTAAAGATAAATGAAACCAGCATATCGGTATTTTAAACCAATATGGTTTCAAAATGGTTTAATATCTTTGCTTCATTTTTAATGTCTAAAAGGTGGTTGTTTGAAGACTGTACAGAGTTGAAATAAAAAGCCGTTAATTCAGACATAAAATAAAGGGGACATAATTTATAGGATAGGTGTATATTGATTTATGAGGATCTTTTAGGCCTTTGAGAATGGTAGAATGGTGGGGTTTTTATTTTTTTTATTTATTTTTGGAGCTGGAACCTCACTCTGTCACCCAGGCTGGAGTGTAGTAGTTCAATCATAGCTCACTGTAGTCTTGAACTCTTGGGCCCAGGTGAACTTCCCACCTCACTCAGCCCTACAAGCGGGTGTCACCATACCCAGCTTTTTTTTTTTTTTCCTTTTTAAAGTGGGGTGGTGCCATCACGACTCAGTGCAGCCTCTATCTCTTGGGCTCAAGTGATCCTCCCAGCATAGCTCCTGCTAATTTTTTATTTTTGTAGAGATGGGGTCTCAGTGTTTCCCAGGCTGGTCTTGAACTTTTGGCCTCAAGCAGTCTTCCCACCTCAGCCTCCCAAAGTGTTGGGATTATAGACATGAGCCACTGTGCATGCATGGCCAAGAATGCTTCCCCCTCCGCCCTCTCCCCCCCACTCTTTTTTTTTTGGAGACATGGTCTCTGTTGCCCAGGCTGGAGTGCAGTGGCACGATCTTGGCTCACTGCAGCCTTGACCTCCCAGGCTTAAGTGATCCTCCCACCTCAGCCTCTCAAGTAGTTGGTGGGACTACTGGTGTGAGCCACCACACCCAACTAATTTAGAAACAAATTTGGTAGAGATGAGGTGTTGTTATGTTGACATGGCTGGTCTCAAACTCCTGGACTCAAGAGAACCTTCCAGCTAATCCTCTCAAAGTGCTAGGATGATAGATGTGAGTCACTATGCCCAACCTCTAAGGATACTTTTAATGAAAACTATGGGTAGACTAAATAAAATCCTGTATGTATTGGTTGTTAAATATTATAGAAATATTTTTTAACATTTGCTCTGTTTTCTCCCCTATTTTATTAGAAATTTAGTACACAATTATTGGCCATTATAGTTAAGTGGGGGATTTTGTGTGTGTGTGTATTGGAAATAATATGATTTTTGAAGATATTATGTGGCAAGCATGAGAGTGCTTATCTTTCAAAAGAGACCATCAGTAGATAGAAACTTTAATAAGCTTAAAGTGACTTGTATGTTCAGTTTTGAAAGATTGATTCCCAAAAGCCCAAGAGCTAGCTTGTAGTATGTGTGGGCAGGCTATTCCCATGCTGTCAATACCATTACTGTCGTGGTGTATTTCATGATAAAGATTCTGAGCTTCAGCCATTTAGTGACATTGGGAGAAACGAAGTTGGGTATGTGGGAAATAGAGGATGGCAGCTTCCATTTCCTGTCATAGTAGCACTTTAGGATTTTTTAGCCAAGATCATGTTTACATATTGTAGTAAAGGCATCATTATTATTCAGCTACTGAGAACTAGAATATTAAGAGACTGCTGGCAAGGCAAGCAGTTAATTTTCAGTTGAAATTGCATTAAATAGAAAGTATTTTCTTGCTTTGTGGAAGCACGTGAATTTTTTTAAAAAGCTGCTGGTTTTCCCCATTTACAGGTTCTGTACAGAGTAATGAGATGTGTGACGGCTGCAAACCAGGTGTTTTTTTCTGAGGCTGTGTTGACAGCTGCTAATGAGCGTGTTGGTGTTTTGCTCGGCAGCTTGGATCCTAGCATGACTATACATTGTGACATGGTCATTACATATGGATTAGACCAACTGGAGAATTGCCAGACTTGTGGTACCGATTATATCATCTCAGTCTTGAATTTACTCACGCTGGTATGTGAATTATTCTTTTCCTTTTTAATGTGTTGGTTTATTCAGGCCCTTAAATGGATATGTAAGAAATTAAGGGCTTTGTCTGGGTATGGTGGCTCATGCTTGTAATCCCAGCGCTTTGGGAGGCCAAAGCAGAAGGGTTGCTTGCATCCAGGAATTCTGGCACAGCTTGGGCAATGTAGTGAGACCCCATCTGTACAAAAAGTCAAAAATTAGCTTGGTGTAGTGGTGTGCACCTGCAGTCCTAGCTACTCGGGAGGCTGATGGAGGAGGATCGATTAAGCCCAGGAACTTGAGGTTGAAGTGAGCTCTGATTGTGCCACTGCACTCAGCCAAGGTGACAAAAAAGGACCTGTCTCCAAAAAAGAAAAAAAATAAGGGCTTTGCTTTATTATATAATTTTTTTAGAGTACATTCATCAGTCTTATAATCTGTGCTTTCATTTTAGTGTCTATTTACTTTTATTTTTAATGCAATTTTTTTTTTGAGACAGGGTCTCACTCCGTTGCACAGGATGAAGTGCAGTGGCATGATTTTGGCTCACTGTAGCCTTGACCTCTTGGGTTCAGGTGATCCTCCCACCTCAGCCCCCCAGGTAGCTAGGACTACAGGCGTGCACCACCACACCTGGCTAATTTTTTATATTATTTTGTAGAGATGGAGTTTTGCCATGTTGCCCAGGCTGGTCTTGAATTCTTGGGCTCAAGCAATCCACCTGCCTTGGCCTCCCAAAGTACTGGGATTATAGGCATGAGCCACTCTGCCAGGCCTCTATTTTTAGTGGTTGATAGCTAGTCTCAGTGTAGCTTTACTCGTTTTTTCTGAGGAAACATTGCTCTACGCACCAGATTCTTTCTTTTTTTCTTTTCTTTTCTTTCTTTTTTTTTTGGTCACAGGATCTTGCTGTATTCCCCTGGCTGGAGTGCAGCGGTACAATCAGAGCTCACTGCAGCCTCAAACTCCTGGGCTCAAGTGATCCTCCCACTCAGCCTCCCGACTATCTGGGACTACAGATGCATGCCACCATGCCTGGCTAACCTTTATATTTTTTGGAGAGAAGGGGTCTCGCTACATTGTCTAGGCTGGCCTTAAATTCTTGGTCTCAAGTAATCCTCCTGCCTTGCCCTCCCAAAGTGCTGGGATTACAGGTGTGAGCAATCATGCCTGGCCTCCTTTAATTTTTTTTTTTTTTTTTTTTTTTTTTTTGAGACGGAGTCTCGCTCTTTTGCCCAGGCTGGAGTGCAGTGGCACAATTGTATTTTTAGTAGAGACGGGGTTTCACCATGTTAGCCAGGATGGTCTCGATCTCCTGACCTCGTGATCTGCCTGCCTTGGCCTCCCAAAGTGCTGGGATTACAGGCGTGAGCCACCGCGCCCGGCCGGCCTCCTTTAATTTCTTAACCATAAATATCCTCCCCCCACTTTTATTATGGACGTTCTGAAGCACATAAAAATAGGGAGCATAGTATAATAAATTTGTACATATTTAACACTCAGCTTCTATAATTAGAAACAAATGGCCCATCTGGTTTCATCTAGGCCTCTTTGCTATCCTTTCATCTCCAACTGGATTATTTTAAAGCAAATTCTAGATGACATTCTGCTGAGCATTTCTGCCAGAATTACACCTCTCTTTGCTAATGTGAAAAAATGCCCATGATAACTGTAAAATACGTGTGTCCTATTTAGGTGTCTAAACACTTTAATGTCACAGTATTAAGGCCTTAAAATATAGCTTAGATATATTTTTCTAAATTAAAAGACTTCATTTTTTAGATATACAGAAAATTGAGCAGAAAACAGTGAGTTCCCATATACCTTCTTCATCCCAACAGTTTCCCCCTCATTAACATATTGTGTTAGTGTGGTACATTTATTACAAAGGAGTGAATATTGATATATTATTATTAACTAATTTTATAGTTTACTTTGTGTTATGTATTCTATGGACTTTAACATGTGTAATGACATGTTTCCCCTATTACCAGTATCATACAGGATAGTTTCACTTCCCTAAAAATCTTTTATGTTCTACCCACTCCTTCCTCGTTCCCTCTCCCCACTCCTCCCTCCCCCCATCTTAAGCCCATGGCAACCCCTGATCTTTTTACTGTCTCCATCGTTTTGCCTTTTCCAGAATGCCATGTAGTTGGAGTCATATAGTATGTAGCCTTTTCAGTTGGCTTCTTTCACTTACCAGTGTGCCTTTAAGGTTTCTCCATGTCTTTTTGTAATTTGAGAAGCTCATTTTTTAAAAATTTTATTCTTTTAGATTGTTGAACAGATAAATACGAAACTGCCATCATCATTTGTAGAAAAACTGTTTATACCATCATCTAAACTACTATTCTTGCGTTATCATAAAGAAAAAGAGGTAAGTAATACACTGATAATGAATTTTGACAACTTGAGTCACTGAAGAGTTGGACCTAATGTTGCTTACCCCAGGCTATATAAGTGAAATTGAGTGAAATGTGAAATGTTTGATTTAGAATATAGTGATTGTATTTGTTCTTTTAAATTTATATTTCTTGATAATCATACTGAATACTTTCATGAATGGTGTGCCAGATACTCTTTTCAGACTATGCATCTTTTGCTGTTATTAAATTTATTAAATTTTCATAAGGGTAAAACAAGTTGACACATTTATAAAGTTATAAATTAAGAAGTACTGTATATTTGGTAAACAAAAATGACTGGCTTTTCAACCACCCCCTAGTCAAATCCACCACAGACTTTCCTGGTAGATTTAAGAAACCCAGTCTTAAACTGCTGTTTGCATATGTCTTTTGATGTTGATTATTAAAAAAAAAAAACAAAAACGGCCATTTTGGAAATTTCCTATTGACAGTTTTCATTTATAGTACTCTTTATTTGTGATAAAACTTAATAGATTTGAAATAGCATACTGATCTGTGTCAGTTTTCTGATTGGTTTTTAAAAAATTAAAATATTAAATGCTACAGACAGTGAATTGATCGATCTTAAATTTATTTGTATCATCAGCACTAATACAGATAGTGATTTATTTTCCATATAATTTTAGAAGATTTATTTTCCATTTATCACTTCCTTGAATTTTTTGTTTTTCAGGTTGTTGCTGTAGCCCGTGCTGTTTATCAAGCAGTGCTCAGCTTGAAGAATATTCCTGTTTTGGAGACTGCCTATAAGTTAATATTGGGAGAAATGACTTGTGCCCTAAACAACCTCCTGCACAGTCTGCAGCTTCCTGAGTCCTGTTCTGAAATAAAACATGAGGCTTTTAAGAATCATGTGTTCAATGTAGACAATGCAAAATTTGTAGTTAAATTTGACCTCAATTGACTACAAAATTTGTAGTTAAATTTGACTACAATTGGAAATGCCAAAAACTCACTAATAGGGGTGAGTCTTTAATTGTAATGACTTTGTTTTATCCACATTACATATTTATGTATTTCACTGTTATGTCAACATGTCTGCAGAATCACTGTATGTAACAAACAGCCATATTTAAGACATGCCTGGATAAATAAAATTGGTAGGAATGTTTTCTTGCCATTATATTTAACTTTTCTTCTTTTTCCTTGACAAATCTTGATAAGTTTTTTTATATTAGTTTTATTTTCTAGAAAATGTCTTATGAATTTCTCCTATTTGCTCTAGCATGCTTACAGAAAATGTCAGTGTTTCTTACAGCTCAAATTTGTATAGTTGTTTTAAAATGCGGTCTCTTTCTTCTTCCCCTGGTACTTTTTTCTTTCTGTGTACTGAAGTTAGTTCTTATACATGGTCTTATATTTTGGCTGTCTGTTTTTCCCTAGGAACATTCATACAGGTTGAATATTCCTTATCTGAAATACTTGGGACTGGAAGTGTTTTCGATTTTGGATTTTGGAATACTTTTTTTTTTTTTTTGGAGATAGTGTTTTTACTCTTGTTGCCCAGGCTGGAGTGCAATGGCGCGATCTTGGCTCGCTGCAACCTCCGCCTCCCGGGTACAAGCGATTCTCCTGTTTCAGCCTCCCAGGTAGCTCGGATTACAGGCATGCACCACCACCCCTGGCTAATTTTTTTGTATTTAGTAGAGATGGGTTTTCACCATGTTAGCCAGGCTGGTTGTGAACTCCTGACCTCAGGTGATCCACCTGCCTTGGCCTCCCAAAATGCTGGGATTACAGGTGGGCACCACCATGCCCAGCCGGAGTTTGGAATATTTTCATAACACTTACTGGTGAGCATCCCTAATCTGAAAATCCTAAATCTAAAATGCTCCAAAATTTGAAACTTTTTGAGCACCAGTATGATGCCCCAAGTGGAAAATCCCACACCCGACCTCATGTGATGAGTCCAAACTGTTGTATGCCCAAAATTATTTAAAATATTGCATAAAATGACCTTCAGGCTATGAATAGAAGGTGTCTATGAAACATAAGTGAATTTCGTCTTTAGACTTGGGTCCCATCCCCCACATATCTCATTTTATATATATGCAAGTATTCTCAAATCCAAACATATACAAAGTCTGAAACACTTCTGGTCCCAAGCATTTTGAATAAGGGATACTGAACCTGTAGTCTTCCTTTTGGTGGTGGTGGGGGGACTTTTTTTTTTTTTTTTTTTTTTGGGGGGGAGACAGAGTCATGCTGTTGTCAACTGGGCTGGAGTGCAGTGGTGCAATCTCGGCTCACTGCCACCTCTGCCTCCCGGGTTCCAGCAATTCTCCTGCCTCAGCCTCCCGAGTAGCTAAGATTACAGACACTTGCCACTACGACGGGCTAATTTTTGTATTTTTAGTAGAGACTTGGTTTCACCATGTTGGTCAGGCTGGTCTCAAACTCCTGACCTCAGGTGATCCACCTGCCTCAGCCTCCCAAAGTGCTGGAATTACAGGCATGAGCCACCGCGCCCAGCCCGTGTGGTTTTTTTTTTTTTAAGTAATTCGACATGGCCCTGCTCTTGATTTGTATTTATTGTTTATGGTTTGTGTATTTCTTCTTCCTATTGGACCACACAGAGTTGAAAAACATCATTTTTAATAGAAAATAATAGGTGTAGGCTGGGCACGGTTGCTGACACCTGTAAACCCAGCACTCTGGGAGGCCAAGTCAGGCTGATCACCTGTGGTCAGGAGTTTGAGACCAGCCTGGCCAACATGGTGAAAGCTCGCCTCTACTAAAAATAGAAAAATTAGCCAGGGGTGGTGGTGCACACCTGTAATCCTAGCTACTTTGGAGGGTGAGGTAGGAGAATTGCTTGAACCCAGGAAGTGGAGGTTGCAGTGAGCTGAGATCACACCACCGCACTCCAGCCTGGGCTACAGAGCCAGACTCTGTCTCAAAAGAAAAAAAAAAAAAAGAAAGAAACAAAGAAAGAAATGGATGTAATTAGGGAATAAAGTTTTTAGGAGGAAGAAGGTAAAATTTGATGTTTGCGCTTCAATGTGCTCCGTGTTGTTTGATTGGATTGCCTTGTATAATTCCATAGCTGCTTCGCTTATTACCAGTTACAGTTTATGTTTGAAGTCACAATAAACTCTTCTTCAAACATGAAAGCTTGATTTTTGAGGAAAATTATTCACATTATTTACAGATTCAAAGATGTTTATGTCCTGTACTCTAGAAATAAGGAGAAAGTGGGTGGGGATGGGGCAGTCAGGTGGAGTGGAGTGTCTTGGCAGTGTAAAGGAAAAAGATGGATGGAAAAGGTGTAGGGTGGCAGGGTGTGCCTCTGTTTCCTTATTGAACAGGGCACCTTGCCATTTGCAGTATATGGAAAATTGAGGAAATACAGTCTACTTCCGCAAAAGGCACATACAAAGGGCTCTGTTTAGACCAGAGATCAGCAAACTATGGTCTGTGGGCCAAATACAGCCCAGCACCTGTTTTTTGTCTGTTATTTTAAGTGTATAATTCACTGATTTTTACTATATTCACAGAAGTGTACAACCATCACAACACTAGTGCCTGTTTTTGTAAAGAAAGTTCTTGTTGGGCTGGGCGCAGTGGTTCACGCCTGTAATCCCTCGGGAGACTGAGACAGGCAGATCACCCAAGCTCAGGAGTTCAAGACCAGCCTGGCCAACATGGTGAAACCCTATCTCTACTAAAAAAATACAAAAGTTAGCAGGGCGTGGTGATGGGCACCTGTAATCTCAGCTACTTGGGAGACTGAGGCAGGGAGAATTGCTTGAACCCCGGAGGTAGAGGTTGCAGTGAGCTGAGATCGCCCCATTGCACTCCAGCCTGGGCGACAGAGCGAGAGACTCCGACTCAAGAAAGTTTTCTTGGAACACAGGTACTCTCATTCCTGTGTTTTGTGTGTGGCTGGTGTTTTGTTTTGAGAGAGAGAGTCTTAACTTTGTCATCTAGGCTGGAGTGCATTGGTATGATCTCGGGTCACTGCAACCTCTGCCTCCCAGGTTCAAGCGATTCTCCTGCCTCAGCCTCCCGAGTAGCTGGGATTACAAGTGTGCGCCACCATGCCCAGCTACTTTTTGTAATTTTAGTAGAGATGGGGTCCCGCTGTGTTGCCCAGGCTGGTTTCAAACTCCTGGGCTCAAGTGATCTGCCCACCTTAGCCTCCCAAAGTGCTAGGATTACAGGTGTGAGCCACAACACCTGACCTGTGGCTGTTTTCTTACTGTAGCGATAGACGAGGAGTTGCTGCATTGCATAGAGATGCTATATTGCACGCAAAGGCTTTACTGACTTCACAAAAAAGTATTTGTCCCAGGTGTAGTGTACTAGATCCCTTCCAATCTGTAATTTTAATTTAAAAATGTCCAAATACCCCTGTTTTGAAGGATAAACTCTGTATGCTTGTGCTTATTTTGGAGAAGCCATAAACTTACTTTGTTTTGTACATGATCAGATGTGGGCGCTATCTCCAACTGTCTTTGCACTTCTGAGTAAGAATCTGATGATTGTGCACAGTGACCTGGCTGTTCACTTCCCTGCCATTCAGTATGCTGTGCTCTACACATTGTATCCTCATTGTACCAGGTACTGTATTCACAAATTTTTCTTAAGAAAAGAACCCCACAAAACATTTTATTTTTTTAATGGATAGATTTTGAAGATGTATGTTGATTTAACTTTGGACTTGCTTGCTTTCTTTGATTAAAGATGAAAAGATAATCTATGCTTTGTCTTTCAGGCATGATCACTTTATCTTTAGTAGCCTCAGTTCTTCCTCTCCTTCTTTGTTTGATGGAGCTGTGATTGGCACTGTAACTATGGCCACAAAGAAACATTTCTCAATTATATTAAATCTTCTGGGAATGTTACTTAAGAAAGATAACCAGGACACGAGGTAACAGATATTATATAGTATTAACCATTCCTAACTTTGTTAATTTGCCTTTATAATTTGAGAAGAAGAAATGTGGATTACAAAAAATTTAAAAAAATGTGGATTATAGAGGTGAGGTAGAGCAGCTTCTTTATTGTCAAACACCTTATAATTTGGTTTTATTATTTAATCTAGGCTTTCTTATTCTTTCTGAAAAGAAATACATGAAAAACCTCAATCCCCCACGCCCAGTGTTTCATAGAAGAATATATATAGATTTTTAATATTCTTTGCTTTTTTTTTTTTAAGACGGAGTTTTGCTCACTGTAACCTCTGCCTCCCAGGTTCAAGCAATTCTCCTGCCTCAGCCTCCCAAGTAGCTGCGATTACAGGTGCCCGCCACCACACCTGGCTAATTTTTGTATTTTTTTTTTTTTTTTTTTTGTATATATGTTAAGGTTTAATACCCAAAGTATATAAAAAACTTCTACAATTCAACAACAAAAAGACAAAACATTTTAAAACAAAATGGTTGTAAACAAACAACAAAAAGACAACCATTTTTGTCCATCTTACAATGGACAAAAGGCTTGAATAAACATTTCTCCAAAGAAGATAAACAAATGGCCAATAAGCACTTGAAAAGATGTCAACATCATTAGTCAATGGAGACATACAAATTAAAACTCCAAGCTATCACTTCACACTTACTATGATGACTATTATTAAAAAATGGAAAATAACAAGTGTTGTTGAGGATATGGGGAAATTGAAATCTTTATAAGTTAGCAATAGGAATGTGAAATGGTGCAGCTGATGTGGAAAACAGTTTGGCAGTTCCTCAATAATTTTTGTATTTTTAGTAGAGATGGTGTTTCACCATGTTGTTGGCCAGGCTGGTCTTGAACTCCTGACCTCAGGTAAGCCACCACGCCCGGCCTCTTTGCTATTATCATGCTGCGTTGGGAGGTTTTCTTAAAAGGCACACAACAATTTTGACAGTAATTTCTATAGTTTCATTTTTTATTTTTATTTTTTATTGTTTGAGATGTTTGAAAAACCAAGAGAAAACCAATGTAAGAAGACTAGGCTTTTAACTTTTTTTTGTTTTTGTTGTTTTTTTTTTTTAATGTACAGTCAACTGTATATTTTGTGTTTCAGGAAACTGTTAATGACTTGGGCTTTGGAAGTAGCTGTTGTAATGAAGAAGTCCGAAACATATGCACCTTTATTCTGTCTTCCGTCTTTCCATAAATTTTGCAAAGGCCTTTTAGCCGACAGTAAGACTCTGGTTTTTTTTTTCTATTTTGTTTATCAGTCCTTAAAAGGGTCTTTGGTAATGGGAGATGGTCATGAATCGAGCTCTTTTCCTGACCTGAAGATGTGTAATCCTCATTTTAATGACAGATACACAGTCTTGATTTTTTTTCATTCTTAGTATTAGAAAAATGTTTTGAAGTGATTGTCACATTTTTAAGCTAACGTGAATGTTTATAGTTTACATATACTTTTACATTTTCTCTCAGAAAAAGTTTTGTGTGATGACCCATCAGTTACATTACGTGGGTTTTGTTGAATGTGTCATTTTTCCAAATGTGACAGTCAATGAGGATTCTGGACAAGAACAGTGCCTAGTCTATAGTAGGCACTCACTCTTTGTTGAATGAATGAATGGATTCAGATAATTATGACAAACTGGGATATAATTTCTTTTGGCCAGCTGAAAGTAACTGTCTTTTAATGTTTAATAGCTCTCGTTGAAGATGTGAATATCTGTCTGCAGGCATGCAGCAGTCTACATGCTCTATCCTCTTCCTTGCCAGATGATCTTTTACAGAGGTATGAAATTAAGATCATGTCTTTTGACATTAACCCTAATAACCTGGAACTGTTAACACACCTGCTTTGTCTATTTCGTTCTTTCATAGATGTGTTGATGTTTGCCGTGTCCAACTAGTGCACCGTGGAACTTGTATTCGACAAGCATTTGGAAAACTGTTGAAATCAATTCCTTTAGGTGTTTTCCTAAGGTATAACAGTTGTTTTGAAGCAAAGACGTTCTGTGATATTTACAGCCTCTACTGGTTGTCTACTTTAGGAGAAGACAGATCACCTATTAGAGCATTAATGACACATCTTTTATGGCCCTGCTTGTCAGTGATTGAAGTGATGTCAAATAACCAAATTTTGCAGGTCTGCAAGAAAATTAAAAATTTTTAATGAGCTTTATAGGCTCACAATAATTAGTATAGAATAACTCATGTAGTGCCAAAATATGTTTCTTAGTAGCTCAGATATTTGAAAAACTAAACAGTAATCTTTTATTGTTTTTGATCAAGTTGATTTGGGAGCTTTTAAGAGCCTAAACTTGATCCTTTTGTAATAGATAAGCATAATGATTGGGTTTTTATGTTCACATGTTTGATATGCCTCCCTCAAATCCTCTTATGATGTCGGCACATGACCCATCTGAGGTGAATAAAAAAAGGATCTAAAGTTGTAATCACATCTCTGTATCCATTTGAAAGTCTCAATTTTACTATATTTTTACCTCCAGTGAGTTAATAAGTAAATAATCCACTTACAGTATGTGCTAACCTTTTAAGCTAAAATATTTTGCATAACAACAACTTTATTTTCTGTCTACAGCGATAACAATCACACAGAAATTCAAGAAATTTCTTTAGCATTAAGAAGTCACATGAGTAAAGCACCAAGTAATACATTCCACCCCCAAGATTTCTCTGATGTTATTAGTTTTATTTTGTATGGGAACTCTCATAGAACAGGGTAAGACATTTCTTTGACTATTTTATCTGGGAAAGAAAATTTTAAGATTCCCTTGACTTTACATGCAGTTTTGAAGAGAAAATATGTTTGGGGGTGGCAGAGTATCAAGTAACATTCTTCTCATATGGGTTATTTCAGTTTTCATCAATAGGAAAATTGCTTTGAAGATAGCATCTGTAGAAACAAAAATGGGCTTTGAAATTGAGTAATGAAATGTGGTTAACAGTTAACTGATGTGATGTCATTAACACTTTGGGGAGTGGGGTGGGGGTGGAGATATTCTAGAGATGCTTAGTTGCATTGAATGAGTTTCATTCCTGACTGGCATGAGCCGTTTACCCTAATCATCCTTCCACACTGTACCTCATCCTGTTAACTATACAAGACCTCAAAATGAGAGGGGGGGACATAATGCTTCTCAATTTCATAGGTTTTGCCTTTTTTTGGAGTAGGGAAAATTACAGTTCCTTATTCCCATTCCCCTTGCATTTTTTTTTCATTATTAAAATGAAGTTGTCATTGTCTTTTAAATATGAAACTACTTTTCCCAGGAAGGACAATTGGTTGGAAAGACTGTTCTATAGCTGCCAGAGACTGGATAAGCGTGACCAGTCAACAATTCCACGCAATCTCCTGAAGACAGATGCTATCCTTTGGCAGTGGGCCATATGGGAAGCTGCACAATTCACTGTTCTTTCTAAGCTGAGAACCCCACTGGGCAGAGCTCAAGACACCTTCCAGACAATTGAAGGTAACTCGCTCAAGCTTTATGATGTGAATACTTTCAAAGCCTTATTGAGAAATAATGGATTTTTAAATCTTTGTTAAAGATTTGAGGGTATATGATTTTTTTTGAAAAAAGTCAATAATTTTCAGGTTTGTTTGTTAGAATAAGCTTTCATTGAATAATTGCATTGGAAATATGTTTGTTTTTTTTCCAAAACTTATGGGAGTTGTGTGGAAAAAATATATATTTTTTTCCCCTAAAATGAAAGATCTTTCATGTTGGGATTTTTTATTTTTAAATGATGGGTAGACAGAGGATACTTGATAAATGTGAATTGGTCATAAAAAACTCACACTTATTCTAGGAACTTTTAAGATTTTTAAAAATTCAGAATGTTGTCTTTGCTTTCAGGTATCATTCGAAGTCTCGCAGGTCACACATTAAACCCTGATCAGGATGTTAGTCAGTGGACAACTGCAGACAGTGATGAAGGCCATGGTAACAACCAACTTAGACTTGTTCTTCTTCTGCAGTATCTGGAAAATCTGGAGAAATTAATGTATAATGCATACGAGGGATGTGCTAATGCCTTAACTTCACCTCCCAAGGTTGGTTTCCGGGAGATAGTGTTGTTTTATAGCAGTTTAATGGTCACAGCTGGCAGTATGTGCAGAGCTGAAATCACAATAGACTTGTGTATTTGGTTTATATATAGGTGAGACATCCTTACCTACAAATTGAACCAGTCCTGAGCTTTTCTTTCTCTTATCGTAAAGGTCATTAGAACTTTTTTGTATACCAATCGCCAAACTTGTCAGGACTGGCTAACGCGGATTCGACTCTCCATCATGAGGGTAGGATTGTTGGCAGGCCAGCCTGCAGTGACAGTGAGACATGGCTTTGACTTGCTTACAGAGATGAAAACAACCAGCCTATCTCAGGTAAAGTGGTGTGTTTGAAATTCATTTTAAGTCTGTTAATAAGAAAAACATGGTTTAATTCCTTTGGTATGATTTAATCTATGGATAAAATAAGTTAAAGCTTGGATTCATTTTCAAAGGTTTTGATCCTGTATTTTGTAAAAGCAACAACTGCCAGAGTTACCTATTTTATTCGTGTTAAAACAGTGTTAGAAGTCAAAATAATGTTCATGTTTTTGTTCATGTTAAAACAATATTCATGTTAGAACACGTTAAAACTCTATTTCTTCCGTGCAAAGTTTAGAACTTTAAAGGTAATTCTGAAAATTTGTTTATGGGGGAAAATTTTTATTTATTTATTTATTTTTTTGAGACACAGTTTCACTCTGTCGCCCAGGCTGGAGTGCAGTTGTGCGATCTCGGCTCACTGTAAGCTCCGCCTCTCGGGTTCAAGCCTCTTCTTGCCTCAGTCCCTGGGATTACAGGCACCCACCACCATACCCGGCTAAGTTTTGTATTTTTAGTAGAGACAGGGTTTCACCATGTTGGCCAGGCTGGTCTCGAACTCCTGACCACAAGTGATCCGCCCACCTCGGCCTTCCAAAGTGCTGGGATTACAGGCATGAGCCACTGCACCTGGCCAGGAGAAATTGTTTTTATAACGTATGACAAATGCTTGAGTAATTCCTGGATTGAAAGTGGGCTCACAATAAATAACTGGAATCCAAAAATAACAAAATGTTTAGCAATTCAGGTAATGTCAAGCAGTATTCAAACACATGAAGTTAATCATTCCTTAATTCCTGTTTATTTATATTTCATTTTTGCTTTCTTTTTACTCCATGTGTTATTCCTACAGAGGTCACAGGTTAAATGTTTTTGGGTAACTTTGGGGTGGGGGTATAAACATCCATGTGCTGCTAAGGTTCTGTTAGTCACCCTTTGTGGCTATTTTATATGTAACATTTTAAAGAATTCTGAGCTAAATAATGTGAAAATTGTGACAATAATTGTTAAATACATTTGGCTTTAAGCAGGCACAGACTGTGATCAGTTGTAAATTTTATAGGGATTTATGTTTTAATGGTATTGGGTGACTAACTTTTCTGAATGCGTTTTCAGGGGAATGAATTGGAAGTAAGCATTATGATGGTGGTAGAAGCACTATGTGAACTTCATTGTCCTGAAGCTATACAGGGAATTGCTGTCTGGTCATCATCTATTGTTGGAAAACATCTTCTGTGGATTAACTCAGTGGCTCAACAGGCTGAAGGGAGGTAGGTTGGAGGGAAGGAAATGGGTGATAGAATTACTTTATGTTTAAGTTCTTTGTATTACTCACTGACATTGTAGCCAAATCTTAAAACAGCTTTGTTTGCTTTCAGCATTGAAGCTTGCTATAAATCCCTTCACCAGGAGGCATCTTCAGTTTGTTCTTCAGTTAGCAGCAATACTGGAGTGCCTTTCTTATTTAAGAATTAGTGGCAAATCACACTGTAAAACAAGACCTGTCAGTTGTTTTATAAATGCTTTTGAACTTGATCCCTAGTTGAGCTCCTTCCCCCTCAGAGTCTGATACAAATTACCCTTTATTGTCAGAGTATTTGCTCGTTAGTCCTGTGAACTCTACATTCAGACTCATTGCTTCCTCCGGGTAGAGGAGCTTGTACCATAATATTCTGTGTCCATTTATGTTAGTTTAATGAAATCTTGCGAACTTAGGAAAATAAAAGAACTGCTCATACTTCCATATCTTTGTAGTAACTTCTGTTGTGTGTCCTTTTGTAGTCCCATATTTCCATATCCATACGCTTTGTAATTCTTTTTTCTTTCATGTCGTTTTCTCCATTCTTCACCAAAACATCAGCGTACATAGGCACATGGTTTTATGATCTGTTTTTCCCACTCAATATTTAAAAAAACAAAATTTGCCATGTTAGGTAGGCTGGGTTCGGTGGCTTACATCTGTATTCCCAGCACTTTGGGAGGCCGAGGCAGGCGGATCACCTGAGGTCAGGAGTTCAAGACCAGCCTGGCCAACATGGTGAAACCCCGTCTCTACTAAAAATACAAGAAAATTAGCCGGGCATGGTGGCGAGTGCCTGTAATCCCAGCTACTCAGGAGGCTGAGGCAGGAGAATCGCTTGTACACGGGAGGCAGAGGTTGCACTGAGCTGAGACAGTGCCATTGCACTCCAGCCTGGGCAAGAAGAGCAAAACTTCATCTCAAAAAAAAAAGTAAGTAGTTAGATAAATAAAGAAATAAGACTGCTTCAATTTGCTTTTCAGGTTTGAAAAGGCCTCTGTGGAGTACCAGGAACACCTGTGTGCCATGACAGGTGTTGATTGCTGCATCTCCAGCTTTGACAAATCGGTGCTCACCTTAGCCAGTGCTGGGTGTAAGAGTGCCAGCCTGAAACATTGTCTGAATGGTGAGCGTTCAGCATTTTTAAATAAAGCAAAAGTTATAGTAATATATTTCGTACTGATGATCTTATCATGTTTTTAGGTTTCTGTGCTCTTTGAAATATTTCTAATTGATCTGAATCTCTCTCTTCTTATTTTATAAAATACTTTCAGGTGAATCCAGAAAAAGTGTGCTGTCCAAACCGACTGACTCTTCCCCTGAGGTTATAAATTATTTAGGAAACAAAGCATGTGAGTGCTACATCTCAACTGCCGATTGGGCTGCTGTGCAGGAATGGCAGAACGCTATCCATGACTTGAAAAAGAGTACCAGTAGCACTTCCCTCAACCTGAAAGCTGACTTCAACTATATAAAGTAAGGCTTTCTGTTTCCAGTTATAAAACAAATTTCCAATAACTATGATGTTTTTCCTATGGCAAAAAAAATATTAAAATTGGTCATATGCAGTAATACTCAAAATGGTTATATTTCTAACTTACTGCCATTATGAAAATGACAACAGGAAACTGACATCAGAGATGAGGGAAGGTATTTGTATAATGGGAAAACACTGCTGAGATAGTCATTTGGTATTAATTTTCAGAACCTGTCGTTCTAAAACCTTAATACAGTTTGAAGATTATGCCAGAGTGAATATAAAGAAAAATTTGTACTGCTTTAGAAAGAATCACATTTGATGGCTTTGTTTCGAAATGAGGTCTGAATATATCAAAAACATTTATTCTAATGAGGACAGAGTTTGTGAACATCTGTAAATTAAACTTTCTTCTCATTCCTCTGTGCTTTTATTAATTCTGTAATTCAAAACTGAGCACTCACTCTGTTGCAGACACTTGGCTGGGAAGATAAAGGTCATTAGACTTTGTCTGATACCCTTGCCTTCTACTGCTAAATGGGTTAATGTGTAATTGCTTCACTGAGCATGTGCTGTGACCCAGGCAGCACATAAAACAGACACAAATTCCAACCTTTTAAAGCAAAGATTAGATAAAGATTATTGATAGAAGGACTAATTGGACCTCACTCACCTTTTCTGTGCCATAAGGAAAGCAGTTAGGTAAAGCTGACCTTCTTTGGAGGGAAGACACAAGGTCAAGACATGCCCATCAGGATGCCCTTTGGGCCTAGACCTGATGTGAGAATGATGGGCTTGGAGTGTTCTGGAAATAGCTGGGAGGCCTGTGTGTTTAGGAGCGCCTTAAACAGTAGGATATAAGGGCAGAGAAGTAGCTGGGAACTGAGAAAAGAACTTTGGCTGTTATTCTAGTAAGACTGAAAATTTCAGGTGGGATTTGAACAGAGTTGTGTTGTGATCTGACTTGGTTCATTCTGCTGTGGTGAAGAGACTGGAGGTGCGGGGCAAGTATGGAAGCATGGAGACCATTAATTTATGGGGGCAATGGTAGAGGGAAGAGAAACAATGCTATTAACTGGAGTAGGAGCACACAGAGAACAAGCCATGTTTTAAGATTTCTAATGAAATGTGCAGATGAGATTGTTGGGTAAGCTGTTAAGAATTGGATTTTGAACTAAGGAGACAGTCTAAGCTTGAGAGATTTGCAGATGATTAGTACACAGAAAAGGCCCTCTTTCCTTTTCAGTCTCTATACTCTAGAGCCTTTGTAAGCAACCAAACCAGAGAGAAGCCTCTGGAGAATAGTGAGTGAAGAGGAAGGAAGGCCTGGGTCAGAATCCTAGTTTAGCATTTTTGTGAAAGGATAGAAGAGGAAGCCATTCAAAAAAATACAGGGACATTGAGAAGGGAAGTGCCCTAGATATAGGACATCCAGATGGGAGTAGTCAGCCTTGTCAGATGCTCTAGGGATTATAAGGAAAAAGAGTTTTGTAGAGAGACAGAAGAAGCTAGATTGAATAGTATTGAGTGGTAGAGACATTTGAAAATGAAAAGCTTGAGGTAAGTTATTTGGTCAGTGAGTTTTTCTTGAAGTCGAGGATAGGAAGCTGTTGCTGGAGGGAAATATGAGATGTTTATTTTAAATGTTGGAGAGATTATGTTCTTTTGGCCAAGGGGAAGGAGCCACTAGAAAGCAGAGGTTGAAGAAACAGGAGAAAGAACATTGATAGATTAACTGGCCCTCACCTTTTCTCTGCCTCAAGGAAAGCAGTCAAAGTTGGTATAGACAGAATTTCGGCAGTGTATGGTGGATTGGGGGTAGGGGTAGAGGAAATTAAAGCCTGTGTTTTTTTGTTTATTTGTTTGTTTTTTCTGAGGACTGAGTCATTAGCTGAAAGCATAGGGCATTATAGAGCATAGTGGGGACTTGGGGAACCTGCCACTGGAGAGGACTTAGGACCTTTTAATGGCAGAAATGATGACTGTGTTGGCAGCAGTTCATCAGTGCCCAGTACCCAAGGGTCCCCCTGAGAAGCCAGTGGTTGCACTGATCTAGGTAGAATCAGGCACAGAATAAGTCAGGTGATGTGCCTTTCTAGCACTGGCCTCAGGCTGAGTTATAAGGGAAGTTACACAGCGAGAGGGACAGGCAAAGATGGAAAAGAGAGAGAGTGAGAAACAGTGTCTTCTTCCTGGCTGGAGAGCCCGTGTCATGAAAATGGGGACAGGGTAAGGGATCTGAAAGGAGCAGCATAGAAGCTGGGAGGATGAGGCCTGTCTTCCTGGCATTGATGCTGCAGAACTACAGGAAAGAATTTCAGAGGTGTCATTATTTTTCATATAAGCAGATGAAAGAGAAGAATTCTTTGAAAAAAGAAAAGTAGGTGAAAAAGGGAGAGACGGAGGGATGCCAGCAGTGAAAGAAGCCAGGACTGAGATACAAGATTGTGATGCTGGGAGAGCTGTGCAAGGGCTCATGCTGTAGGTGAGGAGTGAGGCTGCACAGGGAGCTCACTGGCAGCTTGGAGAGAACTGGGTGTCAAAGTTGTCCTGCAGAGGTCTACTGTCAGTGTGTCAGGCTCTGAAGAGAACAGGCTGCAACACATGAAAACAGGAAGGAGACACAGGGGCGAGTCAGCTCCACTGAAAGTCTGTAGCTGTGACTTTCTGGTTTGCCACTCCAATTTGAGTACTAATTAAGTGGTAGTCACATCTTCAACATAAAAACCAAAATAATGGCATCCTCGTGGAAGGAATTTTGTCAGAAAAGTGCTGTGTACTTTGCTGTCTTCCTAGGATTTGTTCTGTTTTTGTTTGTTTGTTTTTTTTAATGGTTCCACAGGCTGCATAGGAATACAAGCTAACCAATATTTTAATTACAGATCATTAAGCAGCTTTGAGTCTGGAAAATTTGTCGAATGTACCGAGCAATTAGAATTGTTACCAGGAGAAAATATCAATCTACTTGCTGGAGGATCAAAAGAAAAAATAGGTAGGTACTTGAGAAAATAGTTTTAAAGTTATTTTAGTGGACAAGTTGCTCAAAATGTTTGGCTTAGTATATTTTACTGGAAAATCTGGAAGTTATTTTACATTTTTGTGGGGGCAGAATCCCATGTGAAGCAACAAATTTAGGGCTGCCCTATTTATGTTTGATTTGGGAAATGAAAAGCACTTAAAATTAAGTCAAATAAAAAAAATGACCACCTTAATACTTTGAGATTTATCTAGCCATTTTGTTTGATAAAGGACAAAGTAGTGTTTCAGCTAAATATTTTTCTTGATTTTCATCTTGATGTGGCTCATTAAGTTCTTTATCACAAATGGAACACTTGATAAGATGTTATTAAAAAGTTTAATGAGTATTCTGGATTGAGCAAGATTTGCTAATGCAGGTCTAGATTTGTCCCCTTAAATAGTAGATTGACTTACCGATTTTCTTTTTTGTTGAGACAGAGTCTCACTCTGTTGCCCAGGCTGGAGTGCAGTGGCGCGATTTCGGCTCACTGCAACCTCCGCCGCCCTCTGAGTTCAAGCGATTCTCCTGCCTCAGCCTCCTGAGTAGCTGGGATTACAGGTGTCTGCCACCGTGCCCAGCTAATTTTTTGTATTTTTAGTAGAGACGGGGTTTCATCATCGTGGCCAGGCTGGTCTTGAACTCCTGACTTCGTGATCCACCCACCTTGGCCTCCCAAAGTGCCGGGATTACAGGCGTGAGCCACCACGCCTGACCTCGACTTACTGATTTTTGAGCCTTTGAAGGCAACTGCTTTTTAGGGGTCTGAGGTACAGTAATTTTGTATGAAGTATGATTTTTATATAGCTCTCAGTAATGCTTATAGTGTTTAACTGCCTGAAATATTAAAGGAGCTGTTCATTGGTGATTAGTTTTTAATAATGCCAAACATAAATCAAAATTTATAATAAAAGCACATTAACTTAATGACATTTCATTTAACTTCTGTAGACATGAAAAAACTGCTTCGTAACATGTGAAGTCCAGATCCAAGGGAACCTCAGAAATCCATTGAAGTTCCATTGTTAAGAAGTTCTGTTTGTTTGGCAACTGCTTTAAACCCGATAGAACAAGATCAGAAGTGGCAGTCTATAACTGAGTAAGTTTACTCTTACGGAGGTAAATGTACATTGTGTATATCATGTGATAATCATACATGGGGTGAAGAGGGCTGGAAGGAGAGTTACTAGATTACTAAATACTAGTGCTAATAGCTTCATTTTAGTTGTAGAAGTCATATGATATATGAATGCTGCTTGCCAACAAAAACTGAGGTTGAAATGAAATAAAATGTAAAAATCCCCAAAAGCAAATGTCTTGACTTGCTGATACCATTTTATTATAGAGCAGGCTGCTCCTCTTACTGCCCCCTAACTTTGGATGTCAATTTGATAGCATCTTATCAATTGCTTTATTCTTTGAGTGGTTATGAATTGTAATTTTTATTAATTGACAGTAAATATTTTGTTTCAGAAATGTGGTAAAGTACTTGAAGCAAACATCCCGCATCGCTATTGGACCTCTGAGACTTTCTACTTTAACAGTTTCACAGTCTTTGCCAGTTCTAAGTACCTTGCAGCTGTATTGCTCGTCTGCTTTGGAGACCACAGTTTCTAACAGACTTTCAACAGAGGTCTGTATATTTTTACAAGCACACTCTTATGACTATTAATGGTCATTACTGTAGAACAAAGACCTTATTTTTTGAGTTTTTTGGAATAGGATTTGTAGTTGGGCAAGCTGGTAAATCCAGAAATCTAACATGCTGTTTTCAGGCAGTCTTTCATTTGGGAAGTACATGGGGCAGATGGAAGAACCTGAGATAATCGCAAGGATGGCAAATTGCTCAGTTTTTTCTTCTATTTTTGGGGTGGGAGGTGGTGTATGTAAAGACAGTTCCTTTAGGCAGATCACGTAAATTTTAGATTTGCTGCAAACAAAGATCTCTCCTCTTCATCCTAAATGGGGTAAAGTTCGACCAGAGATGGGGGCTTCTGAATGAATGGTGATCTTCGAGAACTTCATAATAAAGCATTAGTTGTAATGTTTTTCTGCAGTCTGCTTTATAGTAAATGTGCTGTGACTTTTTTTTTTGTAATGTGCTTTATTAAGTATATTGATAAATTAGACTTAATATTCTGAAGAAGATTTCCCTTCAAAACAAAAGGCTTTCTCTTACTGTGTGCTTGCCTCTTGTGAGTAGAAGATAAATGATGTAAGGGTATAGTGTAATAGATAAAACTACTGCAATCAATCTGAAGTAGCCAAACTATATTGCAGTCTTGGACTTAAGACTTGCTATATATCTGCAAACATATCAACAGCCTGTTTTACGTTGAGTAATTTTGGTTTTTCTCTGGCAGGACTGTCTTATTCCACTCTTCGGCGAAGCTTTACGTTCATGTAAACAGCATGACGTGAGGCCGTGGATGCAGGCATTAAGGTATACTGTGTACCAGAATCAGTTGTTGGAGAAAATTAAAGTTAAGTGGTTTTCCTTTTTTTTTTTTGTAAGAGAAAATTAAAGGTGGTTTTTTTTTTTAAATTTTGCTTTATTGAGGTTTATATTACACATTCTAAGTGTATGGTTTGATGAGTTCTAACATGTCTTCACTTGTGTGACCACCAATACGATCGAGATAGAGAACAGCGTCTTACCCCAGAAGGTTCCCTTGGGATCATCTCCTCATTTGCCCCTGTCAGCAGTTACTGATTTGCTTTCTGTCACTATGGATTAGACTTGTCTTTACTAAAGTTTCATGTACGTGAAATCATAACAACATGTTCTCTTGTGTTTGGCTTCTCTTGCTCAGCATGATATTTTTACGGTTCACCCATATTGCATGTATCAGGAATATAATCCTTTTTATTATTGAGTAGTGTTCTATTGTATGTATATACCACAGTTTATTTCTCCCTTCATCCTTTGCTAGATTTTGGGGTTTTTTCACATTGCGCTATTCAGTATAAACCTGCTCTCAACATTCATGTGCAAGTCTTTGAGTGGACATATATTTGCGTTTCTCTTGAGTGAATGCACCTTGTTGGGTCACGTGGCTTAACTTAAAAAAATTTTAATCACTGTGGTGCATATGTAGTGATTATTAGTGATTATCTCATAATTTTATTTTCTTGTTTAATGATGTTGAGTGTATTTCATTTGTATTTTAGTTTGCAAATGTTTGTTCAAATTCTTCACCTGTTTTTAATGAAGACGTACGACTTATTTTTGTGTTCTGAACATAAGTTCTTTGTCACATAAAATGTGCTATGAATGTTGAGTTTTAAATACTCCAAATGAATGGCTAGAGAATTACTATTTGTAGAAATATTTATATGTCAAAGGGATGCTAACAATTTACTTTATTGCTCTAAAATAGAAAAGTTGCCAGAATGCTGTGGAGTTTTAGTGGAAAACATGATAGCTGGTGTTACTGAGTAAATTTGAGTGTTAAATGTCAATGTAAGCTAACGGCCAAGATAGGGACCACTGCAGGGTGGTTACTTGCAGCTATGACTCAACTGGTCCTTCACTGCCAAACATACCTGGGGTTGGATCATTGGCCTGACGTTTGCAAATTGAGGAACCTTAGGGCAAATCAATGAACTTCTGAACTGCCTTCGTCTTCAGTTATATGGGGATTTCCCCACTTTTGAGGTACTTGTAAGGATTATATGAGATGAAGAGATGAGACAAGGTATATAAAAGTCCTAGCACAGAGCGTGTCATATAATATGGCTTCACAAGTACCCTCATCTCCTTTCCAGTCGTTTTTTGTTTTTGTTTTTGTTTTTTTGAGACCATCTCACTCTGTTGCCCAGGCTGGAGTGCCTCTTCATTTTTATTTCTTTATTCAGCAAGTATTGATCAAATGTGCTTTGTACCAGGTACTGAGCTCTTCGTTGGGATATAATGGTGATCAAGGAGATTGTAGATTCTGGCAGGGAAAACTGACATCAAACACGGCGACCCGACATAGTGAGACCCTGTCTCTACTAGAAGAACTTTAAAAATCACCTAGGTGTGGGCCGGGCACGGTGGCTAACGCCTGTAATCCCAGCACTTTGAGATGCTGAGGCAGGTGGATCACGAGGTCAGGAGATCGAGACCATCCTGGATAACACGGAGAAACCCCGTCTCTACTAAAAATACAAAAAAATTAGCCGGGCGTGGGGGCGGGCATCTGTAGTCCCAATTACTCGGGAGGCTGCAGCAGGAGAATGGCATGAACCCGGGAGGCGGATCTTGCATTGAGCCAAGATCACGCCACTGCACTCCAGCCTGGGCGACAGAATGAGACTCCATCTCAAAAAAAAAGAAGAAACCAAGGATATAGAATAAAACAAGAGTGTAGATTTGGGCATTGAGGCCTTCAAATTGGATTGTTCTCAATGTCCAGAAGAAAAAAAAAATTTAGAAGAGACCCAAATCAGAAAACAAAAGTTGGGCTGAATTCAATGCGAATTATTTTCTAGCTCAATATTAATACTGCTTATGTCAGCTGAATTTCAGCCTTTCAATAACAGCTAGTCAAGTATTTTTTTAGTTGGTTCCTATTGATCGTCATCTTATTTTAGTGGAATCCATTATATTGAAGATGTCAAGTTCCTCATTTCCCATACAAAGAATGTGAGATTCATCTTTCTTGAATCTTTGCTAAGTGTTGAAGGGGACTTTTGGCATCTTTTCAGGAGGACTATAATTGGGCCCTCTAACTAAAAAGTCTCCTATGCCCCTTAGATAGATGAGATTTTTTTTTTTGACCTTGTACCCACCAACATTGGTGGGAGGCTCAGAAGGGACTGTGTTTGTAACTTTGTAGCACTTTCTAAACAGTGACCTGTTGTATGGGCATTATAGGACAGTCCGTGGGGTGGGGCGGGGGATGGGGGAGATGGACAAATGAGGTCTGGTTTAAAGAATGAGAAGTGTGACCAGGCATGGTGACTCATGCCTGTAATCCAGCACTTTGGGATGCTGAGGCAGGAGGATCACTTGAGCCCAGGAGTTTGAGGTTACAGTAAGCTATGATTGTGCCACTGGGCTCCAGCCTGGGTGACAGAACTAGACCCTGTCTCTAAAAAAAGAAGAAGAGGTGTGTATCCTTCTAAATGATAAAACAGATCACTCCCCTGCTTACATAAAACTTTCCGGTGGCTGGCCAGGCACGGTGGCTCACGCCTGTAATCCCAGCACTTTGGGAGGCCGTGGTGGGCAGATCACGAGGTCAGGAAATCGAGACCATCCTGGCTAACGTGGTGAAATCTTGTCTCTACTAAAAACACAAAAAATTAACCCAGGTATGGTGGCATGCACCTGTAGTCCCAGCTACTCGGGAGGCTGAGGCAGGAGAATCGCTTGAACCAGGGAGGTGGAGGTTGCAGTGAGCTGAGATTGCGCCACTGCACTCCAGCCTGGGTGACAGAGACTCTGTCTCAAAAAAAAAAAAAAAAAGAAAAAGAAAAATTAGATGGGTGTGGTGGCATGTGCCTGTAATCCCAGCTACTGGGGAGCCTGAGGCAGGAGAATCGCTTGAACCTGGGAGGCAGAGGTTACAGTGAGCCAAGATTGCACCACTGCAGTCTGCCTGGGTGACAGAGCTAGACTCTGTCTCAAAAACAGAAAAACAAAAAAACAACTTTCCAGTGGCTTCTCACTGCTCTGAGAATAAACTCCAGGCTCTTCCATTGCAACCAACAGGATCTGGTGATTCGACCCCAGCCCCTCTTTCCAGGCCCTCATCACCTTGATCCTCCCTTAACCTATCCTGCTCCAGCTGCACTGGCTGCCTTCCTATTCCTCCAGCATACCAAGATTGTTTCTGCCACAGGGCCTTTGCATCTGCTGTTCTCTTCGCCTGGACACCTCTTGGTTCTTTTTTTTTTTGTTCTTTGAGATGGAGTCTCACTCTGTCGCCCAGGCTGAAGTGCAGTGGCGCGATCTCGGCTCACTGCAAGCTCCGTCTCCCAGGTTCATGCCATTCTCCTGCCTCAGCCTTCCGAGTAGCTGGGACTACAGGCATCCGCCACCACGCCCGGCTAATTTTTTTGTATTTTTAGTAGAGACGGTTTCACCGTCTTAGCCAGGATGGTCTCGATCTCCTGACCTCGTGATCCGCCCGCCTGGGCCTCCCAAAGTGCTGGGATTACAGGTGTGAGCCACCGTACCCGGCCATAGAGCAGCCTCTTCCTTTTCCTGTTGGGTCTCTGCTCAAATGTCATGTCAGAGAGGCAGACCTCTGGGGCGGTCTATCTGAGGGAATGCACCCATCTCCCTTCCTCTGACCAGTTAGTTACCTTGCTTATTCTTTCAAAGCTCTTACCACCACCTGAAGTCATCTATCTGGTTTGGTTATTTTATTGTTTAGTAGCAGTCTTTATTTTATTATCATTATTATTTTTTGATGGAGTCTCACTCTGTTGCCCAGGCTGGAGTGCAGTAGCATGATCTCGGCTCACCAGAACCTCTGCCTCCCAGGTTCAAGCGATTCTCCTGCCTTAGCTTCCTGAGTAGCTGGGACTACAGGCACGTGCCACCATGCCCAGCTGATTTTTGTACTTTTAGTAGAAACGGGGTTTCACTATGTTGGCTGGTCTTGAACTCCTGACATCAAGTGATCCGCCCACCTCGGCCTCCCAAAGTACTGGGATTACAGGCATGAGCCACCACGCCAGGCTGGTAGCAGTCTTTCCTAGAATGTGGATGCCTTGGAAAACAGGGGCTCTGCCTTGTTTCCCTAGAACCTAGAATGGCATCTGGCACACAGCAGATGCTACATCTATTGTAAATGAATGAATGAAAGAAGTGTCCTTGCAGCCACACTGGCAGCCGTAACATAGTGGTTATAAATCTAGACTCTGGAGTCTCAAGTGCAAATGTCATTGGCCTCTCCTCCAGCCTCCTCAAGGAGCACTCAATGACTGGAAGCGCCCTGATATGACTGTGGTTGGACTGACATGACTGCCAGATGGTGGGACTTGGTCTGGAGCAGAGACTACTTGGAATGGTAGAGGCAAAACTCAACAGCCCCTGGAGCTGCGCTTGTGGTGGAGCTGGACCCTGATTTTAGCTGGACCTTGTTTTTAGAGACAGGGTTTCCTTCTGCAGTCTCAATCTCCTAGCCTTGATTGATCCTCCTGCCTTGGCCTCCCAAAGTGCTGGGACTACAGGTGCATGCAACCACACCTGGCTAATTTTCTTCTCTTCTTTCTTTTTTTTTTTTTTTTTTTGATGGAGTCTTGTTCTGTTGCCCAGGCTGGAGTGCAATGGTGCCATCTCGGCTCACTGCAACCTCTGCCTCCCGGGTTCAATCCATTCTCCTGCCTCAGCCTCCCAAGTAGCTGGGACTACAGGTGTGTGCCACTGTGCCTGGCTAATTTTTGTATTTTTAGTAGGGATGAGACTTCACCATGTTGGCCAGGCTGGTCTCGACCTCCTGACCTCAGGTGATCCACCCACCTTGGCCTCCCAAAGTGCTGGGACTACAGGCACATGCAACCACGTCTGGCTAATTTTCTTGAGTTTTAGTAGAGACTGGGTCTCGTTATGTTGTCCAGGCTGGTCCCGAGCTCCTGAGTTCAATCGATCTTCCTGCCTTGGTCTCCCAAAGTGCTGGGCCTACAGACGTGAGCCACCATCCCCAGCCCAATTTTTGTATATTTTGTAGAGACACAGTCTTGCTATGTTGTCCAGGCTGGTCTCAAACTCCTGGGCTCAAGGGATCTTCTTGCCTTGGCCTCCCGGAGCACTTAATTACAGGAATGACTGCATGTGCTGTTGTGCCTATACTTTCTGGAGATACGTTGTTAGGAATTTATGTAGTTGGCCGGGCACGGTGGCTCACGCCTGTAATCCCAGCACTCTGGGATGCCGAGGCAGGTGGATCACCTGAGGTCAGGAGTTTGAGACCAGCCTGGTCAACATGGTGAAACCCTGTCTCTACTAATAATACTAAAATCAGAGGTTGCTTGCAGTGAGCCAAGATCATACCATTGCACTGCAGCCTGGGCAACAGAGCGAGACTCTGTCTCAAAAAAAAAAAAAAAAGGAATTTACATAGTTGAACAACTATTCTTTGGACATCTTTTAGTCCAGTAGACGGTGTTAAACTTGAAGACAAATAACGATTTGACCTGTGATATTTGTTTTTCCCTCTTATCTTCTAAGCCCATTCATCCAGATCATTCATCACCTTTAAAGGCATCCCCAGAGGGAGGCAGGTCTGGACAGAGCTGAAGATTGCACAGGCCATTTGCAGGCTGGATTAGTTCTGTGGTGACCCACCTGTCTGACTCGAGTTATTTTTTTCCCATGTCTGGACAAGACTGACCTCTGCCCAGCAACTCAGGCCTGGATTTAGTCCAAGGGCCCTCAGTGGCTTTTTTGTTTGTTTGTTTTTTCAGGAAGTGAAGAATTTAGAGGGATAAAAGGCGGAAATAACTTTTCAGCCTCTGACCTTTGTAACAATCTAGTTTCCTTTTAAAGGAGCATTGTTTGGGCCTGGGGCCACCTAGACCTTCTGATGCTCTTTCCCCACCCTTGGAGGAGGAGGAAAGGAAGAAAATGGGCCCTGAGCGATCACCACATACCAGGCCCTGGGGGTCTAGTGGCGAAGGAGGCAGGTAGGGTCTCTTGCTTTCATGGAGCTTCTAGTCAAGCGAGACGCACTAAACAGTAAAGGGACAAATAGGATTACTGGAGGTAGCCCTAACTACTGGGACAGAAACAAGATGGTAAGATAGAGAAGGAAGAGTGGCCTGCTCAGATGGGGTGGTCCAGAGGCCTCTCGGGGGAGGTGACTCCTTTTTATTTTATTTTTTTTGAGATGGAATCTAGCTCTGTCGCCCAGCCTGAAGTGCAGTCGTGTGTTTCATGCGCGTCCGTGTGAAGAGACCACCAAACAGGCTTTGTGTGAGCAACATGGCTGTTTATTTCACCTGGGTGCAGGCGGGCTGAGTCCGAAAAGAGAGTCAGCAAAGGGTGGTGGATTATCATTAGTTCTTACAGGTTTTGGGATAGGGGGTGAAGAGCCATGTTTTGCAGGCAGGGGTGGATCTCACAAAGTACATTCTCAAGGGTGGGGAGAATTACAAAGAACCTTCTTAAGGGTTGGGGAGATTACAAAGTACCTTCTTAAGGGTGGGGGAGATTACAAAGTACATTGAAGAGTTAGGGTGGGGCAGAAACAAATCACAATGGTGGAATGTCATCAGTTAAGGCTATTTTTACTTCTTGTGTGGATCTTCAGTTACTTCAGGCCATCTGGATGTATACGTGCAAGTCACAGGGGATGCAATGGCTTGGCTTGGGCTCAGAGGCCTGACAGTGTGATCTTGGCTCACTGCAAACTCTGCCTCCTGGGTTCAAGCAATTTTTGTGCCTCAGCTTCCCGAGTAGCTGGGATTACAGGTGCCCGCCACCATGCCCAGCTAATTTTTGTATTTTTAGTAGAGACATAGAGTTTCACCAGATTGGCCAGGCTGGTCTCGAACTCCTGTCTCACGTGTCTGTGTGAAGAGACCACCAAACATGCTTTGTGTGAGCAACATGGCTGTTTATTTCACCTGGGTGCAGGCGGGCTGAGTCCGAAAAAGGAGTCAACAAAGGGTGGTGTGATTATCACTGGTTCTTATAGATTTGGGAATAGGCGGTGGAGTTAAGAGCAGTGTTTTGGGGGCAGGAGGTGGATCTCATAAAGTACATTGTCAAAGGTGAGGAGAATTACAAAGAAACTTCTTAAGGGTGGGGGAGATGATAAAGAACCTTCTTAAGAGTGGGGCAGATTACAAAGTACATTGATCAGTTAGGGTGGGGCAGAAACAAATGACAATGGTGGAATGTCTTCAGTTAAGGCTGTTTTCACTTCTGTGGATCTTCAGTTGCTTCAGGCCATCTGGATGTATACGTGCAGGTCACTGGGATATGATGGCTTAGCTTGGACTCAGAGGCCTGACATTCCTGTCTTCTTATGTTAATAAGAAAAATAAAACAAAATAGTGGTAAAGTGTTGGGGTGGCGAAAATTTTTGGGGGTGATATGGAGAGATAATGGGCGATGTTTCTCAGGGCTGCTTCGAGTGGGATTAGGGGCGGCATGGGAACCTACAGTGGGAGAGATTCAACTGAAGAAAGATTTTGGGGTAAGGGCTGATACTGTGGGGTTGTTAGAAGGAGCATTTGTCATATAGAATTATTGGTGATGGCCTGAATATGGTTTTGTATGAATTGAGAAACTAAACAGAAGACACACGGTCCGAATAAGAGAAGGAGAAAAACAGGTATTAAAGGACTAAGAATTGGGAGGACCCAGGACATCCAATTAAGAGAGTGCCCAAGGGGGTTCAGCATAATTATTTGCTTGGTTGGCAAGTTTTTGGACTCTATCCTTGAGTTTTTTTATGTTGTCATATACCAGGCCAGATTGATTTAGGTAAAAACAACACTCTTCATTTAAAAATATACAGAGTCGTCCTTTTTCAGCAATGAGTAAATTGAGGCCTTGGCGATTTTGGAGGAAAGAGAATTGCAAAGCCAGCAATTGTTTCTTTTTTTATTTATTTATTTACTTATTTTTTTAAATTATACTTTAAGTTATAGGGTACATGTACACAATGTGCAGGTTTGTTACATATGTATACATGTGCCATGTTGGTGTACTGCACCCATTAACTCGTCATTTACATTAGGTGTATCTCCTACTGCTATCCCTTCCCCCTCCCCCACCACACAAGAGGCCCCAGTGTGTGATGTTCCCCTTCCTGTGTCCAAGTGTTCTCATTGTTCAATTCCCATCTGTGAGTGAGAACATGCGGTGTTTGGTTTTTTGTCCTTGTGATAGTTTGCTGAGAGTGATCGTTTCCAGCTTCATCCATGTCTCTACAAAGGACATGAACTCATCCTTTTTTATGGCTGCATAGTACTCCATGGTGTATCTGTGCCACATTTTCTTAATCCAGTCTATCATTGATGGACATTTGTGTTGGTTCCAAGTCTTCACTATCGTGAATATTGCCGCGATAAACATACGTGTGCATGTGTCTTTATAGCAGCATGATTTATAATCCTTTGGGTATGTATCCAGTAATGGGATGGCTGGGTCAAATGGTATTTCTAGTTCTAGATCCCTGAGGAATCGCCACACTGTCTTCCACAATGGTTGAACCAGTTTACAGTCCCACCAACAGTGTAAAAGTGTTTCTATTTCTCCACATCCTCTCCAGCACCTGTTGTTTCCTGACTTTTTAATGATCGCCATTCTAACTGGTGTGAGATGATATCTCATTGCGGTTTTGATTTGCATTTCTCTGATGGCCAGTGATGATGAGCATTTTTTCATGTGTCTGTTGGCTGCATAAATGTCTTCTTTTGAGAAGTGTCTGTTCATATGCTTTGCCCACTTTTTGATGGGGTTTGTTTTTTTTCTTGTAAATTTGTTGGTGTTCTTTGTAGATTCTGGATATTAGCCTTTTGTCAGATAAGTAGATGGCAAAAATTTTCTCCCATTCTCTAGGTTGCCTGTTCACACTGATCCTAGTTTCTTTTGCTGTGCAGAAGCTCTTTAGTTTAATTAGATCCCATTTGTCAGTTTTGGCTTCTGTTGCCATTGCTTTTGGTGTTTTAGACATGAAGTCCTTGCCCATCCCTATGTCCTGAATGGTATTGCCTAGGTTTTCTTCTAGGGTTTTTACGGCTTTAGGTCTAACATTTAAGTCTTTAATCCATCTTGAATTAATTTTTGTATAAGGTGTAAGGAAGGGATCCAGTTTCAGCTTTCTACATAGGGCTAGCCAGTTTTCCCAGCACTATTTATTAAGTAGGGAATCCTTTCCGCATTTCTTGTTTTTGTCAGGTTTGTCAAAGATCAGATGGTTGTAGATGTGTGGTATTATTTCTGAGGGCTCTGTTCTGTTCCATTGGTCTATATGTCTGTTTTGGTACCAGTACCAGGCTGTTTTGGTTACTGTAGCCTTGTAGTATAGTTTGAAGTCAGGTAGCATGATGCCTCCAGCTTTGTTCATTGGGCTTAGGATTGTCTTGGCAATGCGGGCTCTTTTTTGGTTCCATATGAACATTAAAGTAGTCTTTTGCAACTCTCATCAGCCCAGTTTAATATTACCTATTTATTATAATGTAATGCTGCTCGCACAACTGAGAAAATACTGTTGCTTTACCCCCTCCAGCTCTGTAGCAGCCACGCAGAAATCATAGAACTGTAAACATATGCTAATTACACAACCTATGTAGGCAATCAATATTAAGAAAAATTTTTACTGCCCGGTATTTCTGTGGTTGAAAATGTAGAGTCTAATTTTGATCCGCAGTAACATCTAGGTTAATGTTGATTCAGAAGGAAAACGTTTGTTGTTGCCATGAGAAGAGGCATTGAAATGCTGAATCACCACCACAAATGTTACCACTATTAATATAAGGAGATACATAGGAAGATGGAATTAGACCATCTCGGACCACCAGGTTTACAATTCCACCTGCAGATACATGCAAGAAGTATTGTCACAATACTTATGTCACGTTATTCCGTTGAGGTCATCACCAACTAAGCTTATAATTAATGTGTGGTCAATTTGGTCAATGTCACCAGCGTAGCATACTAACAAAAACAAGGGTTGCAAAGTCAAATGCCTATAAGGCAGAACGTAAGACGGTAGGAAGCAAAGTCTATAGGGAGCTATATAATAGAGGCTGCAGATTCATGGCAGATTCTAAAGCACAGCAGTCCCCAACATTTTTGGCACCAGGGACCGGCTTTGTGGAAGACAATTTTTCCACAGGCGGCAAGGGATGGGGCGCAGGATGGTAATGGTCTTGGGATGAAACTGTTCCACCACAAATCATCAGGAATTAGATTCTCATAAGGAATATGCAACCTGGATCCCTCGTGTGTGCAATTCACAACAGGGTTCATGCTCCTGTAAGAATCTAATGATGCTGCTGATCTGACAGGAGGCAGAGCTCAGGCAGCAATGCAAGCAATGGGGAGCAGCCAGAAATACAGACGAAGCTTCAATTGTTACCCACCATTCACCTCCTGCTCTGTGGCCCAGTTCCTAACAGGCCACAGACCAGTACATGTCCATGGCCCAGGGGTCAGGCACCCCTGCTGTGGCACATTGCTTAATAGAGGACTGTAGCAGCCATGTGCCCTGACCTTTCCTTTTTTTTTTTTTTTTTTTTTTTGAGATGCCAGAAACCCAGAATTTTTTTTTTTTTTTTTTTTTTTTTTTTTTTTTAAGACAAGGTCTGGCTCTGTTGCCCAGGTTGGAGTGTAGGAGGGCGATCTCAGCTCACTGTAACATCAACCTCCCAGGCTCAAGCAATCCTCTCACTTCAGCCTCCCACGTTGCTGGGATTACAGGCACACTCCACTACACCCAGCTAATTTTTTTGTATTATTTGTAGACATGGGGTTTCGCCACGTTGCCCAGGCTAGTCTGGAATTCCTGAGGTCAAGCTGTCTGCCCATCTCAGCCTCCCAAAGTGCTGGGATTGCAGGAGTGCACCACCACACCTGGCCTGAAACCCAGATTTTATTTATTTATTCATTTTTTGAGATGGAGTCTTGCTCTATTGCCTAAGCTTGAGTGCAGTGGCGCGATCTTGGCTCACTGCAACCTCCACCTCCCTGGTTCAGGCGATTCTCCTGCCTCAGCCTCCCAAAGTGCTGGGATTACAGGCATGCAACACCACACCCAGCCTGAAACCCAGATTTTTAATATGAAATCAAAGTCTTCAGACCTTGTAGGTGTCATAAAAAGCACGCTGAGGACCACTAGTTTGCAACTGCCAATCTAAAATATCATAGACATTATATCACTTCAACCACGAAAAAAAAAGTATGTGAGGCAGAAAATGGAAGCAACCATGCCTAATTTATTGTTGAATACTTTTTCCGTATACCAAGAGCTTCCTTTGCACTAGCATCTGAAACTATATCCAGAATGACACTGGTTTTCATAAAAGTGTTGATCCTCACACCTCTTTATAGTCTTGCACCTAGCACAGTGGAGTGAAACACTTTAAATAGCACTTGTTCCTTGAGTATATATGGAAAAAAGTGAAGTATTGATAAGTGCTCAGCTAATATGAGCAGCATCTCAGGAGTCTCCAATTCTTGAATTACCAGGGAGTATTTTTACCATTTTCCCCCAGTGAAAGGCCTATTTTGAGAGACTTACCCTCCAAAATGAATGTATTAAGTCATGTTCCTTTTTTTTTTTTTTCTTTTTTTTTTTTGAGACAGGGCCTTGCTCTGTTGCCCAGGCTGGAGTGCAGTAGCATGATAGTTACAGGAAAGGGGTCCCAATCTAGACCCCAAGAGAGGGTTCTTGGATCTTGTGCAAGAAAGAATTCAGGGTGATGCCACAGTGTGAAGTGAAAGCAAGTTTATTAAGAAAGTAAAGGAGGAGGGGCACGGTGGCTCACTCCTGTAATCGCAGCACTTTGGGAGGCCGAGACAGGTGGATCACGAGGTTAGGAGATCAAGACCATCCTGGTTAACACGGTGAAACCTCATCTCTACTAAAAATACAAAAAAATTAGCCAAGTGTGGTGGCGGGTGCCTGTAGTCCCACCTACTCTGGAGGCTGAGGCAGGAGAATGGGATGAACCCGGGAGGCGAAGCTTGCAGTAAGCCGAGATCGCGCCACTGCACTCCAGCCTGGGTGACAGAGGGAGACTCCATCTCAAAAAAAAAAGAGAGAAAGTAAAGGAATAAAAGAATGGCTACCCCATAGACGGAGCAGCCGTGAGGGCTGCTGGTTGCCCATTTTTATGGTTATTTGTTGATGATATGCTAAACAAGGAGTGGATTTTTCATGCCTCCTCTTTTTAGACCATATAGGGTAACTTCTTGATGTTGCCGTGGCATTTGTAAACTGTCATGGTGCTGGTAGGAGTGTAGCAGGGAGGATGATGGGAGGTCAGTCTTGTCTCTATTTTGGTTTTGGTGGGTTTTGGCCAGCTCCTTCACTGCAACCTGTTTTATCAGCAAGGTCTTTATGACTGGTATTTTGTGCTGACCTTCTATGTCATCCTGTGACTTAGAATGCCTTAACCATCAGGGAATGCAGCCCAGTAGTTTCAGCCTCATTTTTCCCGGCTCCTATTTAAGATGGAGTTGCTCTGGTTCACACACCTCTGACATGATCATTGCCCACTGCGGCTTCCACCTCCCGGGTTCAAGAGATCCTCCTGCCTCACCCTCCCAAGGTGCTGGGACTACAGGTGTGTGCCACCAGCTCAGCTAATTTTTGTATTTTTTGTAGAGATGGTGTTTTTCCATGTTGCCCAGGCTGGTCTCAAACTCCTGGGCTCAAGCAATCCTTCTGTCTCAGCCTCCCAAAGTACTGGGATTACAGGCATGTCCCACCATGCCCAGACTAATATTTACTTTTAATCAGACTAAGATAGGGTTACTACTTGAGTTGCTATGGCTCCAGCTGAAAGAAAGCCCGTGCAGTCATATCACGCGTAAACATTTGCTTTATGCTAAAAATATGGTGGACCTGGCATTACAGCTATTACAAATCTCCTAAGATGTCTCGGGTAGTGTATTAGTTACTTTTCATACTGCTATGAAGAAATACTGGAAACTGGGTAATTTATAAAGAAAAAGAGGTTTAATGTACTCACAGTTCCACAAGGCTGGAGAGGCCTCAGAATCATGGTGGAAGGCAAAGAAGGAGCAAAAAGGTATGTCTTCCATGGCAGCAGGCAAGAGAGCACGTGCAGGGAAACTGCCCTTTATAAAACCATCAGATTTAGTGAGATGTATTCACTATCACGAGAACAGTATGGGAAAAACCTGCCCCCATGATTCGATTACCTCCTACCGGGTCCCTCCCACGACACATGGGGATTATGGGAACTACAATTCAAGATGAAATTTGGGTGGGGACGCAGCCAAACCATATCGGGTAGCAACAACCTAGGGTCAGTTTTGCAGGTGGTAAAGCCATTTACCAAGATAGTTGTGGGTAAAGAAGGGCAGATTTATTAGAGAAATTGTGAAAATATGTTGCAGTGGGCAGCTCAGCAGAGAAGGGGCTACCTGCAAAGAGGCAAGGGCTGGAGGAAAGTTTTATAGGGTCCTGCTGAAGGGTGCTACGTGTGGAATGAGGTCATTGTGCCCGCAGGTTGTTTGTGATTAGCTGTCTCTAACAATTGTTCATACAATAATTGTTCATTATTGTTCTCAACTTGGGGCTCTCCCCAACCTGGGGACCCTTCCTTATTGTTGCTTACTTATCAGGTCTCCACATAAAGGTGTGGAAACTTCATTCATTCATATCTTCAACACAAATTGTAGGTAGCCTGTTTTTTAAAACATTTATTCAACAAATATTTAGTCCAAGCCACTATTACTTACTACCTTCTCTACTATTGTATGGACTTTTAACTATCTCTGACACTATTCACTATTCTTCCACATTCTCTATTATTTATACCTATGGTAAAATTTGCCAGTTTGACCATACAACTAATACTCACAGGGAATATATAGAGTCTAGAAGAAAATATACAGGTCCTTAAAGGCTGCCCTGCCAACAAAACCATAACGCAGGAACAAACATCACAACTATGCCAAATAATCAATCCTACAATGTCCAAAATTTTACTTTAAAACTGGAATTACCAGACTTCCTTTCTGCATTAACCAGTTTAACTAGACAGTAACGAAATATTCCTACTTTATGCTGTGATAGTTTGTTTGTTTGTTTGTTTGTTTATTTATTTATTTATTTATTTAAGACAGAGTTTCGCTCTTGTTGCCCAGGCTGGAGTGCAGTGGCACGATCTCAGCTCACCACAACCTCCGCCTCCCAGGTTCAAGCGATTCTCCTGCCTCAGCCTCCCGAGTAGCTGGGATTACAGGCATGTACCACCACGCCCGGGTAATTTTGTATTTTTAGTAGAGACGGGGGGTTTCTCCATGTTGGTCAGGCTGGTCTAGAACTCCAGACCTCAGGTGATACCCCTGCCTCAGCCTCCCAATGTGCTGGGATTACAGCTGTGAAGCCACCGCGCCCGGCTGCTGTGATAGTTGAGATGTAAACCAAAAATAAAATTCTAAGCCACCCAATCCGACTGAATGGACCCTTCCTGTTGAGCAAGGACATTCCAAAGTAAACTGAAAAGACCAGCTTAGGCCATGATGGGAAGGGGAGGTGTCAACATGCCTCATTCTACCTTCCTCCCTCTGGAATCCAGACACAACTGACCAGCATTAACATTAAAACAGAGATCTTAAGCTGGGCACAGTGGCTCATGCCTGTAATCCCAGCACTTTGGGAGGCCAAGGTGGGATCACCTGAGGTCAGAAGTTCAAGACCAGCCTGGCCAGTATGGTGAAGCCATGTCTCTACTAAAAATACAAAATTAGCCGGACATTGTGGTGCACGTCTGTCATCCCAGCAAGGCAGGCGAATCACTTGAACCCAGGAAGCAGAGGTTGCAGTGAGCCAGGATCATGCCATTGCACTCCAGCCTGGTCAACAGAGCGAGACTCCGCCTCATTAAAAAAAAAAAAAAAAAAAATTAGCCGGGCGTGGTGGCGGGCACATGTAGTCCCAGCTACTAGGGAGGCTGAGGCAGGAGAATGGTGTGAACCAGGGAGGCGGAGCTTGCAGTGAGCCGAGATTGTGCCACTGCACTCCAGCCTGGACAGAAATGCATTTCATAATGCATTTTAATTGCATTAGCAGTGATTTAATTTTTTTAGATGCTAAAACTTATGGGTGAAAGTGGATTAAATGTAGCCAAATGCAACATCAAAATCTTCAGGCACAAAAACCCATTAACTTTTTCATACTCTCAGAAGGTGAACCTAATTTCAAATGAAAGCTGCCTCCAGAATATGTTGTTAAGCGTATTCTAGATATAATTCATTTTGGCAAACATACTGTAGAAATTCACATAACATTTTACTGTACTAAAAGTAAATTGCCCATGTAACAAAAAATATCTTTTCAGAGCTTGAAATGAATTTTAAAGGATGACTGATGGTCCTTGGAAGAGAAACAGTAAACAAATAAGGTTTGTAGCAGTGATGTATGAGTTAGAAATTGCAGTTCCAGATGATCTCTTTATTAAAGAGACGATCTACACTTAATTTGGTCAAGTGTTATGAACATAGTTCATGTTAAGTCTCCATTTAAATACAACCTGAAATACCAAAGTTAATTTTCTTTTCTTTCTTTCTTTTTTTTTTTTTTTAGAAGGAGTCTTGCTCTGTTGCCCTTCCTGGAGTGCAGTGACGTGATCTTGGCTCACTGCAACCTCCACCTCCTGGGCTTGAGCGATCCTACTGCCTCAGCCCCCCAAGTAGCTGGGAGGACAGGCGCAAGCCACGGCACTCAGCTAATTTTTGTATTTTTCGTAGAGATAGGGTTTCACCATGTTGCCCAATTTGGTCTCGAACTCCTGAGCTCAAGTGATCCGCCCGCCTTGGCCTCCCAAAGTGCTGGGATTACAGGCATGAGCCACCGTGCCTGGCCAGAAAATTGTAAACACACACAAACTCTCAAGTGGCCTAATTCCCTCTCACCAAACCAATCACAATACAGATAAAAGAGAATAACTTGTGTTCATTTTTGTACAAACAAAAAAGATATAAATTGTGAATGATGCATGATTTTTAATTACAAGTAAACTGGGCAAATGCTTCTGCATTATTTAAAGCTAAAAGGTGATCAGTGGAAACTTTCCTCTGTTAGTACTCTAATACTTTTTATATTTATCGGCTCACTACAACCTGTGCCTACCAGGTTCAAGCGATTCTCCTGTCTCAGCCACCTGAGTAGCCGAGACCACAGGCACGCACTACCATGTCCGGCTAATTTTGTATTTTTAATAGAGACAGGGTTTCACCGTGTTGGCCATGCTGGTCTTGAACTCCTGACCTCAACCGATCCGCCTGCCTTGGCCTCCCAAAGTTCTGGGATTACAAGCGTGAGCCACAGCGCCCAGCCTTATTATAATTGTTACTATTTAAATCTCTTTTGCTCTCTCCTTCAAGAGAGACCTCATCCCATTCAGTTGCTTCCATTTATTTATTCATCTTCTGCCTCCTGGGCTCGAGAGATCCTCCAGCGTGAGTCTCCCAAGTAGCTGGGACTACAGGCTCACACCACCAAGCTTGGCTAAATTTTGTAGGTTTTGGAGAGACAGGCTCTTGCCACGTTGCCTAGGCTGGTCTCAAACTCCTGGGCTCAGATGATCCACCTGCCTTCGCCTCCCAAAGCACTGGGACATGAGCCACCACGCCCAGCCGCAAGTACTTTTACACAAAATGCAAACACCATTCTTCCATCATAAAAGTGATACCACAGCTTCCGTGAAGTTTTGCCAGGTAGTACTCATAATTACCTTGGGTAAACTTTTTGATGTTAAACTGTATCTTCTTATTACGAGTTTTTCCATTGTATTAACTGCTTTTACAACAACACAAATAACAAGTTATTTTACAAACCATTTAGAAATTTCTGTACTATGGTCCCAGTAATGTAAAATATATTAATGCCTATTACATTCAGATAAATTATACACTTGGAAACCACATACTTATGACTTACAGAAACTTACATAAACAAATTATAGAAATTACATGCTCAATTTTTAGGTATATAGTCTTAAATTAAGCTTAAATATACATTCTCAAGATAAATTAACAGTTCAGGGCTTCACAACTTGAAATCTGTGGAAGATGACATTGGAGACAACAGAACTCTGGTGGAATTCTTAGATGGAATTTGCCGAAACTTTTTTTTTTTTTTTTTTTTGAGATGGAGTGTCGCTCTGTCGCCCAGGCTGGAGTGCAGTGGCGCAATCTCAGCTCACTGCAAGCTCTGCCTCCCGGGTTCACGCCATTCTTCTGCCTCAGCCTCCCGAGTAGCTGGGACTACAGGTGCCCACCGCCACGCCCGGCTAATTTTTTATATTTTTAGTAGAGATGGGGTTTTACTATGTTAGCCAGGATGGTCTCGATCTCTTGACCTTGTGATCTACCCGCCTTGGCCTCCCAAAGTGAAACTTTTCTTTAAAATAGAGATGGGATCTTGCTGTATTGCCCAGGCTGGTCTCAGACTCCTTGCCTTAAGCAGTCCTCCCACCTCAGCCTCCTAAAGTGCTGGGATTACAAGCGTGAAGCATTACATCCAAGTGAAACTTCTTGAGATGGTTACATAATGTCTAAATCTGCTGGTGTAGAAGTTAATAAAGTGTAGAACTGAATAACTATTAAATATTAGATCAAGTTTCTCATGTTTATCTTAACGTATAACGATTTATCTTAAAGCACTGATTTTCACAAAATAACATCAGTGTGAAATTGGAAAAGAAGCCAAATATTTTATTTCATGTATCTGGGAAATGAGGTGCTTTAGTCAACTGAATCTGCCCAAAACTAAAAAGCATTAATTAAAAAGTACTTAACTCAGAAATTATAAAAATAGGAGACATCAATAAAATACATTCTACACAGAATACGCCAACCATACACTACTCTTTTTTGATAATAAAAAATGTATTTACTGAGCCAGTTGTGGTGGCTCACGCCTATAATCCCAGCACCTTGGAAGGCCAATGAGAGTGGATCAGTTGAGGCCAGGAGTTTGAGACCAGCCTGGCCAACATGGTGAAATGCCGTCTCTACTAAGAATACAAAAATGAGCCGGGCACGGTGGCACGCACCTGTAATCCCAGGTACTCCGAAGGATGAGGCAGGATAATTGTTTGAACTCAGGAGGTGGAGGTTGCAGTGAGCCAAAATCATGCCACTGCACTCCAGCCTGGGTGACAGAGTGAGTCTCTGTCTCAAAAAAAAAAAAAAAAAAAAAGAAAAAAAGTCAGTTGCAGTGGCTCACGCCTGTAATCCCAGCACTTTGGGAGGCTGAGGCAGGCGGATTACAAGGTCAGGAGATCGAGACCACCCTGGCCAACATGGTGAAACCTCCTCTCTACTAAAAATGCAAAAATTAGGCTGGGCACGGTGGCTCACACCTGTAATCCCAGCACTTTGGGAGGCCGAGGCGCGGAGATCACGAGGTCAGGAGATTGAGACCATCCTGGCTAACACAGTGAAACCCTGTCTCTACTAAAAATACAAAAAATTAGCTGGATGTGGTGGCAGCACTTGTAGTCCCAGCTACTTGGGTGGCTGAGGCAGGAGAATGGCGTGAACCCGGGAGGCAGAGTTTGCAGTGAGCCGAGATCCCACCACTGCACTCCAGCTTAGGCGACAGAGCCAGACTGTGTCTCAAAAACAGGAAAGAAAACAAAAGAAAATTTGGACTATTGCCAATTACAAATATTTTTAGAGAAGAATTCAAAACAGTAACTGTGGATGATGGAAACAATAGTTATGATAAAAGTCTGATGAAACTTCCCAGTTCACAAGGAAATTTAATTACTTATGTGCAGCATTTTAAGACAGTAATCAGAATCATGACTGACAGCATCATATCAGGGCCAGCAGACTTTTATAAATTTCATACAATCTTCAGAAATAATAACTTTTTTTTTTTTTTTGGATAGATTCTACCTTTGTCACCCAGGCGGGAGTGCAGTGGCATGATCTCGGCTCACTACAACCTCCGCATCCTGGGTTCAAGCAGTTCTCCTGTCTCAGCCTCCCGAGTAGCTGAGATTACAGGCATGTGCCACCAGGCATGGCTAATTTTTGTATTTTTAGTGGAGACAGGGTTTCACTCTATTAGGCTGGTCTGGAACTCCCGACCTCAGGTGATCCACGTGCCTTTGTCTCCCAAAGTGCTGGGATTACAGGCATGAGTGACGGTGCCCAGCCATTCGTGACATGTTTATACAAATATAACTTTAGCAAATATTTAGCATAACTATCAAAATTACAAATCATATTAAATTTGTATAAATGTATGCAATTTTTGGAACACGCATATCAACAACATACCCATAAATATAACTGAGATGAGATCTAATGTCACCTCACTTGACAGTGCCCTCCCATGCAGTATCGCCACATTTGACAATGCCTGCCCATTTAATCTACCAAATAAATCGAATCACTTAATACCTCTACAAGATGAGAGATACATTCTTTAGACTCCCCAAGGGATGCAGCTGAAAAAAATCCCAAAGTTAGTTTTAAGCCAAAAAGACTTGATTTAGGATTTTGACACTGGAGAAACCCATCAAAGATGTCAAGTTTGAAAACACTTGATCAAAACAGAATCACAGGTCACTATTAAAAGAGTATTAATTTAACCAGAGACTTCCAAAGCAATACAGAAACTTACATGGATATAAAAACCCTAACCCTTTTAAAGGTCAGATTTGCTAAGTGATCAAAAGGGGTACTTGAATTGAATCGACACAGGAAGAGTGTGTACAGGGTTATGAGTGTAGGCAGGTGGTTACTTTGGTCATATCTCCATTTGCCACCTGATTACACATGAGAATGGCATCTTTACTCACCAGAAAGCCAGTATTATAGGAGGTGTAGGAGGCATTCTTGGACTTGAGACAAGAACATTGTTGTGTAGAAATTTCATTGACTGTGTTAAAATTATTCTCCATGGGCTGGAGAACACATAACATGGCCTTTAGAATGAGACGGGCATTGATTGGATGCAAGGTCTCCACACTTACTAGCTGTGTGACATTGGACAGAGTGCTTCATCATTCCGAGACTCAGTTTTTAAAGGAAAAACAACTAACTACCTTGCAAGCTTGCTAGCAGGTTTAAGTGTAATAATGTGTGGGAATGACTGCACCGTGACTAACATGCAGTGACAGCTTAATTAATGTTAACCCTTATCATTATCATATAAGAATGTGAGTTACATAAGAGAGGAGTCCTGTCAGTTCGTTCTCTGCTGTGTCCCCAAGACCATGAATCATGGCTGGCATGTAGTAGGCATTTAATAATATATGTTCAACAAGTATTTGGCAGTCTTGGAGGGCAGAAAAGGAGGTGGGGAAGATTTTTAAATAACATTTTTTAAAAAGTCACATTGTCCTACAATACCGATTTTTCTTGCATATTTAGGAAATTGAGGGTTTTTTTCTAAAACATGCGGACATATGGGAAATAGGATGCAACATTTGCACTAATGTTTCAGACACAGTTAGAGGTTTCCAAGAGATTTTGCGCTGGGGAGGCTGCTTGCTACAAGCTCCCAAAGCTCTGGGAGGACATAGTATTCATTCCTCCCTCAGCAGAAGCGGTGAGGCAAGAAGCTCTGGGGAGCACCCAGCGTTGGACTTTTAGCATAGTGTGTCAGGTCTTCATAGTTTGGGCCCAGGGCACAGAGAAGTCACAGCTCTCCGGCATCCTGTGACCTTTACCCTCTTTGCCAAGGGAAAATGTGGCCCACCAAAGCAAGAAACTTGAGGGCATGGGTCACCCCAGCCCTGGCATCTGCCCAGAGCCCGAGAAGGAAGGAACAATGATCCTCCAGCTACCTCACGGGGCTGGCACAGGTGACCACTGCCCTGGCATCACCCAGCTGTGTCCGGCAGCCTGAACCCCATCTGTGGGGATGTGAGGAGGAAAATACAAAAGTCCTTAGGTGAACACTGAGAAGGCAGATGCAGCAGAAACCTCCAGGCCAGAACTACCCAGTCTTGGACCTATGGTGGAGATAGAGCATAGCTGGCGATCATGTGTACTTACACTCTAAGGTCACCTGGTTGCACTATGGCCTCATCTGTGGCTCTGAAAATGAAGATTTGGAAGGAGATCATCACAGCTAATGTTTAACAAGCCCCTCCTGTGTGCCAAATCATTCACCCCTCACCACAACCGAATGAGCTAAGGATTCTCATTATATATAGTTTATGGAGAGGGAAGTGCAGACATAAAGAGGTGAATTATCTTACCCAGATCACACAGCTGATAAGTGGTGGAGGCAGAATAGAATCTAAACAGTGTGGCTCCGGAGCCCACATGCATTGATTCGACAAGTGTTTATTGAGCACCTGCCGCGGACAAGGCCTTGTGTGATTAAATAGGGTTATAATTAGTAATATAAAAATGAGAAATCACTAATGCTTTTTAGACTTAACATTTTGTTTTTTTGTAGGTTTCAGGCACAGAACTGTATATCCAATAATAGTGAAATGGATCCCACTAATTATGACAGAAATGATGATACATTTAAATGACTTGGATGTTTTATAGGTATGATCTCGTGAAATCTTGAGAGAAACTGAATGACGAATGAAACTATTGTTCCTGTTTCACACAGAAGAAAACTGAGGTTAAAAGGGGTAAAGTAATTTTGCATGGCATGAAGTAGAAATTCAAAGTACAGGAATTTGAACTTGGTTCTGTCCTTTTCTGAAGCCCTTGACCACTATAGACTCAAACATCACCTTGTTTTTCCACTCATTCAACACTTTTTTTTTTAAATTATCTAATAGGTTGGCACTCATCATGAGCCCCTGTTCTCATTCTGCAAATGGTGAAGCTCTCTATTGTCCTGACCCCACAGTTCCTGTCCCATGACCAGGGCCAGCTCACCAAGGAGCTGCAGCAGCATGTAAAGTCAGTGACATGCCCATGCGAGTACCTGAGGAAGGTGAGTGAGTGCAGACAGATGGGGCCTGGTGCCCTTGAGCAGTTCCCGGGTCTCAGCTGCCACACATCTCATAGCCGGTGATGCTGGGGGAAGCTTACGCAGTCACAGTACTGGCTTCTTCCTCTTTTTCTTTCCATACAAGTGGCTTAGGGATGGGGTAGAGTAGTTGACTTATTTGGATGAAAACCACTATCTTCTGTCAGAAACTCAAAAGGAATCATTGCTGGCATGGTAACCTAAAGAAAAACAACCAGACAAGTGCCCAACGACACTTAAAAAGGTGATTTATTATCTTGCCAAGTTTAGGCTGGGCATGGTGACTCATGCCTCTAATCCCAGCATTTTGGGAGGCTGAGGCTGGTGGATCACCGGAGGCCAGGACTTTGAGACCAGCCTGACCAATATGGCAAAACCTCGTCCCTACTAAAAATACAAAAATTAGCCGGGCATGGTGGTGTGAGCCTGTAGTCCCAGCTACTCAGGAGGCTGAGACAGGAGAATTGCTTAGATTCAGGAGGTGGGGGTTTTAGTGGGCCGAGATCACGCCATTGCACTCCAGACTGTGCGACAGAGCGAGACTCTGTCAAAAAAAAAAAAAAAAAATTATCCTGCAAAATTTGAAAAGGAAATTCAAATCAACAGCTTCTAAACTACTTTTTAACATGACTCATAATAATACATTCTATAGTACATATGTATGTTCTATAACTTTGAATAAAAGAGTTAACCACATCACATTTATTTTATAACATGTAATACATATTTTTTATTCTCCTTCATTTGTTTTGAATGCTCTGTGCAGTCTACAAAAAGTCCAATAGTAATAATTAAATTAGTCATTAAGTTGAACATTATCTTGTCTTTTAAAATGATAATCTCAAAAATGATCTTTTATTTTTGAGATTTATATAGATACACACACACACACACACACACACACACACACACACACACACATATTTTTTGAGACAGAGTTTCACTCTGTCCCCCAGGCTGGAGTGCAATGGCACAATCTTGGCTCACTGCAACCTCTGTCTCCCGGGTTCAAGCAATTCCTCTGCCTCAGCCTCTGAGTAGCTGGGACTACAGGTGTGTGCCACCATGCCCAGCTAATTTTTGTATTCTTAGTAGAGATGGGGTTTCACCATATTGGCCAGGCTCGTGTCAACTCCTGACCTCGTGATCTGCCCACCGCGGCCTCCCAAAGTGCTGGGACTATAGGTGTGAGCCGCTGCACCCGGTCCAAGTAAAATTATTTTAACAATATACTATGAAGAGAAAAACACTGGCTATGAAAGAATATGCATAGTTTTACCCTGTTTAAAAATAAAGATTGAAAGAATACATATGCAAATAAGTTTACTTTTATTTTTGGTAACACTTTACTGCATTGTCTGAATATTGACAATCAGTATGCATTATGAAGCTACCTGGCTAACATTGTGTACTCACTGTGTGTGCCAGGCCCTGGGTTCAATGCTCTACATGCACTTATATTTCATTTAATTCTCTCTGCAACCTGAGATGGTATAGCCACCTCATTTTACAGAGTTGAAACTGAGGCTCAGAGACTGAAAGTTAAGCCTGAGGTTGCAGTCAATAAGAGGCAGAGCTGGAACTGAAACCTACCTGTGTCTGACCACCAGTTCGTGTTCTGACGGCAGGCTAGTCTGCATCACAGAGTGTGGAGTAGATGGTGCATGCCTGCTAGGATGGGCTAGGTATCACTGTAGGTAAGAAACAGCCCCAAACTATGGAAATGTACACCACTGAAGGCTCTTTTCCTGCCCATGCTGCACATCCTCCATGGCTCTCCTGTGCCCTGTGCCCCACATGCCCTCATCCTGCCACGAGAATAAAGGAGCAGCCTCCATATGGGAGCTGTCAGCTGCTCTAAGAGATGAAGGAGAGAGTGGCCCGTCTCAATGGCTCCCAACTCTTTTGCCTCGAGGTGACACGCTTCACTTCCACGCACATCTCCTGGGTCAAAGCAAATCCCATGGGTACATCCACTTTCAAGTGGCCCAGGAGAGAACCTGAAATACTCGGTGGACTCCATTAAGGCCGTCATATGGTGTCAGCCTGCATGGGAGACTGTGGAGGGGCAGAGGAGGAGAGTGGGGAACTGATGGGAAATGACAGGAGGACTAAGTCACCGCAGATTTGCTTTATCTTCAGCCAGGTGGAGTTTGTCCCAGAGCCGCACAAAATCATCACCAGCATGATTAAACGGAGTAGACTTCAGAAAAAGCAGTTTGGTCGGATGTAATCAGCAGTGAACTCAGAATCAATTGAGTGACATTGAGTCAGTAAATCTCTGACTGCCTCAGTTACCCCATATGATAGTTTTGAGGATGGGAACATTGAGAGAGTTGATTTGGAAGGATATCAAGAGTAAAAATTCCAACATTTTTAGTTCCTTTAAGTTAAATCCAGGCACTGTCTTTCCTGCAAGTCTCCTGTTCCTTTCAGATTGCACAGGTGAGAGTGCTCAGATTAGGGCTGGAGGTTGTAAACCATTGCTCCCACACTGACAGTGCCCCCGTGTCGTGCGTGTATTCTGCGCATTTTCCTGTGCTAAACACTCTCCCAAAACATCGTGGGGCCTGATTCTTCCTCTTTGTTCCAATGGCCCTGGGTGACTCAAGTGCCCATTCAATGACCAGGACACAGAGGTCTTAGAGAGATGCTCCTTGAGGCCCCAGGTGCGAGCCTGTACCCTGCCGGAGCATGAGGCAAGGGACAGGGCATCGTCTGTGGGGATAGTGGGGGTAGTGGGGGTAGTGGTCAGCCAGATTTGGTGACTCTACTTGCTCACCAGACGATCCTACACCTGCCACCTCCGATGGATCCACTGCCTCTGTGCCTGCCTGTACTGCTGATGCTCCAGTGGATAACTCAGCATCCCAGCCTAGGCCCAATGCCACTGAAGATGGACCTGCCCCCTGGGGACCCAGGAGTCCTACCACTCAGCTGTCCCCAGGAGTGCCCAGACCCTCATTCTTATCCAGGACCTAGGAGCCCTACCCCTGGCCTTCCCTCATCAGCCGTAAATGATGATTTACTGCTGTTACCATCATCACTGCCTTCAGTGACCAAGGGCCTTCCAAGGTGCCAGCTCTGGAACGAAGGATGCCCTTGGGAGGTGATGACACTCAGGTACACGGGTGCTCAACAGATTGCTTCCTCCTATCCTCAGACGGTCTTTGCATGCATGCAGCCATTGGCACTCCCATTGTGTGGAAGGAAACCAGCCCAGGGTCACACAGCTGGTCAGCAGCAACATAGCTGGTCTCAAATCTAAGGTGCCTGACCATGCCTCCATGAGGGACCGCCTCCAAGGGAGGTTGATCCTGGCTTTGGGGAGCCTTTCCTGGGCTGCACGAATAACCTCCATTGTTCGAGACCCCAAACTCTGCTCACATCTTCCTTTCCCTATCTCTGCTTGGGCTATGATCACGGTGACTCTAGCAGCCCTTCATGGACATTATAGTACTCTCTGCCATTCACTTTTGCTCTAATCTGACTTCAACCCCCACTTACTTGGTCTCTCCTTTTACAACCACCACAACCGAAATCTAGGGCTGCTTTTTTTTTTTTTTTTTTTTGAGACAGAGTCTCATTCCATTCTGTCACCCAGGCTGGAGTGCAATGGTACGATCTCGGCTCACTGCAACCTCCGCCTCCCGGGTCCAAGGGATTGTCCTGCCTCAGCCTCCTGAGTAGCTGGGATTACAGGCGTGTGCCACCATGCCTGGCTAATTTTTGTATTTTTAGTAGAGACGGGGTTTCACCATGTTGGTCAGGCTGGTCTCGAACTCCTAACCTCGTGATCCGCCTGCCTCAGCCTCCCAAAGTGCTGGGATTACAGGCGTGAGCCACCATGCCCAGCCAAATCTAGGGCAGGAACATGGCTGCAGCATATAAAAAGAATTGAATTCCATACTTTTGTTAACCCTGTTTTTTGTTTGTAGTTGTTGCTGTTTTTGAGACAGAGTCTCGCTCTGTCGCCTAGGCTGGAGTGCAGTGGTGCAATCTCGGCTCACTGCAGACTCTGCCTCCCGGGTTCAAACTATTCTCCTGCCTCAGCCTCCCAAGTAGGTGGGACTACAGGCGCCCACCACCACACCCGGCTAATTTTTGTATTTTATTAGAGACAGGGTTTCACCATATTGGCCAGGCTGGTCTGGAACTCCTGACCTTGTGATCCGCCCACCTCGGCCTCCCAAAGTGCTGGGATTACAGGCGTGAGCCACCACACCCAGCCCCTGTTTTGTTTTTGTTTTGCTTGCTTCTTAGGGTTGTTTTTCTATTTATGGTAAAGGCATTGGCTTTCCATTTGTAGCATCAATAGAATATTTCCTGTTTACAATAACCTTATGTCATAGTAAATGGTAAAGGGATTTAAAGCAGTGGTTTTCAGCTGCCAGAGGCCTGAGAGAGTTTGGGCATACTCTGTGTGATCGGGCAGAAGGCCTGTGGGAAGTTTAGCAGAGGACAGGGCCAGGAAAGGTGATGGACAGTGGGGGTCTGTCCTGGTCACCAGGCCCCTGGGTCCTGCCCACCTGCTTGGAGCTCCCCACCCATCACACATGATGCTGCCAAGCCCTCTGGGTATTGTGGGCAAATACCTTAGGAGAGAAGCTGATGAACTTTGTTTCTTGAAATGCACAGATTCCTTGGACGTCCCTGAGAGCTCAGTCATGAAAGTCAACTTGGTTTTCTCCCCCTCATTTGGGTTCAGAATTTAAAGTCCACACACACAGGCAGTAAGATGATATAGATAAGGACGTCATCACTCGGTTTCGGATGTTAAAATGTCTAGGTGGGTTAGCGGTGATTTGAGATCACACAACCTTGTGCCACAAAGAGGAATTCCCAGGCCAGAGGGAGACATTTTATTGCCATGTTATGATCTCATCATTGAGTTGAAAGGCAATCTTGTTTCATTTTGGATTCTTTCTTATGTTTATGTCTTATAAGGGCACTTTGAATTTCCAAGCAAATAATAATTTTGAATTAGCTTTTAATCATTGACTTCTAGCACAGTTATATGATCAGAAACATGCTGTGTGATTTGATTGCTCTCAAATATATTGAGATTTGCTGGAACAAAATAAGTCAGGTTAATTTTTGTAAATGTACCAGGCATGCTTAAAATGAATGTATCTACATTTGTTCCTGAGATACAGGTTGATGGACGGATGGCTACATGGATGTGATGGAGATGGTTTACTATCGGGACCTTCCGCACCCTGCTGATGTTTTGTTGCTTAGGATATGAATGGCTGAGCGGAGGCTGTAAAACCTGGCACTCTGCTTGGGTATGAGGTTCTTCCTGCCATCCTGCCATCATTTGTTTTTTATGTTTTGTCGCCATAAGTGACCTTGAGGAACCCTGGGAGCTCAGGAAGGAAGGAGCGCCCAGAAGCAGGGACAGGGAGCTGGTTGGGGAGGACCAGAAATCAGGTTTGTGAAGGTTCCAGAGAGGACCTGTCTTTGGGAGGAGTGTGGGAGACTGAGATGGGGGAGGGGTCATTGGAATGATGCGGGCGCTACTTGGCATTGTCCATTGTGAGGCACTGTCCATTGTGAGGCACCACCGGGGTCATCAGGGATTGGTGGAGAGGGAGTATAAAGCCCCAGGGTTGGTAAGGGAGGGCCCAGACCGAAGAAGGTTTGGTGGATAGCAGAACCTTTTTGTCTCCCTCTGATTGCTCCTAAGCCTCACGCTCCCTTGCCCCGCGTGTCCTGTTGCTTCCCTGATCTTCTCCGTGACCTGTAGCTAAACCTTCCACCAGCGCTTGAGAACTTAATTTGAACCGGATCCTTTCCCAGACCCCTTTCTTCTTCTCCTCCTCCTCCTCCACCTCCTCCAGGTGCCCAACAGCCCCCTTCTCCTCCTTTCCCTTCCCTTACTTCCCCCCTTCCCCTCCCCTTCCCCTCCCCCTCCCCTCCCCCTCCCCTCCCCCTCCCCAACTCAGATCCGGCCCCGGTCCCCGTCCCCTTCCCTCCCCCCTGCCCTAAGCCACCTCCACCTCTGTCCTGGCCGCCTCAGGGCGCCCTGAAAGGACCAGGACATGCGGGTGCGGTGGATGCTCTTTTGGCTCCTCTTTGGGCTCCTACTGGAATTTATCAGCCATCAGTGCATCTCTGTGAGTAGACGCTGGACCCGTGGGGTTTCTTCCTTTTTACTGGGCTGTATCACGTGGCATGAAATTACACAGCTCAGGCCTGTAATCCCAGCACTTTAGGGGGCCGAGGTGGGCAGATCACTTGAGTCCAGGAGTTGAAGACTAGCCAGGGCATCATAGCGAAACCCCATCTCTACAAAAAATTCCAATAAAGATTAGTCGGGCCTGGTGGTGCGTACCTGTTATCCCAGTTACTGGAGAGGCTGAGGTGGGAGGATCGCTTGGGCCCAGGAGCTGGACGTTGCAGTGAGCCGAGATGGCCCCGCTGCACTCTTGTTTTTAACAAAGAAAATGGACCAAAACAAAGTGAAATGTCATTTGATTTGTGTCATCTGGTTTGATGACTTTTTTTTTTTTTTTTTTTTTTTTTTATAGACAGAGTCTCACTCTGTCGCCCAGGCTGGAGTGCAGTGGCAAGATCTCGGCTCACTGCAACCTCCGCTTCTGGGGTTCAAGCAATTGTCCTGCCTCAGCCTCCTGAGTAGCTCAGATTACAACGCCTGGCTAATTTTTGTATTTTTAGTAGACCACCACGCCTGGCTAATTTTTTTTTTTTTTTTTTTTTTTTTTTTTGAGACGGAGTCTCGCTCTGTCGCCCAGGCTGGAGTGCAGTGGCGGGACCTCGGCTCACTGCAAGCTCCGCCTCCCGGGTTCACGCCATTCTCCTGCCTCAGCCTCCCAAGTAGCTGGGACTACAGGCGCCCGCCACTACGCCCGGCTAATTTTTTGTATTTTTAGTAGAGACGGGGTTTCACCATGTTCGCCAGGATAGTCTCCATCTCTTGACCTCGTGATCTGCCTGCCTCAGCCTCCCAGTGCTGGGATTACAGGCGTGAGCCACCGCGCCTGGCCAAAATATATAACCTTAAGTGTAAGTTTACTAACTTTAGAAAGTACATACACCAGCATAAACCAACCCCCTTTCAAGATCTACATTATTTTATTTATTTATTTATTTATTTTGAGACAGTTTCTCCCTTGTTGCCCAGGCTGGAGTGCAATGGGGCAATATCAGCTCACCGCAACCTCTGCTTCCCAGGTTCGAGCGATTCTCCTGCCTCAGCCTCCCGAGTGGCTGGGATTACAGACATGTGGCACCACTCCCAGCTAATTTTGTATTTTTAGTAGAGATAGGGTTTCTCCATGTTGGTCAGGCTGGTTTTGAACTCCCGACCTCAGGTGATCCGCCCGCCTCGGCCTCCCAAAGCGTTGGGATTACAGGCGTGAACCACCATGCCCAGCCAAGATCTACACTATTATGTCACCCCAGAAAGTGAACTCTCAGTCTTCCCAGCCAGTCTCTTTCTTATCATAGGTTAGCTTGCTTATTCTGGAATTTCGCGTATACAGATGCATGCCATGCCATAGGTACTCTTTTGTGTCTGCTTTGTTCTGCTCAACACCATGTTTCTGAAATCATTACCATTGTTGTATGGTTCTCTAACTTCATCATTTCCATTTCAGACTCAGCATATGCTGAGTTCAACCTGTTGAAGGGCTATCTCTGTTTAATTCACCATCTTGAAAGAAACATTTAAAATTGAGATGTTTTCAAGAATATATAGTTAAATCCTGAGGAATCGACGTAGAAATGTTATCACAAGCTGTCTGAACTTACTCAGGGGAAGTCTTCGTCTTCACTCACATAAGAGTCTAATGGAATTAATATCAACAATCTTAGAGAAATCCCACACTATTCATGCCATTTTCATGATCTCCACCTTGATAATTTTTTTTTTTTTTTTTTTTTTTTTTTTTTTTTTTTTTTTTTTGAGACAGAGTCTCGCTCTGTCACCCAGGCTGAAGTGCAGTGGTGCGATCTCGGCTCACTGCAACCTCTGCCTCCCGGGTTCAAGTGATTCTTCTGCCTCAGCCTCCCAAGTAGCTGGAACTATAGGCATGTGCCACCATGCCCTGCTAATTTTTTGTATTTTTAGTAGAGACGGGTTTCACCGTGTTAGCTAGGATGGTCTCAATCTCCTGATCTCGTGGTCCACCCACCTCGGCTTCCCAAAGTGCTGGGATTGCAGGCGTGAGCCACCACGCCCAGCCCACCTTGTTAATTTTTAAGCACTAAAATTTGATACTTATTTGTGAATGAAGTAATCTCTTCATTGTATTTTTTTTTTTTTTTACTTATGCTGAGATTTAAATGACAAAGATTCATATAATCCAAGAGAGAAGTATTATTTAGAGGGATTCTTTTACCATGTGATATATAATAAATGCATCCAATGTTATACATCAATTTAAAAAACAAGTAAATAACTTTAAAGAAAAGATAACTACTGGCCAGGTGCAGTGGCTCACACCTGTATTCCCAGCACTTTGGGAGGCCAAGGCAGGTGGATCATGAGGTCAGGAGTTGGAGACCAGCCTGGCCAAGATGGTGAAACCCTGTTTCTACTAAAAATACAAAAATTAGCCGAGCGTGGTGGCAGGCGCCTGTAATCCCAGTTACTCAGTAGCTGAGGCAGGAGAATCGCTTGAACCCGGGAGGCGGAGGTTGCAGTGAGTTGAGATCATGCCACTGCAATCTAGCCTGGGTGACAGAGCAAAACTTTGTCTCAAAACAAAAAGAAAAGAAAAGATAAGATAATTACTTTATACTTAGCTTGTCTTACCCATGAGTGACGGGCTGCATGTGGCCCAGGACAGTTTTGAATGCAGTTCAACACAAATTTGTAAACTTTCTTAAAACATTAGGAGATTTTGGCCAGGTACAGTGGCTCATGCGTGTAATCCCAGCACTTTGGGAGGCTGAGGCGGGCAGATTACCTGAGGTCAGGAGTTCGAGACCACCCTGACCAACATGGCAAAACCCCATCTCCACAAAAAATACAAAAATTTGCTGAGTGCACTGTCAGGCACCTGTACTCCCAGCTACTCAGGAGGCTGAGGCAGGAGAATCACTTGAACCTGAGAGGCAGAGGTTGCAGTGAGCCGGGAGCACACCACTGCACTCCAGCCTGGGTGACAGAGTGAGACCCCATCTCAAAAACAACAAACAAAAACAAAAACAAAAAAATGGCTGGGCACGGTGGCTCACACCTGTAATCCCAGCACTTTGGGAGGCCGAGGCAGGCAGATCGCCTGTCAGGAGTTCAAGGCCAGACTGGCCAACATGGTGAAACCTCATCTCTACTAAAAATACAAAAATGAGTCGGGCATGGTGGCAGAGACCTGTAATCTCAGCTACTCGGGAGGCTGAGGCAGGAGAATGGCTTGAGCCCAGGAGCTGGAGGTTGCAGTGAGCCGAGATTGCACCACTGCACTCCAGCCTGGGCGACTGAGTGGAGCGGAACTCTGTCTCAAAAAAAAAAAAGAGGTTTTTTTTAGATCATCAGCTATTGTTAGTGTTAGTGTATGTTATGTGTGGCTCAAGACAACTTTGCTTCTTTTAATATAGGCAGGGAAGTCAAAAGATTGGATATCCCTGCTTTATACCAAGAAAGACAACACCCCACATTTGCAATGCCTGAAAACACTACCAGCCATCTGAAAAACATGTGACTTCTAACTTCTGTTCTTTTTTGTAGCAGTGGAATCCCACGGTGATATCTGAGGGATGTGGTTACCTTTTGGAGGAGGTTGACGGTTTCTAAGGATGATTCTTTCTGAGTGAAATATTGTCAGTGTCATTGACCTTTTCATTATTTCAACTATTATTATTCCAGGTTATCAATACTCTGGCTGACCATCATCATCGTGGGACTGACTTTGGTGGAAGTCCTTGGTTACATGTCATTATTGCATTTCCGACAAGTTATAAAGTTGTCATTACCCTCTGGATAGTTTACCTTTGGGTGAGTATACTAACTTTCTGTAGAGGTATACTTGTAATCACAAATAAGAATAAATTATATAAAACAATTCACATTTCTGGACTTCATTATGAATATGTGGTTTTACCCAAAAAATCAGGGAAATGATTTATTAGTATAAGAATTATGAAAACATCTGCCATTTGCATTATGAAAATTAAATAGGTCGGTGTTTGTTTAATAGAATGTCAACAGAGCTTTTGGTCAAAAATAAGTTTTTTTAACCTTTGTGCTATTTATCACAAATGGAGTATGAGGTTTCGTCACTTAAATAGGAAATTCTTTCTAAACTCTTCTGCTTTATAGTTCTATCGTATGGGTGGAAGGAAAGCTTCCAATCTCCTCTCTGAAGATTCACTGCAGAAATGAGCTGACAACAGACAGCTTAACAGGAAAAGAAAAACATAGAACAGGCATAAACATGGGAACCAGCTGAAAAATGAGACTGCTAGAAGGGCCGGATGGCTGATGCTTAAAGAGCACCCTCTTCTGAGGGGAGAGGGAGATAGATGGAGATGTAGGCCATTTAGAGGGGCAGCAAATGATTTTTAGGGGAAATGAAAGAGGCCAAGGAACAAACAATTGGCCTGAGACAAAGTTCCTGTGAGGTCATAGGGACGAGGTGACAAACTGCCGGAAGGTGAAGGGCAGAACTGCACTGCGTCTCATGATGCAGAGAAAGCCCCAGAGACTCTTAGAACTGCCCTCCAAGAGAATCAATGAAAAGTGTGTCTGGGCAGGGTAATTTTGAATGACATCATTCAAAGTGCATGTTCCGACTTGGAACTGGAGAGAGATCAGTATGTCAAAAGTCTGTACTTGGTAAGAATTTGGCTGCTAAGTTGTGCCATAATTTGTCTTTTGAGCCTTTTTTCCTTTGGGTAAGTTGAGCTCTACATTTTGTCTTGCCATTCATGACAGTAAAAATGTGGTTGTCTGGGGGCTGAACCTCCTTCTGAACAATGATCCAAGATAAAAGTACTAATACCACAATGCTTTTTTATATTCAAGGGAAGAGGAAGTATGTTTCAGTTTTACCACCTAGATAATTACACGTCATTTGGCACTGCCTTTCAAGATATGTAGAAAACAGAAAATATATGAGTTATGAAGATATCTAGGCACATTTAACATTCTCTATGCCACTTAGTCCTGAACAGAGAATTTTCGGTATAAATTGGAGGAAGCTTTTTTCTTTTTTTTTTTTCTTTTCTCACCCCGAAGACGAGTCTCCTTCTGTTGCCCAGGCTGGAGTATAATGGTGTGACCTCGGCTCACTGCAACCTCCACCTCCTGGCTTCAAGTGATTCCCCTGCCTCAGCCTCTCAAGTAGCTGGGATTACAGGTGCCCACCACCATGCCCAGCTAATTTTTGTATTTTTAGTAGAGTCGGGGTTTTACCATGTTGGCCAGGCTAGTCTCAAAACCCGACCTCAAATGATCCACCCACCTCAGCCTCCCAAAGTGCTGGGATTACAAGCGTGAGCCACCACGTGAGCCAGGGGAAGTTTTTAAATTTACCACTTTTTAACAATTCCACTTAGGAAAGTTCAGTTGAGCTGTTGGACTTGGACAACTTCGCACCTCTCATCTTTGTCCTTGTCATCTAGTCATCTATACCATTACCTCCTTAGCAGGGACATCATGGGTGCCATGAAGCATTCATGCGTGATGGCATTTCTTGGCTTCTCATTTCTTCATGTGTTTGACATTTCCCCTAGCTCCAAACTGGGCCAGCTACCTTTCCTATGAAATCTAGCAGTAGCTGTGGGATTGACGTGGTTGCTCTTTTCATCTTTTTAGATTACCCATTGCTTCTCTCGAAATCCTAGTACATGATTTTTTTTTTATCCTATGTGCAGAAATCAGGAAAAAACAAATTCTACAAAGAATTTGAAAGATATTATTTCAGGCCAGGTGTGGTGGCTCATGCCTGTAATCCCAGCACTTTGGGAGGCTGAAGCAGATGGATCATTTGAGGTCAGGAGTTCAAGACCAGATGGGCCAACATGGTGAAACCCCATCTCTACTAAAAAGACAAAAATTAGCCAGGCATGGTAGCAGGCACCTGTAATCCCAGCTACTTGGGAGGCTGAGGCACAAGAATCGCTTGAATCTGGGAGGTGGAGGTTGCCGTGAGCCAAGGTAGCGCCACTGCACTTCAGCACGGTTGAGAGTGACACTCTGTCTCAAGAAAAAAGTCATTTCAATGACCACCTCAGGAGATTCATAGGTATCTGACCCACATCTGAGATGGGATTTGCATTGCATTTTAGCTATGATGAGAAGAAATATTTAATATCTTAGAAGATTAAAAGCATACTGTGATAATATGGAAATCTTGGTGGGAATTCAGTCATTAGTGAGAATGTTTTGCGTTAAGTTCAAACCAGCCTCAATGAAGCTGATGTGAGGGAAGGGAAAGTGAACTCTGAGTAGAGCAGGGACAGAAGGAAGATGCTCCAGTGCAGATCAGGAAGGAGCAGGGGATGAAATGTTACAAATTCTAGAACTCAGAGAGCTGAAGGTAATTACTTCCTTTTCAAGTTGTGAAACATGTTAACCTGTGGTAAAATACTTATAAGATGATAATTACCATCTAACCGTGTTGAAGTGTACAGTTCAGTTGTGTGAAGTATATTCATGTCATTTTTTTTTTTTTTTTTTTTTGAGACGAAGTCTCACTCTGTCACCAGGCTGGAGTGCAGTGGTGGGATCTTGGCTCACTGCAACCTCTGCCTCCTGGGTTCAAGCAGTTCTCCTGCCTCAGCCTCCCGAGTAGCTGGGACTACAGGCGTGCATCACCATGCTCAGCTAATTTTTGTATTTTTAGTAGAGACGGGGTTTCACCATGTTGCCCAGGATGGTCTCCATCTCTTGACCTTGTGATTCACCCGCCTCGGCCTCCCAAAGTGCTGGGATTACAGGCGTGAGCTACCGCATCTGGCCTATTTTTTTTTTTTTTTTTTTTTTTTTTTTTTTTTTTTGAGACAGAGTTTCAATTTTGTTGCCCAGGTTGGAGTGCAATGGCACAATCTCAGCTCACCACAAGCTTTTCCTGCTGGGTTCAAGTGATTCTCCTGCCTCAGCCTCCCGACTAGCTGGGATTACAGGCATGCACCACCATGCCTGGCTAATTTTGTATTTTTAGCAGAGACAGCGTTTCTCCATGTTGGTGAGGCTGGTCTCAAACTCCCGACCTCAGGTGATCCGCCTGCCTCGGCCTCCCAAAGTGCTGGGATTACAGGAGTGAGCCACCGTGCCAGCCTCATGTCATTCTTGTGTGTGTGTGTGTGTATGTGACAGAGTCTCATTCTGTCGCTCAGGCTGGAGTGCAGTGGTGTGATCTCGGCTCACTGCAACCTCCGCCTCCCAGCTTCAAACGGTTCTCTGCCTCAGCCTCCCGAGTAGCTTGGATTACAGGCGCCCGCTGCCATGCCCGGCTAATTTTTGTATTTTTAGTAGAGACGGGGTTTCACCATCTTGGCCAGGCTGGTCTTGAACTCCTGACCCCGTGATCCACCTGCCTCGGCCTCCCGAAGTACTGGGATTATACGCATGAGCCACCGTGCCCAGCCGTCATTCTTATATTATTATTTCCTAGGTGTCTCTCCTGAAGACTATCTTCTGGTCTCGAAATGGACATGATGGATCCACGGATGTACAGCAGAGAGCCTGGAGGTCCAACCGCCGTAGACAGGAAGGTATGGCTCTGTTGGAATCCGCATAGTGTGGAAATGAGTTTGCCCTGGAAAGGGAAAGAACAGCTTCTTGCCCTCAGGTTTCTCACCTTCTCCTCTCCTCACTCTCACCAAGGGCTGAGGTCCATTTGTATGCACACAAAGAAAAGAGTTTCTTCCTTTCGAGGAAATAAAATTGTCCTGAAAGACGTCATTACTCTACGGAGACATGTGGAAACAAAAGTTAGAGCTAAAATCCGTAAGAGGAAGGTGACAACGAAAATCAACCATCATGACAAAATCAATGGAAAGAGGAAGACCGCCAGAAAACAGTAAGATGTGCCTTGACACAAATACTGTTGTATGAACCATGTGCCAATCAAAGTAGACAACTGTAAAGTCCTTGAGAATATTTTCTACAATATTTGTGGCAAATTCAGTGGGTTCAAAATTGAGTTTGTCCTTTCTGCTTCATTAGTTTAAGCTGTATAATTCCTTTCCCTTCCTACATTCTTGTTTTCATTTTTTCGGAGGAAGAGGAGTTGCTAGTACTGGCATTGGTTTTCCTTTCTCTTTTTTTTTTTTTTTTTTTTTTTTTTTTTCCTGAGATGGAGCTTTGCTGTTGTTGCCCAGGCTGTAGTGCAATGGCACAATCTCAGCTCACTGCCTTTTGGGTTCAAGCAATTCTCCTGCCTCAGCCTCCCAAGTAGCTGGGATTACAGGTGCCCACCACCACGCCCAGCTAATTTTTGTATTTTTACTAGAGATGGGGTTTCACCATGTTGTCCAGGCTGGTCTCGAACTTCTGACCTCAGGTAATCCACCTGCCTCAGCCTCCCAAAGTGCTGGGATTAGAGGCGTGAGCCACCACAGCCAGCCTTTTTTTTTTTTTTTTTTTTTTTAATTTTGCGATAGAGTCTCGCTCTGTCGCCCAGGCTGGAGTGCTATGGTGCAATCTTGGCTCACTGCAACCTCTGCCTCCCAGTTTGAAGCAATTCTGCCTCAGCTTCCCGAGTAGCTTGGATTACAGGTGTGTGCCACCACATTTGACCAATTTTTTTTTTTTTTTTTTTTGAGACAGAGTCTCACTCTGTCACCCAGGCTAGAGTGCAGTGGCATGATCTTGGCTCACTGCAGCCTCCACCTCCCAGGTTCAAGCGATTCTTATCCCTCAGCCTCTTGAGTAGCTGGGACTACAGGCATATGCCACCATGCCCGGATAATTTTTGTATTTTTAGTAGAGGCGGGGTTTCACCATATTGGCCAAGCTGGTCTAGAACTCCTGACATGATCCGCACACCTCGGCCTCCCAATGTGCTGGGATTACAGGCGTGAGCCACCGTGCCCGGCCCAATTTTTGTATTTTTAGTAGAGACAGGGGTTCACCATGTTGGCCAGGCTAGTCTTGAACTCCTGACCTCAGGTGATCTGCCTACCTCAGCCTCCCAGTGTGAGCCACCGCACCCAGCCTGGATTGTTGAATTCAATGCTTGGGTCACCTCCAGATTCATTTTCACAGTCTTTCATGTTTTGGTCATATGACATTGTATTTTGCTGCCATATGACTGATCTTTTTTTGTTAAATGTGAGATACTTGTTAAAAAATGTTTAGCAATGAATTGAGGCCTAGTAGCATGTTATCTTGCTGCAGAAGAGATGGGAGTCTACTTCTGGGGGATGGTCAGGGGTCCTCCATACAGGCTGCAATTGAAGTCGTCGGTGCAGGCTCAGTCCCTACAAAGGCCAGGGTATTTCCTGTCCACCTTTATTCTGATGCATGACTCTTCTGGGTCTCAACCAGAGCCAGTGGACTTCAGTATGGGTCGCTTTCATTGGCAGACCCTCAATCCACTTGTTTTCCATCTAATCCCACGCATGTGTGCAAAAGCTGCTGTGCTTCTTTGCATCTCAGTAGTTCCTTCTGGAATTCAGCAATGAAACGCAGGGAAATGGGTTCCAAATGCGAGGCTGACTTTCGTCCTGGGTTTCCTTCTTCTCCATCTTCACCTCATGTCTGTTTACTGCCATGTTAGCAATTTGATGTATTCAATCATGGGTTTTATATTCTGTTTGGTGTCCCCCATTGTTCTCATCGGAGATCAGAAGCTTCAGATGCACTTATGTCAACTCAAGAGTAGAATGCTTCCTTAGCTTCCCTCCAGAGTCAGGTTTTGTGTTTCTAGTTCCCAAGTGCACAGCAGGAGTAGTGATGTCCTCACTGGCTTCTCATTTGCATTAAGCTGTGAGCTTCTTTAGCGTGGGGACAGGACCCTGCTCCCATTGCATTCTCAGCACCACACCACCCACTCCTTGTTTGAGGCCACTCCAGACAGCATGTGCTGAAGGATGCCTTGTGGTCAGAAACAAGTTCATTAACTTTCTCTTTGAAGTGTTTTCGCCCCTGTTTCCTAGCGTTCTGGGAATTTTACACATCCTTCCTATAAAGCCAAGTATCAGGTGAGATCCTTAGGATCAGGACCATGAATCAAGTGGTGTGAGGGCAACACAGCAAATTTACCCTTTTGAGGCCGTTTCCTTTTTCTGCCCTCAATCTCTGTGAACTGAACCTTGTTAAAGTCAGTCAACACCAGGGTGGATGGTTTGCCGTTGTCACCTATTTTCAGGACATAACACCCTGACTTAGGAGCCATTCCGATCATTTCTAATTCAATAGATGCGCCCAGCATTCAGATTGCCTTTTCTCTCAACCAGGATCTTTAAAGTCGATGACAAGAGTTCCAGTCCTGAATCATGGCAAAGTGCAGTAGTGAACTGCGGGGTTATTCTGGAAGGATCTCTCTATGGCTGATGGTCTCAGTTCCGGCATCAGCCTCTGACTGAGAATCAGGTCTCACACAGGAGGAGTCAGATGAGGAGCAATCCTCTGCTTCCGATGGAGTTAGTTGTGATGAATTGGTGAGGTCTGGTTTTTCACACTGAACTAAAATGAGCTTTCGCTGTGTCAAGCACAAGACTGACCCCAGAGACACACATAGTGCACCTCATAGAAGCTTTTAATAGTCTTTATATTTACTAAAGAATAGGACTAACTATGGAACTATGAAGATGAGCTGGAAATGACAGGTGACTTGCCAGCAGGCCAGAGTGTGACTTTTTTTTGTCCCTCAATGGGAGGTGTCAATTCTCCCTTCGGTTGTGAGAATCAGTTGGTTCATTTGTGGGAAGGTTGCAGGGGGGATCTTTGAATCACAGCCTTCAGATGCCAGAAGGGCAGAGGGAATCCCACACGGGCTGGTGGATCATGTGTGTGCATTTCTCTCCCTTCTAATCTGAGGAAACTAAGCGTGAAAGAATGTGAGCATGCAGAAAAGGAGAGGCAGGTATCAGAGGCAGAGGAAAATGGGAAATTGGATATGAAAGAAATACACACCTACAAGTGAGTTCAGAAACTGTACCCCACCCTCTTGGGAAACGCCCATTGGAGTGTTGTTTTTAACCTTTGTACAGTATTTAGACCCAGTAAATGCAGAAATAGAAACAAACGGTCAGAAGACATATCGTGAGAGAGAGCGAGAGAGAGTTCACAAAACAGAAAACAAAGTACCTTAATATTTACCAGTGACCAAAAGATGTGAAGTAGCAAAACGTCTCCTGACCCCATTGCCAGCTAGACTGTGTGGAAACTCGGTTCATACCAGCCATTCTAGGGGTGGGGTGAGTTGTTGTCATCCTTAGGAAAGTGTGTTGTTGTAGGATCAACCACATCCTTCAAAAGGACTATGCCTGTTTATAAGCCCAGCTGTTTCTGCCCTGTGAAACACGGTAAGGATATTAATACAAAGAGAATACAGCTTTATGATAAAAGATGCTCAATGAAGGATGAATTAGGGATGTACTGAGAATGGGGAAGGAAACTATCATCTCAGAAGTCAGCAGGCAGTAAGCAAGAGGAGGAATCAATACAGCAACAGTTTGGATCAGACTGTACAGTTTTTTTGTTTTTGTTTTTGTTTTTCTGAGATGGAGTCTCGCTGTGTCACCCAGGCTGGAGTGCAATGACGTGATCTTGGCTCACTGCAACCTCCGCCTCCCAGGTTCAAGTGATTCCCCTGCCTCAGCCTCCCGAGTAGCTGGGATTACAGGTGCCTGCCACCACGCCTGGCTAATTTTTTGTATTTTTAGTAGAGAAGGGGTTTCACCATATTAGCCACAATGGTCTCAATCTCCTGACCTCGTGATCCATCCGCCCCGCCCTCCCAGAGTGCTGGGATTACAGGCGTCAGCCACCGTGACCGGCTCAGACTGTACTCTTCTAGCCATCTGAAATACGTTTTCTAGGTAGAGATAGATTGTGTAAGGGTACAGTTGTGAGGATAACAGAAACATGGCAGATTATTTAAAATCATCCTGAAAGTGGTGCTTTATCTGATGAAAGTGATTGTAATCCATAGGAAAATGTTTCAACGTGCGCAAGAGTTGCGGCGGCGAGCAGAGGACTACCACAAATGCAAAGTAAGGAGCTTCCTCCCTGCAGTTGCAGGATAGTTCAGTGCTGATGCAGATGATGCCACGGCCCTTAGACTCTCTCAACATTCAATTTCTCATGTGTTGGCTTTTTCAGATCCCCCCTTCTGCAAGAAAGGCTCTTTGCAACTGGGTAAGTTTGCTTGTTTTCCTTGCTTTTGGACATAGTCTGCCAGGTCAGGACATGGATACATTTTTCTCCCTACAGCTCTGTGCTCAAGCCCTGCAGAGGGAGATGGCAGAGAGAAAGGCTGCCTACAAGCATCACAGTCCCATCCCTGTTGGTAACCGTGTTGCGCAAAAACACCTTCATCCCCACCCAGTGGGGCCCCTGATCTAATATTCTAAGTGTCAGAGGTTCCGTATTTGTAATAGCAGATGGGCCCTGACTGTAAACTAGTGAAGAGTGAATGTAACTTATTACCCACAGGGACAATTCCAAATGAAGGCCTTAAATGATGCTCAGCTAAGCTGGTTCTTGTGTGGCCTCTGTACCTTCAAAAGCTGCCGAGTCCTATGATTACACGTGATGGGACTTGTACACTTGAAGTGAAACACAGTTTTAAAACTTGCTTTGTTTAGAATTCCCACCTCATTTTTCCATGGACAAAAGTATTCTTTATGTCCTAGTGCACTTACAATTTGGTATTACCTGGGAGTGAAAAGAAATATTACAGCCATGCCTAAGTGACTTCTTGAGGTGAGATTGTTCTGTCAGAAAACCCTCTCCCAGTTCCCCTGCAGCTCTTCAGGAATCCACATCTCTCCAGAGCTCTTTGTTCTCATGGGTGGCACCTCCAGAGTGAAGAAGATCCTTTGTCAAGAAGGGAAACAGAGGGGAAATGAGAGGGTCCTGCAGGCAGAGCTGGAATCAACTTCCACTCTGCCTCTTGCAAGCTGTGTGACCCTGGGCACAATTTCTCCTTCCTCTGGAAACCTCTGTTTTCTTAGATTTGGAGCAGGGTGGTCACACTGACCTTGCAGAGTTCTGAGAATCAGAGACAGAACATAAAAGGCCTGGAAAACATTCTCCAAAAAGAAGCTGCAACATGTGTGGACAGTGGGCTTTTCATGCCTCTCTTACTGTCTCTTACTGTCTGTTGACCTGGTGCAAGAAACATGCTCTGGTGATGGCTGTGAGGGAGGAATGAGGATAGACATAGACACTCCTGTGTCTCAAACATGCTTCTTTATTACTCTGTTATGACTCTGTCTTCCCTGGGGCAGGACCCCAGCCTGCCTACATTTGCAGACAGACACAGTGGCATGTGGAGACAACAGTGTGTCCCAATGACTTTCCTTTACCCTCCAGCTGTCGGCAGTACTCAGTGGAAGGGTGATATTATGACACTGATACTGCTATTTTGAAACCTGGAGGATGGAAAGGTGCAAAAATCTATCACCAGCAACAGAAGGTGCAGACTGTGTTGGTGGCGGTAATTTTGTCCATCAAATGAATATGTGTGAAAACATTCCCTCCTTTGGCCCTACAGGTCAGAATGGCGGCAGCGGAGCATCGTCATTCTTCAGGATTGCCCTACTGGCCCTACCTCACAGCTGAAACTTTAAAAAACAGGATGGGCCACCAGCCACCTCCTCCAACTCAACAACATTCTATAACTGATAACTCCCTGAGCCTCAAGACACCTCCCGAGTGTCTGCTCACTCCCCTTCCACCCTCAGCGGATGATAATCTCAAGACACCTCCCGAGTGTGTGCTCACTCCCCTTCCACCCTCAGCGGATGATAATCTCAAGACACCTCCCGAGTGTGTGCTCACTCCCCTTCCACCCTCAGCGGATGATAATCTCAAGACACCTCCTGAGTGTCTGCTCACTCCCCTTCCACCCTCAGCGGATGATAATCTCAAGACACCTCCCGAGTGTCTACTCACTCCCCTTCCACCCTCAGCTCTACCCTCAGCTCCACCCTCAGCGGATGATAATCTCAAGACACGTGCCGAGTGTCTGCTCCATCCCCTTCCACCCTCAGCGGATGATAATCTCAAGACACCTTCCGAGCGTCAGCTCACTCCCCTTCCACCCTCAGCTCCACCCTCAGCAGATGATAATATCAAGACACCTGCCGAGCGTCTGCGGGGGCCGCTTCCACCCTCAGCGGATGATAATCTCAAGACACCTTCCGAGCGTCAGCTCACTCCCCTTCCACCCTCAGCTCCACCCTCAGCAGATGATAATATCAAGACACCTGCCGAGCGTCTGCGGGGGCCGCTTCCACCCTCAGCGGATGATAATCTCAAGACACCTTCCGAGCGTCAGCTCACTCCCCTTCCACCCTCAGCTCCACCCTCAGCAGATGATAATATCAAGACACCTGCCGAGCGTCTGCGGGGGCCGCTTCCACCCTCAGCGGATGATAATCTCAAGACACCTTCCGAGCGTCAGCTCACTCCCCTTCCACCCTCAGCTCCACCCTCAGCAGATGATAATATCAAGACACCTGCCGAGCGTCTGCGGGGGCCGCTTCCACCCTCAGCGGATGATAATCTCAAGACACCTTCCGAGCGTCAGCTCACTGCCCTTCCACCCTCAGCAGATGATAATATCAAGACACCTGCCGAGCGTCTGCGGGGGCCGCTTCCACCCTCAGCGGATGATAATCTCAAGACACCTTCCGAGCGTCAGCTCACTCCCCTTCCACCCTCAGCTCCACCCTCAGCAGATGATAATATCAAGACACCTGCCGAGCGTCTGCGGGGGCCGCTTCCACCCTCAGCGGATGATAATCTCAAGACACCTTCCGAGCGTCAGCTCACTCCCCTTCCACCCTCAGCTCCACCCTCAGCAGATGATAATATCAAGACACCTGCCTTCCACCCTCAGCGGATGATCTCAAGACACCTTCCGAGCGTCAGCTCACTCCCCTTCCACCCTCAGCTCCACCCTCAGCAGATGATAATATCAAGATACCTGCTGAGCGTCTGCGGATTCCGCTTCCACCATCAGCCGATGATAATCTCAAGACACCTTCCGAGCGTCAGCTCACTCCCCTTCCACCCTCAGCTCCACCCTCAGCAGATGATAATATCAAGACACCTGCCGAGCGTCTGCGGGGGCCGCTTCCACCCTGAGCGGATGATAATCTCAAGACACCTTCCGAGCGTCAGCTCACTCCCCTTCCACCCTCAGCTCCACCCTCAGCAGATGATAATATCAAGACACCTGCCGAGCGTCTGCGGGGGCCGCTTCCACCCTCAGCAGATGATAATCTCAAGACACCTTCCGAGCGTCAGCTCACTCCCCTTCCACCCTCAGCTCCACCCTCAGCAGATGATAATATCAAGACACCTGCCGAGCGTCTGCGGGGGCCGCTTCCACCCTCAGCGGATGATAATCTCAAGACACCTTCCGAGCGTCAGCTCACTCCCCTTCCACCCTCAGCTCCACCCTCAGCAGATGATAATATCAAGACACCTGCCGAGCGTCTGCGGGGAGCTTCTGCGGGGGCCGCTTCCACCCTCAGCGGATGATAATCTCAAGACACCTTCCGAGCGTCAGCTCACTCCCCTTCCACCCTCAGCTCCACCCTCAGCAGATGATAATATCAAGACACCTGCCGAGCGTCTGCGGGGGCCGCTTCCACCCTCAGCGGATGATAATCTCAAGACACCTTCCGAGCGTCAGCTCACTCCCCTTCCACCCTCAGCTCCACCCTCAGCAGATGATAATATCAAGACACCTGCCGAGCGTCTGCGGGGGCCGCTTCCACCCTCAGCGGATGATAATCTCAAGACACCTTCCGAGCGTCAGCTCACTCCCCTTCCACCCTCAGCTCCACCCTCAGCAGATGATAATATCAAGACACCTGCCGAGCGTCTGCGGGGGCCGCTTCCACCCTCAGCGGATGATAATCTCAAGACACCTTCCGAGCGTCAGCTCACTCCCCTTCCACCCTCAGCTCCACCCTCAGCAGATGATAATATCAAGACACCTGCCGAGCGTCTGCGGGGGCCGCTTCCACCCTCAGCGGATGATAATCTCAAGACACCTTCCGAGAGTCAGCTCACTCCCCTTCCACCCTCAGCTCCACCCTCAGCAGATGATAATATCAAGACACCTGCCGAGCGTCTGCGGGGGCCGCTTCCACCCTCAGCGGATGATAATCTCAAGACACCTTCCGAGCGTCAGCTCACTCCCCTTCCACCCTCAGCTCCACCCTCAGCAGATGATAATATCAAGACACCTGCCGAGCGTCTGCGGGGGCCGCTTCCACCCTCAGCCGATGATAATCTCAAGACACCTCCCTTAGCTACTCAGGAGGCTGAGGCAGAAAAACCACGCAAACCCAAGAGGCAGAGGGCGGCTGAGATGGAACCACCTCCCGAACCCAAGAGGCGGAGGGTCGGTGACGTGGAACCGTCACGCAAACCCAAGAGGCGGAGGGCCGCTGACGTGGAACCATCATCACCCGAACCCAAGAGGCGGAGGGTCGGTGATGTGGAACCGTCACGCAAACCCAAGAGGCGGAGGGCCGCTGACGTGGAACCATCATCACCCGAACCCAAGAGGCGGAGGGTCGGTGACGTGGAACCGTCACGCAAACCCAAGAGGCGGAGGGCCGCTGACGTGGAACCATCATTACCCGAACCCAAGAGGCGGAGGTTGAGCTGAGAAGAGGCCAGTGCACTCAAGCCTGAGCAATAAGAATAAAACCGAGTAGAACAAAATAAAAAATTCAAAAAACAAAACAAAACCCACACTCCAAAAACTAACAAAGAATAAATAAATAATATAAAAATAAAATAAATACTGCAGTCCTTATGTTATTGCTTTGTTTCGATATCTGGTATGATTGCCTGAGGGACCTGAGGTTTTTAATCATAGGGGTTTTTTTTTAATCTTTAGAAGTGGTTGGTTATGTAAAATATTATTATTATTTTTTTTGAGACTGGATTTTGCTGTGTCACCCAGGCTGGAGTGCAGTGGCTCGATCACAGCTCACTGCAGCCTCAACCTCCTGGGCTTCAAGCAATCCTCCTGCCCCAGCCTCCCAAGTAGCTGGGATCACAGATGATGTGTGCCACCACGCCTGGCCAATGTTAAAAAATCCTTTAACTTTTTTGTAGAGATGCACTCCTGGACTCAAGCGATCCTCCTACTTGTCCCGACCACCAGCCTCTTTCTGATAAACATTTACACTGTTTATTATCTGATGCCATTTCTATCTTCTTCCTTGTCGTCCAGACATCAAAGAATTAGGTTTCTTCAGGGTTTTCTTTTTCAAGTGCTCAGTGTTAAAGATCACTCACATTAGGGCCACACACCACGGCTCATGCCTGTAATCCCAGCACTTTGGGAGCCCGAGGCGGGCAAAGCACTTGAGGTGGGGAGTTTGAGACCAGCCCAGCCAACTTGGGGAAACCCCACCTCTACTGAAAAAAATACAAAAATTAGCTGGGCGTCATGGTGCATGCCTGTAGTCCCAGCCACTTGGGAGGCTGAGGCACGAGAATCGCTTGAACCCAGGAGGCAGAGGTTGTAGTGAGCCGAGATCACATCAGCACACTCTAGCCTGGGTGACAGAGCGAGACTGACTCAAAAAATAAAATAAATATCACTTACATTAGATATACCCAAGGGGTGGTCTATAGAGACTTGGAAGCAGTGGTTATTGCAACAGGGGCACGGAAGTCATCTGGCTATGCCAGGATGCCCAGGGGATACTCGGGGTGGGTGGCATGGTGGTGCTGGGGACTCACCGCACAGGACGCTCTGATTGGCGCACTGCCAGGAGTAGCGCTCTGTCTTGGGGCTGCAGCCGGCCTCCTCAGCTCGAGTGTAACATCAGTCGTGGCCATGGCAGCACCTGCGGATGTCATATGGGCAGGACAGCAGGTGGGTGAAGCTCTCTCCTGGCCCTCCTCTCTTGCCAGGACTATGGGTGACTGAAGACCCCCAGGGAGGCACAGCATCCTCTTATCTAAGATTTTTTTTTTTTTTAAGAGACAGGGTCTTTCTCTGTCGCCCAGGCTGGACTGCAGAGGCACAATCATAGCTCACGGCAGCCTTGAACTCCTGGGCTCAAGCGATCCTCCCACTTCAGTGTCCCAAGTAGCTGAGACTACAGGCACACGCCAGCATGCCCGGCTGGTTTTTTAATTTGTATTTCCTTTGAGACAGCGTATCTCTCTGTTGCTCAGGCTGGAGTGCAATGGCTCAATCAGCTCACTTTAGCCTTGAACTCCCGGGCTCAAGTGATACTGCCACCTCAACCTCCCAAGTCTGCTACTACAGGAACACAAAATCCTTTTTTAAATTTTTTATGGATATGGGGTCTCACTATGTTGCCTAGGCTGGTCTCGAGCTCCCAGGCTCAGCAGTCCTACCTCAGCCTCCCCAAATGCTGGGATTACAGGTGGGAGCTACTGTACGCCTGGCCTTATCTAAGCTGTTTCCCTGAAAATCTCCGTCTTGGGTAATGATTCCATTGGCCCCACCATGCCCTGTCCTGCCTTCCTGGCTGTGCCCAAGCTTGGTCCCTGCCTCCCTGCCTCACTCTCTGGGTCTCGAGCTCCTGTGACACATGACTCCTCTCTCTTCCTGGAGTGATCCAAGCCCTGCCACTTCCTGACTTTGCCCACACTGTACCCTCTGCCTGGGGCAACTTCATGTCTGCCCATTGTCCCTTAGGCCTCAGCCCAGGCACAAGCCCCTGCCTCCGGAGGTCATCCAGGCCTCACCAGGCTACACCCTCTCGTAAAATTGGATTCCCTCCCTTCAGGGCAGGTTTATAATGAAATCCTCCTCAGAGGCCAGGTGCGGTGACACCCATCTGTAATCCCAGCACTTTGGGAGGCTGAGGTGGGAGGATCACTTGAGGCCAGGGGGTCGAGACCAGCCTGGGCAACATAAGAGAGACTCTTGTCTCTCTTGTCTCTATAACAAATTTAAAAATTAGCTCACCAGGCCAGGCTCAGTGGCTCATGCCTGTAATCCCAACACTTTGAGAGGCCGAGGCAGGTGGATCACGAGGTCAGGAGTTCGAGAGCAGCCTGACCAACACGGCGAAACCCTGTCTCTACTAAACATACAAAATTAGCCAGGCATGGTGGCACGCACCTGTAATCCCAGCTACTCGGGAGGCTGAGGTAGGAGAATTGCTTGAACCCCGGAGGTGGAGGTTGCGGTGAGCCAAGATCACGCCATTGCAGTCCAGCCTGAGCAACAGAGCAAGACTCTGTCTCGAGAGAATAAAAACACACAAAAAATTAACTCGCCAGGATGGCACATGCCTATAGTCCTAACTACTTGGGAGGCTGAGGTGGGAGGATTCCCTTCAGCCCAGGAGTTTGAGGCTGCAGTGAGCCACTGTGATTGTGCCACTGCACTCTAACCTGGGCAAAAGCGAGACCCCAGGCTAGAGTGCATGATTTTGGGTCACTGCAACCTCCACCTCCCAGGTTCAAGTGATTCTCCTGCCTCAGCCTCTTGAGTAGCTGGGACTACAGGCATGTGCCACCACGTCTGGGTAATTTTTGTATTTTTAGTAGAGACAGGGTTTAGTAGAGACCATGGTGAAACCCCATCTCTATTAAACAAATCTCTACTAACCCCATCTCTACAAAAAACAGCTGGGCGTGGTAGTGCACACCTGTAATTCCAGCTACTTGGGAGGCTGAGGCACGAGAATCATTTGCATCTTGGAGGCAGAGTTTGCAGTGAGCTGAGATCGCACCACTGCACTCCAGCCGGGATGACAGAGCAAGACCCTGTCTCAAAAAAAAAAAAAGGGCCGGGCGCGGTGGCTCACGCCTGTAATCCCAGCACTTTGGGAGGCCGAGGCGGGCGGATCACGAGGTCAGGAGATCGAGACCATCCTGGCTAACACGGTGAAACCCCGTCTCTACTAAAAATACAAAAAATTAGCCGGGCGTGGTGGCGGGCGCCTGTAGTCCCAGCTACTCGGGAGGCTGAGGCAGGAGAATGGCGTGAACCTGGGAGGCGGAGCTTGCAGTGAGCCGAGATCGCGCCACTGCACTCCAGCCTGGGCGACAGAGCGAGACTCCGTCTCAAAAAAAAAAAAAAAAAAAAAAAAAAGAAAAAAGAACAAACAACAGCAACAACAACAAAAAAACCTCTGTGTCAATCACAGCCTTCGAGCTAGGGGAGAGGCGGCCGAATTCTGCCCTCCGCTAACGAGCTATAGCTTTGTGGAAATGGGCGAGTGGCGTGCCCTTGTGAGCCTCAGGGCCGCATCTGTAAAATGGGCATAACTGTCATGCCTGTCTTTAAGAACAGCCTTGGGGGTAAATGAGTGGAACTAATGGAAAGATCTCAGCCCACAACCTTCCACAGAACAGGCGCTTCTCACACAGTAAGTAGCAGGAGTGCAGAGGCTGCAGGCATGAATCCAGTCAGACTGCAGACTGCCTGGGTTCAAGTCCCAGCTCCCACGTCTTGGTAACTAAGTGGCCTCAGACAAGTTACTTAGTATTTCTTCTTCTTCTTTTTTTTTTTTTTTCAGACGGAGTTTTGCTCTGTCACCCAGGCTGGAGTGCAGTGGTGTGATCTCGGCTCACTGCAACCTCCGCCTCCCGGGTTCAAGCAATTCTCCTGCCTCAGCTTCCTGAGTAGCTGGAATTACAGGCACCTGCCACCACACCCAGCTAATTTTTGTATTTTTAGTAGAGACAGGGTTTCACCATGTTGGCCAGGATGGTCTCGAACTCCTGACCTCGTGATCTGCCTGCCTCAGCCTCCCAAAGTACTGGGATTATAGGCATGAGCCACCACACCTGGACACGTTACTTAATATTTCTGTGCCTTGGTTTCTTCATCTGTGAAATGGGATTGTTGTGGGAATGCAAAGGGATTCCCAGGGCAGTTCCTTGTGCATAGTCTGGCTGCCTTTGTGTGTGTGTGTGTGTGTGTGTGTGTGCATGTGTGTGTGTTTAATATAGAGACAGGGTCTCACTATGTTGCCTAGGCTGGTTTCAAACTCCTGGGCTCCAGTGATCCTCCTGCTTCCACCCAAAGTGGTGGGATTACAGGTGTGAGTCACCACACCTGGTCACTTTATATTATTTTTTTCTTTTGAGACAGGGTCTCGCACTGTTGCCGAGGTTGGAATGCAGTGGTGCAATCTCAACTCACTGCAAACTCTGCCTCCCGGATTCAAGTGATTCTCCTGCATCAGCCTCTTGAGTAGCTGGTACTATAGTCACCCGGCTCCTTGCCCAGCTAATTTTTGTATTTTTAGTAGAGATGCGATTTAGTGATTCTCCTGCATCAGCCTCTTGAGTAGCTGGTACTATAATCACCTAGCTCCTTGCCCAGCTAATTTTTGTATTGTTAGTAGAGATGCGGTTTCCTTTTTTTTTTTTTTTTTTTTTTTTTTTGAGACGGTGTTTCGCTCTTGTTGCCTAGGCTGGAGTGCAGTGGTGCGATCTCGGTTCACCACAGCCTCCGCCTCCTGGGTTCAAGCGATTCTCCTCCTCAGCCTCCCGAGTAGCTGGGATTACAGGCATGCGCCACCGCACCTGGCTAATTTTGTATTTTTAGTAGAGACGGGGTTTCCCCATGTTGGTCAGGCTAGTCTTGAACTCCTGACATCAAGTGATCTGCCCACCTCGGCTTCCCAAAGTACTGGGATTACAGGCATGAGCCACCACGCCAGGCTGGTAGCAGTCTTTCCTAGAATGTGGATGCCTTGGAAAACAGGGGCTTTGCCTTGTTTCCCTAGAACCTAGAATGGCATCTGGCACACAGCAGATGCTACATCTATTGTAAATGAATGAATGAAAGAAGTGTCCTTGCAGCCACACTGGCAGCCGTAACATAGTGGTTATAAATCTAGACTCTGGAGTCTCAAGTGCAAATGTCATTGGCCTCTCCTCCAGCCTCCTCAAGGGGCACTCAATGACTGGAAGCGCCTTGATATGACTGTGGTTGGACTGACATGACTGCCAGATGGTGGGACTTGGTCTGTAGCAGAGACTACTTGGAATGGTAGAGGCAAAACTCAACAGCCCCTGGAGCTGCGCTTGTGGTGGAGCTGGACCCTGATTTTAGCTGGACCTTGTTTTTAGAGACAGGGTTTCCTTCTGCAGTCTCAATCTCCTAGCCTTGATTGATCCTCCTGCCTTGGCCTCCCAAAGTGCTGGGACTACAGGTGCATGCAACCACACCTGGCTAATTTTCTTCTTTCTTTCTTTTTTTTTTTTTTTTTTTTTTGATGGAGTCTTGTTCTGTTGCCCAGGCTGGAGTGCAATGGTGCCATCTCGGCTCACTGCAACCTCTGCCTCCTGGGTTCAATCCATTCTCCTGCCTCAGCCTCCCAAGTAGCTGGGACTACAGGTGTGTGCCACCGTGCCTGGCTAATTTTTGTATTTTTAGTAGGGACTAGACTTCACCATGTTGGCCAGGCTGGTCTCGACCTCCTGACCTCAGGTGATCCACCCACCTTGGCCTCCCAAAGTGCTGGGACTACAGGCACATGCAACCACGTCTGGCTAATTTTCTTGAGTTTTAGTAGAGACTGGGTCTCGTTATGTTGTCCAGGCTGGTCCCGAGCTCCTGAGTTCAATCGATCTTCCTGCCTTGGTCTCCCAAAGTGCTGGGCCTACAGGCGTGAGCCACCATCCCCAGCCCAATTTTTGTATATTTTGTAGAGACACAGTCTTGCTATGTTGTCCAGGCTGGTCTCAAACTCCTGGGCTCAAGGGATCTTCTTGCCTTGGCCTCCCAGAGCACTTAATTACAGGAATGACTGCATGTGCTGTTGTGCCTATACTTTCTGGAGATACGTTGTTAGGAATTTATGTAGTTGGCCGGGCACGGTGGCTCACGCCTGTAATCCCAGCACTCTGGGATGCCGAGGCAGGTGGATCACCTGAGGTCAGGAGTTCGAGACCAGCCTGGTCAACATGGTGAAACCCTGTCTCTACTAACAATACTAAAATTAGCTGAGCGTGGTGGCACATGCCTGTAGTCCCAGCTACTTGGGAAGCTGAGGCAGGAGAATGGTTTGAGCCCAGGAGCAGAGGTTGCTTGCAGTGAGCCAAGATCATACCATTGCACTCCAGCCTGGGCAACAGAGCGAGACTCTGTCTCAAAAAAAAAAAAAAAAAAAAGGAATTTACATAGTTGAACAACTATTCTTTGGACATCTTTCAGTCCAGTAGACGGTGTTAAACTTGAAGACAAATAACGATTTGACCTGTGATATTTGTTTTTCCCTCTTATCTTCTAAGCCCATTCATCCAGGTCATTCATCACCTTTAAAGGCATCCCCAGAGGGAGGCAGGTCTGGACAGAGCTGAAGATTGCACAGGCCATTTGCAGGCTGGATTCGTTCTCTGGTGACCCACCTGTCTGACTCGAGTTATTTTTTTCCCATGTCTGGACAAGACTGACCTCTGCCCAGCAACTCAGGCCTGGATTTAGTCCAAGGGCCCTCAGTGGCTTTTTTTTGTTTGTTTTTTCAGGAAGTGAAGAATTTAGAGGGATAAAAGGCGGAAATAACTTTTCAGCCTCTGACCTTTGTAACAATCTGGTTTCCTTTTAAAGGAGCATTGTTTGGGCCTGGGGCCACCTAGACCTTCTGATGCTCTTTCCCCACCCTTGGAGGAGGAGGAAAGGAAGAAAATGGGCCCTGAGCGATCACCACATACCGGGCCCTGGGGGTCTAGTGGCGAAGGAGGCAGGTAGGGTCTCTGCTTTCATGGAGCTTCTAGTCAAGCGAGACGCACTAAACAGTAAAGGGACAAATAGGATTACTAGAGGTAGCCCTAACTACTGGGACAGAAACAAGATGGTAAGATAGAGAAGGAAGAGTGGCCTGCTCAGATGGGGTGGTCCAGAGGCCTCTCGGGGGTGGTGACTCCTTTTTATTTTATTTTTTTTGAGATGGAATCTAGCTCTGTCGCCCAGCCTGAAGTGCAGTCGTGTGTTTCATGCGCGTCGGTGTGAAGAGACCACCAAACAGGCTTTGTGTGAGCAACATGGCTGTTTATTTCACCTGGGTGCAGGCGGGCTGAGTCCGAAAAGAGAGTCAGCAAAGGGTGGTGGATTATCATTAGTTCTTACAGGTTTTGGGATAGGGGGTGAAGAGCCATGTTTTGCGGGCAGGGGTGGATCTCACAAAGTACATTCTCAAGGGTGGGGAGAATTACAAAGAACCTTCTTAAGGGTTGGGGAGATTACAAAGTACCTTCTTAAGGGTGGGGGAGATTACAAAGTACATTGAAGAGTTAGGGTGGGGCAGAAACTAATCACAATGGTGGAATGTCATCAGTTAAGGCTATTTTTACTTCTTGTGTGGATCTTCAGTTACTTCAGGCCATCTGGATGTATACGTGCAAGTCACAGGGGATGCAGTGGCTTGGCTTGGGCTCAGAGGCCTGACAGTGTGATCTTGGCTCACTGCAAACTCTGCCTCCTGGGTTCAAGCAATTTTTGTGCCTCAGCTTCCCAAGTAGGTGGGATTACAGGTGCCCGCCACCATGCCCAGCTAATTTTTGTATTTTTAGTAGAGACAGAGTTTCACCAGATTGGCCAGGCTGGTCTCGAACTCCTGTCTCACATGTCTGTGTGAAGAGACCACCAAACATGCTTTGTGTGAGCAACATGGCTGTTTATTTCACCTGGGTGCAGGCGGGCTGAGTCCGAAAAAGGAGTCAGCAAAGGGTGGTGTGATTATCACTGGTTCTTATAGGTTTGGGGATAGGCGGTGGAGTTAAGAGCAGTGTTTTGGGGGCAGGAGGTGGATCTCATAAAGTACATTCTCAAGGGTGAGGAGAATTACAAAGAAACTTCTTAAGGGTGGGGGAGATTATAAAGAACCTTCTTAAGAGTGGGGCAGATTACAAAGTACATTGATCAGGAAGCAAAGTCTATAGGGAGCTATATAATAGAGGCTGCAGATTCATGGCAGATTCTAAAGCACAGCAGTCCCCAACATTTTTGGCACCAGGGACCGGCTTTGTGGAAGACAATTTTTCCACAGGCGGCATGGGATGGGGCGCAGGATGGTAATGGTCTTGGGATGAAACTGTTCCACCACAAATCATCAGGAATTAGATTCTCATAAGGAATATGCAACCTGGATCCCTCGTGTGTGCAATTCACAACAGGGTTCATGCTCCTGTAAGAATCTAATGATGCTGCTGATCTGACAGGAGGCAGAGCTCAGGCAGCAATGCAAGCAATGGGGAGCAGCCAGAAATACAGACGAAGCTTCAATTGTTACCCACCATTCACCTTCTGCTCTGTGGCCCAGTTCCTAACAGGCCACAGACCAGTACATGTCCATGGCCCAGGGGTCAGGGACCCCTGCTGTGGCACATTGCTTAATAGAGGACTGTAGCAGCCATGTGCCCTGACCTTTCCTTTTTTTTTTTTTTTTTTTGAGATGCCAGAAACCCAGAATTTTTTTTTTTTTTTTTTTTTTAAAGTCAAGGTCTGGCTCTGTTGCCCAGGTTGGAGTGTAGGAGGGCGATCTCAGCTCACTGCAGCCTCAACCTCCCTGGGCTCAGGTGATCCTCCCACCTCAGCCTCCCAAGTAGCTGGGACCACAGGTGCACATCACTGTACCCAGCTAATTTTTGTATTTTTTTTTAAGGGATGGAATTTCACCATGTTGCCTAGGTGGGTCTTGAACTCCTGGGCTCAAGGGATTCACCCACCTAAGCCTCCCACAGTGTTGGGATTATAGGTATGGGCCACCATGCCTGACCCTAGAGACTATTTTTAATACTAGTTTTAGGTTCTCAGAAAAATGGAGAAGATAGAGATTTCCCATATCCCTCTGACCCCATACATGCATAAGCTCCCCATGATCAATATCCCCCACCAAAGTTGTACATTTGTTAGAACTGATGAACCTATGTTGACATTATCGTCATTGGATTCTCATTATCATCCAAAGTCCATATTTTACATTAGGGTTCACTCTTGGTGCTTTACATTCTATGGGTTCAGACAAGTATATAATAACATGTATTCACCATTATAGTATCATATGGAGTATTTTCACTGCCCTAAAAATCCTTCCGGGCTTTGCCTGTTCATTCCTCTCTTACTCCTAATTCCTGGCAACCACTGATACTTTTGCCTTTTCTAGAATATCATATATTTAGAATCATACAGTAGATAGCCTTTTCAGATAGACTTCTTTCACTTAGTAATATGCACTTAAGTTTTCTCCAGGTCTTTTTTTGGCTTGATAGCTCATTTCTTTTTAGTGCTGAATCATATTTCATTATCTTAATGAACCACAGTTTATTTAGCCATTCACCTACAGAAGGACATTTGGTTGCTTCCAAGTTTTGGCAATTATGGATAAAGCTGCTATCAACATCCATATACAGGTTTTCATGTAGACGTAAGTTTTCAACTCCTTTGTGTAAATACCAAAGAGTGTGTTTGCTGGGTTATATGGCAAAAACATGTTTGCTTTTGTAAGAAACCAACAAAATGTCTTCCAAAGTGGCTGTATGATTTTGCATTCCCACCAGCTGTCACTGCTAATTGGGCAGACCTCCTTTAGAGATGTCGCCAAAGATAGTGTAATGCTCTTCACTGTAGGCATTTATGATCTATACAAGAATAACAGTGGATTCTGGGTCAGTGCCTTTATTTTATCCTGCCAAGTTCAAGAGAAAGGTTTTTTCTTATTCTAAGAGAAGACTGTTATGGTAAAGTAAAAGGAAGAAATATATAATTACTCTTCTATTGAGGAGGGAGAAGAAGGACACACTGTGATGTAAATGGCAGAAATTCAATAATTTAATTCAAACTAAAGAGAACGGGAATGTATTGAATTCAGGAATGGAATGTAACGGGAAACTCCACTGGTGGTCTTCAGGCATGGCTGAATCCCGTGTCTCAAATGATATCTTCAGGAATATGTTCCTCCCATCCCTCAGCTCTGTGTTCCTTGGTGTGGTCTTTACTTTTTCCACTTGGTAATATGAATGTCCTCCAATATCCTCCCCTACTGCCAGAGATACCAAGAAAGGAGAGCTTCTCTGATAGTTCCATCAAAACTCCCAGGGATGACTCTGATTGGTCAGCCTGCATCACATGCCAATTTTCTCGGTCAAGGAAGTGGGACCATGTGATTGACATGAGTATAAGACAATCTGTTCCTGAAAGAAAAGGGTGCTGGGGGAAAAGGCAACAGATGTCCACCACAGCATGTTTTTTCACTTTACTGGTTATTATCTCTTTTTAGACTCCCTCAGCACTGGACAGCTGAGACCACGAAGGACTTGGGACCCTTTCTAGTACTTTTCTCAGGAGATGAATTAAGCTCTATAGCCACAAAGGTAATGTTGTGCTCCATCTTAAGAAGGCTGAAGGAGTTTGAAGGGGAGAGAAAGTGTGGTCAGTTATACAGCATTGGGTTTACTGCTGTCTATGGTTCTGGAAGCTTCCTCCCTGCCTCCAAGGGCTAAGATGTTTCCAGCTCCATTCCAGGATGTGCAAGGTTCTGGAAAAGGGAGTGAGTCCACAGCTAAATGAACTCAGGCCCTTTTGTGTGGCCCCCCAGGCAGATGTGTGCAGACAGATATTACTTAGCTACCACTCTGCTATTAGTGTACATCTCACACGCATGCCTGTTGTGGCTCTCACACTGGCTGGTGCCCTATGCACATGCACATGTATGTCCAGTGTATGCAATCACATGTGCAAGCACATTTAATCCAATAACAAGTCTTTATTCATCATTACATTTGGGCATGACACTTTTCTAGGAGTAAGGCCCCAGAAGTTAGACAGTCTAGGCCAAGGGTCCTGCAAAATAAGCATGAGTTAGTCATTTGTGCTGCATAACAAAGCCACACAATCTCAAGGGCATAGAACAATTCGCATATGTTTCTTGCTGCCTGATTTGTGGGTCACTGGGGCAGCCCTGCTCTAGAACTTGTTTTTCTCACCATGAAGGTGTGAAACTACCAAAAAAGGGAAGGGATAAGTACAATTCTCCTTAAGTCCTAGGTTGGAAATTGGCACACTATCACTTCTGCCACACTCCAATGGCCAAAGTAAGTTACATGACCAAGACCAACTTTAATGGGGCAGGAAGGAGTCTCCTTCCATGGAGGTGGAGGGCAGGAAAGGAGTGAATGTTTGCTGAATGACAATCAGATCCCCCACAAAGCACATCCACACACTCTCATACCTGCACTTGCAGGCACAAGGTACACATGGTCACACATGCTCAGCAGGGCCTGAACACACACAACTTCACCTAGGATCACACGCAGCACACATTCTGAAGTCCAGTCACAGTAAAATCATATTCTGGATGTCTGAATATATAGTTATAAGCAGTTGATGCACACATGTTTATTTTTATTTTATTATTTTATTTTATTTTGCGATGGAGTCTCCCTCTGTTGCCCAGGCTGGAGTGTAGTGATGCAATCTCGGCTCACTGCAACCTCTGCTTCCTGGGTTCAAGTGATTCTCCTGCCTCAGCCTCCCGAGTAGCTGGGATTACAGGCCCCTGCCACTATGCCCAGCTAATTTTTATATTTTTAGTAGATATGGGGCTTCACCACGTTGGCCAGCCTGGTCTTGAACTCCTGACCTCAAGTGATCTGCCCGCCTCGGCCTCCCAAGTGCTGGGATTACACGCGTGAGCCACCATGCCCGGCCCTGATGCACAAATGTTATATATCCATCTATTTTTTTTCCTTCCTTGTTTTTCTTATGTTTAGATGTTTATTATTATTTTTATTTTTCCATAAGGTATTGGGGTACAGGTGGTGTTTGGTTACAAGAGTAAGTTCTTTAGTGGTGATTTGTGAGATTTTGGTGCACCCATCACCTGAGCAGTATACACTGCAACATATTTGTAGTCTTTTATCCCTTGGCCCCTCCCACTCTTCCATCCAAGTCCCCAAAGTCCATTGTATCATTCTTATGCCTTTGGGTCCTCATAGTTTAGCTCCCACATATCAGTGAGAACATCCATATATCTATCTAATCTTAAAAAAATCAACTTCTGAAATTGAAAAAGTCTTGTATCAACACTGTGAAATCTCAAAAACACAGTGTAGAGTTAAAAAAAAACCCAGATTGCAAAAGAATATCTATGGTAGGATACAAAGTAAATAAATAAATAGTAGCTGAATTAATTGAAAGCAAATGTAAGCCAAGTTTATATGTAAGAGAAGTGTAAAAGTGAATGCCAAATTCAGAGTGACAGTTACTTCTGGGGAAGGAGGAAGGCAAAGAGTGATGGAGGGACTTATTATTTATATTGTGATGTTTTATTTCTTAAGTTGGGTTGTGAGGACATGGGTGTTTTGTTGTATTATTCTGTATACTCTTTTTTTAAATACTGGAAATGTTTAATAAAGCAAGTAATACATGCTCCTGGTTAACAAATCCCAATCGCACCAAAGGTAATAGGATGAGAAGCAAGTCTCCCTCCCACCCCAGACTTCTAGTTCCCTAGCCTCCCTCTTCAGAGGCAATTGCTGTCCCCAATCTCTTCTGCATCCTTTCAGAAATATCCTGAATATCTATATAACAAGTTTTATATAGGTATAAAAATACCTATATAACAAGCCTCGCCAACATGGCGAAACCCTGTCTCTACTAAAAACACAAGAGCATATACACACTCTTCTTTAGAAAATACAAAATGGAAAATGCCATTCACTCCGCTATGCATATTGCTTTCTAAAAGTTAACTGTCTTAGAGTGGTTGCCTTCAGCCTCAGCTGCACATTAGAATCACCTGGGGAGATTCCAAGAGGGACCAATCCATGGTATCCAGCCCAGCCCGACTGAGTGAGAATCTTTAGGGGCTGGCTCTGGGTGTCCCAGGTGACTCTTAGGTACAGCCAGGGTTGAGAACTGCTGGCCTAGACTGTGACTCTAATTCTGAAGATGAGACTAGAAAGGGGAGCTACATAGGCTGAGAGGCTTGCTCTCTGGGTGAGCCGGGACCCAGTGAGGCATAGCTGTTTGTAGAGCCTGATGGATTATCTGGGCCCATGGGCAGGCCTTCTAATAAAATCCCAAGTCTTGACAAAGTGTATTCGTTCTAGATGAGAAATGGCACTTTCTCCAAGGCAACCCAAAGTCCCCTAAGTCCCCTCATTGCTAGTCTCCACCCAGGATGTTGAGACAACCCTTCTTCACCTCCTTTTCATGACAAATGTTGTGTTAGGCAATTCTTTTTTTCTTTCTCTTTTTTGAGATGGAGTCTAGCTCTGTTGCCCAGGACAGAATGCAGTGGCATGATTTCGGCTCACTGCAACCTCCGCCTCCTGGGTTCAAGTGATTCTCCTGCCTCAGCCTCCTGAGTAGCAGGGATTACAGGCATACATCACCACGCCGAGTGAATTTTTGTATTTTTTGTAGAAATGGGGTTTCACCGTGTTGGCCAGGCTGGTCTTGAACCCTTGACCTCAGGTGATCTGCCTGCTTGGGCCTCCCAAGTGCTAGGATTACAGGTGTGAGCCACCGCACCTGACCTGTGTTAGGCAATTCTTGCATTGCTATAAAGAAATACCTGAGACTGGGTAATTTATAAAGAAAGGAGGTTTACATGGAATACTATGTGGCCATAAAAAAGAATGAGATCGTGTTCTTTGCAGGGACATGGATGGAGCTGGAGGCCATCATCCTTAGCAAACTAATGCAGAAACAGAAAACCAAATACCGCATGTTCTTACTTATAAGTGGGAGCTAAATGATGAGAACACGTTGTCACATAGAATGGAACAGCAGATACTGGGGCCTATTGGAGAGTGAAGGGTGGGAGGAGGGAGAAGATCAGCAAAAATAACTAATGGGTACTAGGCTTAATACCTGGGTGATTAAATAATTTGTACAACAAACCTCCATGACACAAGCTTACCTATATAACAAACCTGCCATGTACCCCTGAACTTAAAATAAAAGTTAAATTAAAAAAAATAAAATGAAAAGGGCCAGGTGCAGTGGCTCATGCCTGCAATCCCAGCAGTTTGGGAGGCCGAGGCGGGCAGATCACGAGGTCAGGAGATTGAGACCGTCCTGGCTAAGAGGGTGAAACCCCGTCTCTACTAAAAAAACACAAAAAATTAGCTGGGCGTGGTGGTGGGCGCATGTAGTCCCAGCTACTCGGGAGGCTGAGGTAGGAGAACGGCGTGAACCCAGGGGGCGGAGCTTGCAGTGAGCCGAGATCGTGCCCCCCACTCCACCCTGGGTGATAGAGCGAGACTCCGTCTAAACAGACAAACAAACACTGCCAGGCACAGTGGCTCACATCTGTAATCCCAGCACTTTGGGAGGCCGAGGTGGGCGAATCACTTGAGGCCAGGAGTTTGAGACCAGCCAGGCCAAGATAGTGAAACCTTGTCTACAATAAAAATAAAAAAAAAATTAGCCTGGCTTGGTGCTGCATGCATGTAATCCCAGCTACTCAGGAGGCTCAGGCACGAGAATTACTTGAGCCTGGGAGGTGGAGGTTGCAGTGAGTGGAGATCACACCACTGTATTCCAGCTTGAGCAACAGAACAAGACTCTGAAAAAAAAAAAAAAAGAGACAAGAAAAGAGGATTGATTGGCTCGTGGCTCTGCCGACTGTACAGGAAGCATGATGCTGGCATCTGCCCAGCTTCTGGGAAGGCCTCAAGAAACTTACAATCATGGCGGAAGGCAAAGGGGGAGCAGACACATCTTACTTGGCCGACACAGGAGCAAGAGCGTGATGGGGGAGGTGCTACATGCATTTAAACAACAAGATCTCGAGAGAACGCACGCACTATTGTGAGGACAGTACCAAGGGGATTGTATTTAACCATTCATGAGAAATCTGCCCCCATGATCCAATCACCTCTCACTGGGCCCCACCTCCAACACTGGGGATTACATTTCAATAAGATTTGGGTGGGGTACACATCCAAACTATATCAAATATAAAGTTTAGTAAAAACTTAGAAATAGCACCAAACCAAAAAAGGGGTAGGTACACATACATTTTTTTTTGTTTTTTTCTGAGACAGGGTTTTACTCCCATCACCCAGGCTGGAGTGCAGTGGCATGCTCTCGACTCACTACAACCTCAGCCTTCTGGGCTCGGGTGATCCTTCTGTCTCAGCCTCCTAAGTAGCTGGGATGACAGGCTCATGCCACCACGCCTGGCTAATTTCTGTATTTTTAGTGGAGATGGGGTTTCACCATGTTGGCCAGGCCAGTCTTGAGCTCCTGACCTCAAGTGATTTGCCTGCATCGACCTCCCAAAATGCTGGGATTACAAGTATGAGCCACCACACCTGGCCTAACCTAAATTTTTTTGTCGATATTACCAGATTGCTCTGCTAATAGTGCACAGTTTGACAGTCCCACGGAAAAATGAATGTGCCCAGCATTAAGTATTAGCACTTTATTTTATTTTTGACAATCTGATGGGTGAAAAGTGATTTACTTATGTTTTTTAGACTTTATTGGATTTTTATTGAAGTTGAGTATCATTTTATAGGATTCTTTATAGAGACCACATTAGTGGGACTAGGGAATAGATTTATATGAGAAGTTGCTATAACAAAGAATGAAGGCAGTAAGTAGTGTGACAGTTTCAACTCTAATTTCAATCTGTATTTAAGGGGTTTTAATTATTATTCCTCTTCTTTCATCTTCTTTCACACAGTTTCCTGAGATCCTTCTGCAAGCAGCTTCCAAGATGGCCAGGACCCTGCCCCCTAAATAATTCCTCTGGGCTGTCTTTCAGTCTGTTCGGAACAGCAGTGATAAGATCCCCAGCTCTGACCCTATGCCTGGTGAGTGTTTCCAGGGTATCTGAGCCACTGTTGGCATAGTAATTAATGTTTTGGGCAGGGTCCCTAACATCAAGAGGCCTCCTTATGCAGGGAACTGGATGAAATGTCTGCAAAGCAATAGAATGACAAAATCTATAAGCAAAAGAATTACACTTTTGGTTCAGGTGCGATTGCTCAAGCCTGTAATCCTAGCACTTTGTGAGGTTGAGGCAGGCAGATCACTTGAGGTCAGGAGTTCGAGACCAGCCTGGCCAACATGGCGAAACCCTGTCTCTACTAGAAACACAAAAATTAGCCGGGTGTGGTGGTGCACACCTGTAGTCCCAGCTACTCAGGAGGCTGAGACACGAGGATTGCTTGAACCCAGGAGGTGAAGGTTGCAGTGAGCTGAGATGGCACCACTGCACTCCAGCCTGGGTGACAGCGAGACTCTGTCTCAAAAAAAAAAGAGTTACACTTTTGTAAAGTGACCTGGTATCATGTCCCATACTCCATACCCAGGCTAGTAGGTTTAATGCGTGAATATGTGTAACAAACATTTCAGTAGGATTGACTTAGAGGACCAACATGGATTAGTGGTTTAACATAGCAGTGACAGGGCCGGGCTGGCTACATTTCACTCCTGAGTCTGCCACTTACTGGCTGTGTGGCTTTGGGTAAGCTCTTTAACCTCTGTGTGCCTCAGTTTTCATCCTTTATCAAATGGGGATAATGAAAGTCTCTACCTCACTGGGTTATTGTGAGAATTAATGGGTTTAAACCCAGAAACATGTTTACCGGAATGCCTGGCATGTAGCAGATCTTTAATAAGTATTATATATTTTTAAAATTTGATTTTTTTTATTTTTTGAGATGGAGTCTTGCTGGAGTGTCACCCAGGCTGGAGTATAGTGGCATGATCTCGGCCCACTGCAACCTCCACCTCCCAGATTACAGCAACTCTCCTGCCTCAGCCTCCTGACTAGCTGGGATTATAGGCATGTGCCACCACGCCTGGCTAAGTTTTGTATTATTAGTAAAGACGGGGTTTCACAATGTTGGCCAGGCTGGTCTTGAACGCTGGCCTCAGGTGATCCACCTGCCTTGGCCTCCCGAAATACTGGGATTACAGGCGTGAGCCACTGCCCCCGGCCTAAAATTTGATTTTATAGAGGCAGGGCCTCGCTCTGCCACCCAGGCTGGAGTGCAGCAATCATGGTTCACTACAGCCTCGACCTCCTGGACTCAAGGGATCCTCCCACCTCAGCTTCACAAGTAGTTGGGACTACAGGCATGAACCACCACATCTGGATAATTTTTTATTTTTTTGTAGAGATAGGGTCTTACTGTGTTGCCCAGGCTGATCTTGAACTCTGAGCCTCAAGTGATCCTCCTGCCTTGGTCTCCCATAGTGCTGGGATTATAGATGTGAGCTACCATGCCTGTCCAAGTGTTAGATATTTTATTATTATTACCATGCACCTACTAAGTGCAGACTGGGGCCAGGCATGAGGAGACAAAGTTAATCACCCCCAGTGATAGTAGTTGACAGTCAGTGCTTGCTTTCATCCACCCAACAAATATTCGTTAAGCACCAATTTTGTAAATAAAGAGCTTACTTTCAAATGGAGGGTAGCAAGACAATAAATTTCCATACATAAGTAAAATATATGGTATATTGTATGAAAAGTGCCAAGAAGGAAAATAAAGCAAGGGAATGCACCACGAGTGTTGAGAGGGGACTGTCATGTGAAAAGAGAATCATGAAGGAACATCTTATTGAGAAGGTGACATTTGAATGAAGACCCAAGGGAGAGTGGGCCATGTGGATATTTTCAATTAGAGTCTTCCAGGCAGAGAGTGCAACAGGACCACTTCCATGAGTGGGAGGTAAGGGCCAGTGTGTTTGGAGGGGAGTGAGAGACAAGGCCAGCCATGTAGTGACTGTTAAAGGAAACCCTAATGACTTTGGCTTTTACTCTGGGTGGAGGCATCGTGTGACATCGAGCAAAGAAGTATCACAATTGGATTTGTGTCTACCTTGGGTGATTATCCCTCCATGCATTATCTTGTTCTCCCGTTTTTTTTTTTCTTGGTGAATGTGGGGTTTTATTGGGTAATGGAGGTGGCTCTCGGTGGGATGGATGGGGAGCTAGAAAGGGGATGGAGTGGGAAGATGATCTTCCCCTGGAGTTTGGCTGTCCTGTGACCAATCTCCTCTCCAACTGTCCCCAGCCAAACTCTTCTTGGCCTTCAGATGCTCCTTTCTCTGCCATGCTGCTCTTCTGCTCCTCTTCTCTTCTGTTCATCTGCTCATCTGCTTGTATGCTCATGGAGCCTGGGGTTTGGGGTTTATATGGGTACAGGATAGTGGGATGTGGCAGGCCAAAACCTAACATTTGGGCGTGAAAACAGGAATGCCTATTCCCATTTAGGGCTGCAGATTTCCAGGCTTGGGTGTTCTCTTGTTTTTTAAATGAAGGAAACTGGGGCTTAGGAGACTAAGGGACTTGTCTAAAGTCACAGAGTTAGTAAATGGCAGTTCTTGGATTTGTACCCAAAGTTGGTGGTGACCACCACTGGCTCCCACTGCCCTCAAGGTCTAGCAGTCCATGTCATCATATTGCAGAGCTCTTACTGTGTGCATGTGGTACACAAAATAAGGCTTTCCATGCTCAGGGGAAGGAAGCTCTGGTATCAGTGCATAGTTTGAGTGTTCTTTAGTTGGTTCTGGGTATTAATTGCTGCTGTGCTTTAGTGATTGATGGATTAGCAGAATTACCGCTTGGTTTTATATTAATTTGTGTGTGTGTGTTCACTCACTCCACAGATATTTGCTGAACACCTACGATGTACCAGGCTCTATTCTAAGCCCTGGACAGACACAGTGATAAGACCAAGTTCCTGATATACTAGTCAACCATTCTGCCCTCTCTAGTTCTGTGCTATCACTGATGTTGTTTTCACTAGAGGGTGGGCTGGGGGTTGGCCTAGGGAGGGATGGGTCTTTAGTCCTCTCCAAGTGGCTTATGATAAAGATGTTTGAGGACCACAACTGGCATCTTTGATCTGGTCTACTTTTGCCTCGTGATTGGAATGCAGTGAATTTCCATTGAAGGTGCAATGAGAAGAGAGAGGCCATGGGGCTCGGGAAATACCCTGGCCTTGGGTGGGGTTGGTGCATCTGTCAGCATCAGTGGTGGTCTGCGGCTAAGATAAGAAATCCAGGGTTGCTCTTAAGGATCCTAGAGTTTTCTCCCAGGTTGGGCACATCAGATCCAGCAAAGACAATATCTCACTTGCATGTTGGTTGGTAGCTGGTTTGAGTAGGTAAGGTTCACATTATTCAAAGACCGAAATGGATGTTTTTCCTGTTGCCAAGAGAAATGCAATGGGCTCATTTCTCTTTTCTCTTGGGATGGGAAAGCCACAACCCCCACTATGATTTTCATGGACAGCAACTCATCTTCCTGGTTTTTATTTTTTATTTTATTTTGACACAGGGTCTCACCGTTACCCAGGCTGGAGAATAGGTGTGATCACGGCTCACTGCAATCTTGACCTCCCAGGCTCAGGTGATCCTCCCACCTCAGCCTGCTGGGTAGCTGGGACTACAGGCATGTGCCACCATGCCTAGCTAATATTTTGTAGTTTTTTTTTTTTTAGAGGTGAGGTCTTACCATGCTGCCCAGGCTGGTCTTGAATTCCTGGGCTCAAGTGATCCTTCTGCCTTGGCCTCCCAAAGTGCTGGGATTAAAGACATGCGCCACCGCACAGCCCATCTTCCCATTTTTATAGGAAGGCTGCTGCATAATTTTGGAATCTTTATGCTGGGCTGCAAACTCAAAGGCATAGGGGGTAAGATAGGCAACAGAAATTGTGTATCGAGTGCTTACTGTATGCGTGGCACTGTTCTAAGTGCTTTACATATAACACATTTAGTTTTCACAACCATCCTATGAGGCGATTTTATTTCCATTTTATAGACAAGAAAACTGAAATACAGAGAGGTTAAATAGCCTTGGATTTGAATCGAAAGTCAGGACTGTTCACCACCAGCTCTTACTGCCCTCAAGGAATTTGTAGTTTAATTGTAATGTTGCACCGCTCCTAGTTTGTGCATGTGGATGTGCAAAAAGCTGGCATTTCCATGACTTTGTTACCCAGTAATTAGCAAGAAATGGCAGAAGTGGGATTCAAACTGGTCCCTGCCTCCTGCTCTCTGCTTTTACTCTGTAGTCCCTTCCATGCATAAATCTGACTGGCAAAGAATGTTACTCATTTCAATACACTAACATTTCCTGAAATTCTCTTTCCTCTTCTCCTTCCCTGCATCTCTCCTTTCTTCAGGTTGCCATGGAGTCGTGGCCCCCTCTTCTGATGACATCTTCAAGTTGGCCGAAGCCAACGCCTGCTGGGCCCTGGAGGACCTGCGGTGCATGGAGGAAGACACATTCATCAGGACCGTGGAACTGCTGGGAGCTGTCCAGGGTTTCAGCCGGCCTCAGCTGATGACCCTGAAGGAGAAAGCAATACAGGTGAAGCCCACCTCAGGGAGGAAACATTAAACAGAGGAAAAAAGAAAAACACCAAAACCAGTTCAGCATTTCTGCACATAGAACCCTCCTCGAGCAGTTTTCCCATACATCATCTTGAAATTTTACTGCATCAGCTCAGTGATATTGTGATCTCCTTATCTGAGAAAGGAGGAAATTTCCAGTTCCTCCCTCTTAGGGCTGTGGCAGAGAATGGGATGAGATGTGTCTTGGCATCTAGCAGATGCTCAGTGAATCAAGTTCTGTGGATGTCCCAGTGCCTCTGACCAAGGCGGTTTGCAGGAATTAGGCTTTATTCCTTCACCTGGAGAGCCCCAGCTGCTGCTCACAGCAGGTTTTCTCAGAATCATTTGCAAATTTGTCTGAAAATATAACAGAAAGGAGTAAAAAGAGGACTGGAAGTAGCTTTCCATCTTTAAAAAGGTCCCTTTGTTGGCTGGGTGCAGTGGCTTATGCCTGTAATCCCAACACTTTGGGAGGCCGAGGCGGGTGGATCACAGGAGGTCAGGAGTTCGAGACCAGGCTGGCCAACATGGTGAAACCCTGTCTCTACTCAAAATGCAAACATTAGCCAGGCGTGGTGTCATGTGCCTGTAGTTCCAGCTACTCAGGAGGCTGAGGCAGGAGAATGGCTTGAACCCGGGAGGTGGAGGTTGCAGTAAGCCAAGATTGCGCCAGTGCACTCTAGCCTAGGCGTCAGAGCTGATACCTTGTCTCAAAAATAAATAAAAATAGGCTGGGTGCAGTGGCTCATGCCTATAATCCCAGCACTTTGGGAGGCGGATCACGAGGTCAAGAGATCGAGACCAGCCTGGCCAACATGGTGAAACCCCATCTCTACAGGTGGCATGCACCTGTAGTTCCAGCTACTCGGGAGGCTGAGGCAGGAGAATTGCTTGAACCCGGGAGGCGGAGGCTGCCATGAGCCGAGATTGCGTCACTACACTCCAGCCTGGTGATAGAGCGAGACTCTGTCTCAAATAAATAAATAAAAGGAAAAGGTCCCTTTGTGGCCTGTTTTAGCTTTTCTTTCTTTTTTTTTTCTTTTTCTTTTAAGACAGAGTCTTGCTCTGTCGTACAGGCTGGAGGGCAGCAGCGCGATCTGTGGTTCACTGCAAACTCTGCCTCCCGGGTTCAAGTGATTCTTGTGTCTCAGCCACCTGAGTAGCTGGGACTACAGGCACAAGCCACCATGCCTGGCTAATAATTGTATTTTAGTAGAGACGGGGTTTGTTTGGCCAGGCTTGTCTCAAACCCCTAGCCTCAAGAGATCTGCTCACCTTGGCCTCCCACAGTGCTGGGATTACAGGCATGAGCCACTGCACCCAGCCCTGTTTTAGCTCTTTACATGGTTGTGGAATATCTAGTTACCCTCAAGGGTTAAACAATTCAATGTCTTAAAATTATAAATATAACTGTATTTATGTATTATATGAGTACTTCAAGTTTATTGTAGAAAAGTCAGAAAATAATAAAGAAGAAAATCAGTGATAATCTTTTACTCACTGTTGATATTTTGATAAGCACTGTTCAGCAGATAAGCACTGTTGATATTTTGGTATATTCACTTGAAGCTTACCAGACTCCAAAACTATGTATATAAAAAATATTATTTTATATATTTCATACATATATCTCATGTTTTACAAAAATGATATTATACTTACCTACTATTCAATAACTTGCTTTCTACACCCAACAGTACAGACTGCATATTTTTTCATATCCAAAATGTACATCTATGTCAGTATTTTATTTATTTATTTATTTTTTGAGATGGAGTTTTGTTCTTGTTGCCCAGGCTGGAGTACAATAGTGTGGTCTTGGCTTACTGCAACTTCTGCCTCCCAGGTTCAAGCAATTCTCCTGCCTCATCCTCCCAAGTAGCTGAGATTACAGGCATCCGCCACCATGCCCGGCTAATTTTTGTATTTTTAGTAGAGATGGGGTTTCACAATGTTGGCCAGGCTGGTCTCGAACTCCTGACCTCAAGTGATCTGTCTGCCTGGCCTCCCAAAGTGTTGGGATTACAGGCGTAAGCCACAGCATCTAGCCTATATCAGTATTTTAAATAGCTTTGTAATACAATTAGCCTTCCATATCAGTGGGTTCCACATCTGCAGATTCAACCAACCTCAGGTAGAATGTATTTAGAAAAAATGATCCAAATAACAATATAACAATAAAAAACAATACACATAAAAATACAGTAGCATTTTTGACATAACATTTTGTACATATTTACATAGCACTTATATTGCATCAGGTATTATAACTAATCTAGAGATGATTTAAAGTATACATGAGGATGTGCATAGATTATATGCAAATACTACACTATTTTATATAAGGGACTTGAATATCCATGGATTTTGGTATCTTTAAGAAGTCCTGGAACCAATCCTTGGTGGAGGTATCCACAGGGGCAACTTCATTTTATTTATGGTTAGTTCTTATTTATTTAGCTAATTGTTAGACTTTCAGGTTGCATTAAAAAAATGCCTCAATGTATGCCTTTATACATATACTGTTGGGTACTTGTCTCATTTACTCAGGCTAAATTCCCAGAGGTGGAATTTCTGGGTCAAAGAATATAAATACTTTAAAAGCTTTTGATACAGATAGCCAAATTGCCCTCTCAAGAGTATGTACCAACTTATATTCTCAACTACAACAAATGAGGGTATCCCTTACCTTGTATCTTTCCAGTATCGTAAATGGTGATAAGTCTTTATACTTCTTGACATGTGATGAATCAACATGGTCTGATTGTTTTTAATGTATATTTCTTTAATTATGACTGAGAATAAAGTTTTCCCCATACATTTAATTTTTCTTTTGTGAATTCCTTGTTGATGTCTTTTGTCTATCTTTTTTTTAAAACAAATATAGTCATCTTTTTATTATTGATTTAAAAGAGAGCTTTATATTAAGATTTACCCTATGTCTTTTTAATTTTTATTTATTTTTTATTAAGGGATAGTTGACAAATACAAATTATATATATTTATGGTGTATACATATATACAATATGATGTTTTGATGTATGTATACATTGGGGAATGGTTAAAGCAAGCTAACATGTCAATCACCTTTCATACTTGTCCGTTGTCAGTTTTTGTTGTGAGAATATTTAACATCTACTCTCTTCACAATTTTCAACCGTTCAACACATTATTATCAACTGTGGTCACCATGCTGCACAATAGGTTTCCCTATGTCTGTTTTATTTTTATTTCTTTGAGACAGGGTCTCGCTCTGTCACCCAGGCTGGAGTACAGTGGCACCATCTTGGCTAACTGCAACTTCTGCAAGTGAGTCTTGTGCCTCAGCCACCCAAGTGGCTGGGATTACAGATGTGCGCCACCATGCACAGCTAATTTTTTTTTTTTGTATTTTTAGTAGAGGCAGGGTTTCGTTATGTTGGCCAGGCTGGTCTTGAACTCCTGGCCTCATGTGATCTGCATGCCTTGGCCTCCAAAAATGCTGAGATTCCAAGTGTGAGCCACCGCACCTAGCCTCCTTATGTCTATTTTAGATACTGCCTTTGTCCATTCAGGCTGCTATAACAAAATATCATAGACTGGTAACTTATAAACAGAAATTTATTTCTCACAGTTCTGGGGGGTGAGAAATCAAAAATTGAAGCACTGGCAGATCCAGTATCTGGTAAGGACTTGTTTTTCATAGATGGTGCTTTCTCACTGTGTCCTCACATGGTGGAAAGGGACTAGCTTGTAGCTAGCTCTCTGGGGTCTCTTTTACAAGGGCACTAATCCCACTCATGAGGGCTCCACCCTTATGACCTAATCATCTCCCAAGGCCCAACCTTCCAATACTATCACATTGGAGATTAGGTTTTAACATATGCATTTTAGAGGGGCACAAACATTCAAATCATTGTAAATACCATCACAGTGTTCAGTCTAATCTATTTTCTTTTTTTGCCTAAAGGTTTGGGACATGCCATCTTACTGGAGAGAACACCATATCGTCTCCCTGGGGCGCATTGCTCTGGCTCTTAATGAGAGTGAGCTGGAGCAGCTGGACCTCAGCTCCATAGACACTGTGGCTTCCCTAAGCTGGCAAACAGAATGGACCCCGGGACAGGTGGGTGGATGTTTCTGGGTCTTTTAACTATTCCATATTTATAAGAGCTGCCTTCATATCCTTACTGTTAATTTCCTCATGATGGTCATTTTTGAGTCTGTTTCTGTTGACTGATTTTTCTCTTAGTTATGAGTCATATTTTCTTTTTTTGTTTGCAAGCCTAGCAATTTTGATTGGGTGATGAGCATTGTGGATTTTACATTGTTGAGTATTTGATTTAGTTGTATTTCTTTGAAGAGTATTGGGCTTTGTTCTGTCATACACTTAAGTTACTTTCAAATCAGCTTGATCCTTTTGATGCTTCCTTTTGAGTTTTGTTAGGGTAAAACCAGAGTGACCTTTATTCTGTTGTTAATTTATCATCATTACTGTGACATGATTCCTTTGAGGATGTTACCTAATGCTCCATGTATTTCAAGATCTCTCTACTTTGGCTGGTGAGAATGTGAACTATTTCCAGCTCCATATGAGCTCTGGAAGTTGCTCAGCCTAATCCTTTCTGATTACTGATGACTCTTTTCCTGCCTATGTGGAGTTTCACTCTTTGCATGTGCAAAATAGCAGTCAGTACTAGACATCTCTGCAGCTTTCTGGAACCCTCTGCAGTTTCCTCCTCTCCAATACTTTGCCCAAGTGATAAGTGCCGTGGCCTCTCTGAACTTGGATATCTGTATCCTCAACTCAGCTGGGCCACTGGGCTTGTTTTGGTTCCTCTTCCTGATCCATGTCTTGGAAACTGCTTTTTGGCAGTAAGTGAGGGTAATTTTAAGGCTCATCTTGTTTGTTTTTCTTCTTCTGGGATTATGATTCTGTTGTTCCATATCCGGATGCAGTTGTCTGATGTATTTTGTTAAATTTTCTAGTTGTTTATGGTGGGTGGCCAATTCCTATGTTAATTAATCCTTCATGGGCTAAAGAAGAAGTTCTTCCCAGAATTTTAATTGTTTTGATTGGGAGAGGAGTTTAGGGTGTCTAATCCACTGTACTGCTGGAAAGGGAAGTGTTAGCCCTTCCATGTTATCTTCGTTCTTAGGCAGCTCTCTCAGTGGTCATTTTCAGCACTAGGCTTATATACAACCTAATTAACAAGCCCATAAAAATGTGCCTCTTCTTTATTAGTTTTTGGAAAAGCCTCAGCATTGACTCCACTCATGTAGTTGCCCGCCCCTGAGCAACCACTCTGGTCAGGGGTTGAATATGTTGGTTGGCGAGGCCTGCATCAGGGAGCGGAGTCCATCTTATCAGCATCTCATGACCACATGAGCCGAGTGGGGAAGGATATGTGGTGGGCTGATTAAGGTCCCCCAAAGATGTCCATGTCTGAACCCCTGGAAGCTGTGACTATGTTAACTTATGGAGCAAAAGGGACTTTGAAGATGCGATTAAGGATCTTGAGATGAGGAGGTTATCTTGGATTATTTGGGTGGGCCCAATGTAATCACAAGGGTCCTTTTAAGAAGGAGCAAGGAGGGTCATAGATAGAGAAGGTGACATGATAATGGAAGCAGAGGGACCTAGAAAGAGATCTGAAGGTGCTCTGCTGCTGATTTTGGAGATGGAGGATGGGGCTATGAGCCAAGGAAATGCAGGTGGCCTCTTGAAGCTAGAAAAAGCAAGAAAATGAATTCTTCTTAGAACTCCCAGAAGGAACCCATCCTTCTAGTCCATTTTAGGACATACAGTCTCCAGAACTATAAGAGAATAAACGTGTAGTTTTAAAGCCACTATGTTTGGGGTAATTTGGTAGAGTAGCAATAGGAAGCTAATGGAGGGTAATTTTCCAAAGAAAAAGTGTGGACGCTGAGCAGCCAAAACCAATGAATGTCCCCCTACTCTTTTGAGCTTTTTGTAATCACGGTGGCCATGTTTCATAACTCTGAGTGGCACCATTCAAACAGAATACACTGTGAATGGTGCACCCCTGGAGCTGGGCAACATGCAGATCCTGGCCATGAAGATTACATGAGTTAATACTTGAAAACATTTTGAACAATGTCTGGTACATAGTAGTCAATAAAAATTAGCTGTTTTTATGTTGATATTGACATCATTGCATTGTCATCATCAACATTATCATCATTACAGCCCCTTTCTCTGGGTTAGTCTCCTCCTTTGCAAGATGAGAGGGTTAGCCCCAACAATCTGAGGTTCCTTCCAGTCTGATATTCTATAATCCCATGGTTCTTTGACTCTAAAACTGGTTTTGACTAGTTTGAGAAGTGCCACATCACACTGTGCTATTAAAATCATTCTATTTGCAGGCTCGGAGAAACAGAAAAATACATCCAGAAACTAGGGTATCTCCTTCCCTTCGCACCGATTTTAATTCTCATGGATGGCAGTGAGATTTATCAATATGTTTGAAGAGGATATGAAAACCTAACATTTGCATGTATCATTTGTAGTCAGTTCTTCAACTTTAGCTCCCAATCAACCTTAAATGCAGGTTTCTAGATTAATAGTCAGACCTGACGGAACTACATTAACAGATAGTTCAGCTCAAAAACCAATATAAGGGAAAAAACTATTATAGAAGCCAGAGGGATGAACAGAGAGATTGAAATCTTAAAGCTATTCATTTTTCAACAGTTAATATTGCCTAAAAGTGTTGGTATTAATTGTCTTGGAATCATTACATATACACTGGTCTCGTCACTCAAGGAAATTTATTTTAACTTATCACCTTGCAGGCTGAGCTTGCATTTTCCGGGTTTCAGTGGCAAGGACAATTTAATACCATATCTTCAAAGTAATTTTATTTAAATTGTATTTTTGCACTTTCATTTTAAAGTGAGCATGCCTGATAGTTGAGGAGCCCAAATTGCTCTGAGTCAACTAGTGAAACCTGATTATGAAGACTTAATAAGAAAAATTTGAAAACTAACTTGAATCTCCATCTTTTCTCCATAGCCAAACACCTTCACTGGCTAAGAGTATGGGCCCTGGAATCAGACTGCCTGGGTTTTGATCCTAGAACCATCATTTTCTTTTCTCTTTCTTCTTCTTCTTTTTTTTTTTTAGAATGAGTTTTGCTCTTGTTGCCCAGGCTGGAGTGTAATCTCCACTCACTGCAACCTCTGCCTCCCGGGTTCAAGCAATTCTCCTGCCTCAGCCTCCTGAGTAACTGGGATTACAGGCATGCATCATCACACCCTGCTTATTTTGTATTTTTAGTAGAGACGGGGTTTCTCCATGTTGGTCAGGCTGGTCTCCAACTCCCGACCTCAGGTGATCTGCCCGCCTTTGTCTCCCAAAGTGCTGGGATTACGGGCAGGAGCTACGGCGCCTGGCCAGAACGATCATTTTCTAGCTGTGTGATCTTGGCCTAGTTACTTAACCTCTCCTTGCCTCAGTTTGCTCATCTGCAAACTAGGGATACTATTAATACTTACCTCATAGTGTTATTTAGGAGGATTAGATGAGATAGTATGTGTAAAGTGGTCAAAGTGGTGCCAGCACACAGTATGCACTCAAGAAATGTTAGCTACAATAAATGTTAGCTATTACCACTTTGGATATACAGTCCCATTAAGTCAAAGACATATAAGTCTAAGCATGGTGTTACTGCATCCCCCGCCCCCATAGTAGCTGTGAGCTTTGTAATCATGGAGGACAACTTGATGAGGACACTGACCAGTCCGATTTTCAGAAACATGAGAAATCTTCCTGAAGCCAGTCTATTACATGAAGGCAGCAAAATGAAGCATGTCAAATAATATATATTGCCCACGACTTTTGTAAGTCACTCACTCAGATGTTGTTTCATTCATTCATTCATTCACTCATTCATTTACTTACTCAAGAAGTACTTATTGAACTCCTACTCTGTGGCAGGCATTATGCTAGGTGCTGGGGACTCATTGGTAAACTACCTGGATATGGTCCTTTTCTTTTGGGAGCCTACTTGGTGATACAGACAAAAAAGTGAGTAATCAAAGTGAAAAATTTGAAAAATCACGATAAGTGATGCGGAAAATGGACAAGGTGCTCATGGGAATAGTGGGAAGAAGGGCTGTTTGAGATAAAAGAGTCCAGAGGGCAGTTTTCTCTGAGTAGGTAGCATTTAAACACACCTGAGGGGTGGGAAGCACCAGCCCATGAAGACGGAATTTCATTGCAACATTTCACAATCTTCCTCAACACTTTCTCTCAACACCTTAATGATCTATATTGTGTGATGGGGATGACTAACATTAAACGGAGATGGGGGCCGGGCATGGTGGCTCATGCCTGTGATCCCAGCACTTTGGGAGGCTGAGGTGGGTAGATCACTTGAGGCCAGGAGTTTGAGACCAGCCTGGCCAAAATGGTGAAACCCTGTCTCTACTAAAAACACAAAAAATTAGTTGGGTGTGGTGGCGGGCGCCTGTAATCCCAGCTACTTGGGAGTCAGAGGCATAAGAATTACTTGAACCCTGGGGGATGGAGGTTGCAGTAAGCCAAGATCATGTCACTGCACTCCAGCCTGGGTGACACAGTGAGACGCTGTCTCAAAAAAAAAAACAAAAAAAAGCAAAGAGAGTTGGGAAGATTGACTATAGCCTGTGATTTTCGCTTCCACTTAGGGGTCTCTCCTTGGATGTCTCCTCATCTTTGCCTTGTGAGGTCTTATAATCTCTTTTACTTGCTCCCATGAGCACTGAAGGAACCAGACTTTATTTTGTGAGACAGAGTCTCCCTCTGTCACCCAGGCTGGAGTGCAGTGGCACAATCTTGGATCACTGCAACTTCCACCTCCCAGGCTCAAGCAATCCTCCCACCTCAGCCTCCCAAGTAGCTGGGACCACAGGCACGTGCCACCATGCCTGGCTAATTTTTGTATTTTTTGGTAGAGACAAGCTTTCACCATGTCAGCCAGGCTGGTCTCAAACTCCTGACTTTAAGTGATCCTCCTGCTTCGGCCTCCCAAAGTGCTGGGATTACAGGTGTGAGCCACCGTGCCCAGCCCAGACTTTATTTTGTAGCTGATCTTCATAGGATTGGCTTGGATGCCTCCTCAGGTCCTACATAGGTAGATAAAATGAATCAGCACATGTTTAGTTACAAGTGGCAGAAAACCCAACACAAACTGGCTTGAACAAATAAAGGGGCTGGGTGCAGTGTGCAGTGGCTCATACCTGTAGTCCTAGAACTTTGGGAGGCTGAAACGGGCAGATCACTTGAGGTCAGGAGTTTGAGACCAGCCTGGCCAACAGTGAAACTACTTCTCTACTAAAAATACAAAAATCAGCCAGGCATGTTCATGCCTGCCTGTAATCCCAGCTACTGGGGAGGCTGAGGCATGAGAATCGCTTGAACCTGGGAGAGGGAGGTTGTAGTGAGCAGAGATCATGCCGCTGCACTCCAGGCTGGGTGACAGAGTGAGACCTTGTCTCAAAAAAAAAAAAAAAAAAAAAAAAAGGAATTTATTGACTCCCATTACTGGAAAGTTCAGGGGTAGTGTTCAGATACAGCTGGATCCAGGATCTTCAACACTCTGGGTGGGAATCTGTCTCTTATCATGTTTTTGAACTTTGCTTTTCTTTGTGTTGGCTTCATTGAGAGACAGGCTCTATGCCTGCATGTGGTAGGTTCCAGCAGATCCTTGTGTATATCCTTCTAAGTTCAAGTCCAGAGTAAAGAAAGCTCTTCCCCTAATGCTCCACTCAAAGTTCTGGTTGACTCTGGTTAAATCACATGTCCAATCCAGAACCAGTGACTGCAGCTAGGCTAAGGTATGAATTGAAATTCATCACTCCTGGAACTTGGTGCAGTTAGCTTTGACTGAACCACATGAAGCAGGAATACAAGAGAGGTGGTTCTCCAGAGGAAGTTATGAATGATGAATAGCCACTGTGCTAGAATTATGGAGACTTATGTGTCAGCCGCCTTAAATCAAGGCTTAGTTTAAAATAGTTTAACACCAAAGTATTTTGTGTGCTACTCTTGGAATTGAAGAGTAAACATTGGAATTGAAGGGGTGAACATATTTCTGTAGGACCACAGAGGAAGAAAAAATCATTAAGGGGTAAACATATTTCTGTAGGACCATAGAGGAAGAAAAAATCATTCTGGCTGAAACCTCATGAAGAAGGTGACATTTGAGTTGAACCAAAGAAAAAAAAAAAAGAATGTCTGCACTTGGAAGTGCAGAAGGGCATTTCAGATGAAAGGACTGGTTTGAACAAAGGCAAAGAGACAGGAAATTATAAGGTTTTGTTGGAGGTTGTGGAAAGGCTGGGTGCGGTGGCTCATGCCTATAATCCCAGCACTTTGGGAGGCCGAGGTGGGTGGATCACTTGAGGTCAGGAGTTTGATACCAGCCTGGGCAACATGGTGAAACCCCGTCTCTACAAAAAATACAAAAAGCCAGATGTGGTGATGTGCACCTGTAATTCTAGCTACTTGGGTGGCTAAAGCATGAGAATTGCTTGAACCTGGGGAGGTGGAGGTTGCAGCGAGCTGTGCCACTGCACTCCAGCCTGGGTGACAGAGCAAGACTCCGTCTCCAAAAAACGAAAAAAAAAAAAAAAAAGGGAGAAGAAACGTTGTGGAAAAAGATGCTGGAAAAGTTTGGATCCTGATGCAGAAGAAGTTGTATGTCCAAACTGTCTGAGGGTCATAAGAGTGACTGAAGGAAATAAGCAGCAGACACACAGGACACAAGTGCCTTTAATATTGGTGAAGGATGTAAGAGATTCGTTGCCTGAAGACACTTCCATAGATTAGGGGACATACTCAGTTGAAGTAGTATCTTAAGGACATGAACTTGGATGCAGAGGCCAGGATGGTTTGGAGTGGGGATTCCAGAGGAGTAGGAAGGGAGATCAGTCAGGAGACTACAGCAACAGCTTATTTATCCCCTCAGGCCTGGGGACCTTGATCATTCCTGGATGGTTTATCTTTTATTCTTACTATTTTTTAGGCTGAATCCATTTTGCAAGGGTACCTGGATGATTCAGGATACAGTATCCAGGACCTGAAGAGCTTTCATTTGGTAGGACTTGGTGCAACCCTGTGTGCTATAAACATCACTGAAATCCCACTTATAAAGATCTCAGAATTCAGGTAACTAAAATATGAATGTGCAAAATGGCAAATGGGTTAATCCATCCATCCATCCATCCATCCATCCATCCATCCATCCATCCATCCAGATATTCCACCTCCTGACACTTGGCACCTTTCTGGGCTAAAATCCCACTGGGCTAATGGGATAAGCTGGATCTGCTGTCCCTGCTGAGCCTACTGTGCAGTGTGTGTGTGTATGTGTGTGTGTGTGTGTGTGTGTGTGTGTGTGTTTGTTTGTTTTTGGCTGAAGAGTCCAAGCTCATATTATATCCCTCCCTCTTTAACCACTACCAGGGTGGTAGTGGCCAGAATTGGGACCCTGCTCTGCAGCACACATGTCTTAGCCGAGTTTAAGAGGAAGGCTGAAGTTGTGTTTGGGGATCCCACTGAGTGGACCAGTTCTGTCTTGCAGGAGCTTGGGACCATTGCAGGTAAGACTCACCCTGAGCATACCTTTCTCTCTCTTTCCAAACTTAAATGTGGGGACACAAAATAAAACATTATCCTTGGCCATGTGTAGCAAACATCAGTGGCGTTACAGTAGAACCTACATTTCATGATTTGAAGTTGCAGAGGGTGGGTCTGCAAATCTGCTTTTAAAACAAGCTCTTTTGGAGATTCTTGTGTACACTAAAGTTTGGAAAACCGCTAGTTTAGAATGTGATTTAATTGGCCCCTAAGTAGGTTTATACAAAATTTGAAAGTGTGTAAATTGAAGTTCCTTCTGGGCATGCGTTTCACTGTAGGAGGCCAATCAGGGCTAATGTGACCCACATTTTTTTTTTCTGAGTTGATGAAGGAACTTGATTCCCCAGTGTGATTTCCAGGGCCTTTTGTAAGGAATGATGCCTGCCTAGAACACTCAGATCTGAACATTATGCAGCACCATTAATAAAACAAGCGGAGTTCTGATGGCTTGAACTAAACCCCCGTGATTCCTTTTTCTCCCCAGCTGGATTAACTAAGGCAGAGCTCCGGATGCTTGACAAGGATTTGATGCCATATTTCCAGCCATCAGCAATAAAATGCCTTCCTGATGAGATATTCAAAGTAGGTGCTCAGTTCTTCAAGGAGAAATGGGAGCTTGACCCCATTTCAAATCACACAGGGAAACAGGTGATGGGCCTTGGAATTTAGAGGCTTGTGACCAGGCTCTGCTGATGGGGTCAGAGGAGATCTGTGTGAGTTTAGGTGTTTTTAAAAAACATTTTTTCTTAAAATTACAATATGTAGTTTAATTATATTTATTTTTACGGTCATCTTCTCTTCTTCTAGCAGGTGGTACTGATTTTCTACTTATGGTGGTATGACAGGTTCATAAACCCTTACGAAAACCCCTGGGGACAGATATAGTTCAGAATTCAGAATTTCTCAGATTTTGAAAAGATCACCCTGTACATTTACTGTATGTAACTTCATACCCCCAGCAGTGTCTGGGGAAGCACCTTGTAAGCAAACACATTAATATTTCTGTGAAGAAATCTGTGACAAGCCACACTAATTGGAATAAATAGAGACTATAAATAAATAGCCTCACATTACTTCAGGTCAAGTTTTGCTGATAAATAAGTTTGACTTAAACTTTGGGGGAAAACTTGCAGTTTTCAGATTATTTTTGGACTTTGGAATTGCAGATGAGGGATTGTGGACCTCTGTAACATTTCCTTTTAAGATATAATTAAATAAAAATATTTTAGTTGATTTAGGTCAGGCATGGTGGCTCACACCTGTAATCCCAACATTTTGGGAGGCTGAGACAGGCCAATCACCTGAGGTCAGGAGTCTGAGACCAGCCTGGCCAACGTGGTGAAACCCCATCTCTATGAAAAATACAAAATTAGCTGGGCGTGGTGGTGGATGCCTGTAATCCCAGTTACTTGGGAGGCTGAGGCAGGAGAATCACTTGAACCCGGGAGACAGAGGTTGCAATGAGCCAAGACCACACCATTGCACTCCAGCCTGGGCAACAAGAGCGAAACCATCTCTCTCTCTCTCTATATATATATTTTTTTCTATATATATATATTTTTAGTTGATTTAAAGAAAAGTATTAGGAAAATCACAAGAGGACAGGTGAAAAACTGCTATGAAAAAATTGAGAGGGTGAAATTGGATCATTTGAAGGAAGGGAAGCAGGGTATCTAATGACAGGTCCTTTTTTTCTGTCTGTATACAAGATTAGGGGAGTGTTTGGTGGGAATAGTCTGCTCTGATGAGGAGGCAGTCATTCTGGTGTTCCTGTTTGCTGCGTAATGTGGGAACACATTTTGTCCAGCACTTCTGGATAAAACACACAAACCAGGCTCGACAAACTCCCCCAGTGCCACATCACTTGTTCATTTCAAGAAAGATAGCTGAGGCCGGGTGCAGTGGCTCACACCTGTAATCCCAGCACTTTGGGAGGCTGAGGAGGGTGGATCACGAGGTCAGGAGATTGAGACCATCGTGGCTAACATGGTAAAACCCTGTCTCTACTAAAAATACAAAAAAATTAGCTGGGGTGGTCACATGTGCCTGTAGTCCCAGCTACTCAGAAGGCTGAGGCAGGAGAATGGTGTGAACCCGGGGGGCGGAGCTTGCAGTGAGCCAAGATCGCTCCACTACACTCTAGCCTGGGCGACAGAGCGAGACTCTGTCTCAAAAAAAAAAAAAGAAAGCCAACCTTCAATCACTTCAGCATCCTGGACAGTTCCGAGCACATTGCAGGCATAATAGCTGTTTGAGGGCAATAAATAGCAGTCCTCAAAGCCATTGAGCAAATACCTGCTTCCCCTCTGGGGCACTCTGCATGGGACAAGCAGCTTGGTCTTGGATGCTGGCATTTTGCTAAGCACTTTCTCTTGGTCTTGTTTGGAGTGCTGTTGTGCTGCTTCCTTGTACAGGTATTTATCTATTCCAGAAATCCCTACTGATCACCTACATTGTGGCAGGCTCCAGGGTAGGTGCACCTAAGGATGCACAGGTGAAGGGGTTATCACATAGTGCCTTCAGGGGCCTAAAAGGTAACATAAGGTGCAGTAGGCTGGGTAGAGACCGAAGTGAACTGGAGAGCCTTGTCTAAATGTGGAGGCTGCTTCTCATTCCTAGCACATTCATGCAGTGTGGCCATGTGGGCCCAGGATTGCTGAATTTTCCTTTTCACTTTTTTCGAGAAGAAGTCAGAAATCTTCATTTTCATATGGAATTGCTTGATAATTAAATGTTGGCAGCCAATCTGAATTTATTTTTGAAAACACAGTGCCGTAGGCCTAGAGATTCAATCTGGCCTGTGGGTCGCAAGTCAGCAACATTGATAAAAGAGATAATTTTTAGAATACAGACTCTGTGTTAATGGTATATGGAAGCCAAAAAAGTACCTCTCTGACCACCCCACCGTGTGTGTGTGTGTGTGTGTGTGTGTGTGTGTGTGTGTGTGTGTGTAGTGAGAGGAGAGGAGGTGATGCTGAATTTTAATTTTTTTGAGACAAAGTCTCACTCTGTTGCCCAAGGGAGTGCAGTGGCACAATGATGGCTCACTGCACCCTTGATCCCCTGGGCTCAAGCAATCCTCTCACGTCAGCCTAAGTAACTAGGACTACACACTTGGCTAATTAAAAAAACTTTTTGTAGAGAAGGGGGGTCTCACTGTGTTGCCCAGGCTGGTCTCGAACTCCTGAGCTCCGTTAATCATTCTGCCTCAGCCTCCTAAAGTGCTGGGATTGTAGGCATGAGCCATGGCGCTTGACCGACCAGATGCTGAATCTTGGAGAACAGCTGGCGATGAAGAAGAAACAGTGTTCCAGGCAGAAAGAGGTGCACAGGAAGATGCTGCCTCTAGGGAACTGTAAATATTGGCACCCACTCTCCTGGAGTGAAGAATGCCATGTGTGAGGCTGGAGAGGTGGGCAGAGTTTTTTCCAGGAGCCTGAACTGTGTTCTGGAGTGGGGTTCCTGGAAGGGCTTTACACAGAGGGATATGATTCCAGGGAAGTATCTACCTGGACAAAAGAGGAGGAGAGGGTGACTGACAGGAGAGGAAGGGATGAGGGAGCATAAGCATCTTTCCCAGATTCTTCAGGGCCTTTAGAAAATAAACATGATGATATAGAGTCCCCTTCGTATTCCAGTCCCATTGGAACGAGTCACCAAGTCCTTTGATCTGGAAGTGACTTCAGAAGACACCTTGTTCACAGTCCTTGAAGACATAGTCTGGCCGGCAGAATTCCCAACTCATGTTGTCCATAGCAGATATCACCAATAGATGACTGCATTTTCCCTCCATGGAGCCCTCACAGAGCTCATCACATGGTGCTCAGGCAGTCAAACCAAAGGATCAGAATCAGTCAGCAGAGGAGATGAGTTCTCTATGCCATCTCACATTTATCCCCAAAGCCCAGGGAGGCTGTGTAATTTGTTCAAGGTGACACAGCAAGTATGTGGCAGAGCAGGGGCTCGAATTCAGGCCTCTGATCTTTAAGGCCTGTGTTTCCCCCTCCACATCAGTGTTTCAGGAGGTGGAAGACTTGAAGCACTGGGAAGCTGTCTTGCATTGCATTAAACAACATTGCCACATAGGGAGGAAATCATGCTTCCCTTTTCAACTCTCCATTAGTACTTCTAAATACCTCAAGAAGGAAGTGTCAATTTAACCCTGTATAATACATTTTATATTCTCTCTCTCTCTCTTTTTTTTCAAGAGGCCAGGGGTTCAGATATTGTTGGCGGACAAATCTAGCTAGGATTCAACAATATTGTTTTATTTTTATTTTGCGGCTCCTATTTAATGCTTGCTTATGGCAAGTCTGCCGGCTTTCCATTTTTGGAAACTTCCATTTTAAATTTTCTATTTTTAAATGCATTTACTTTGGTAGTGCAAGAGTGATCTAATTTTAAGGAAATATCTTAAAGAGGACCACACATGATACACACAAGGGGATGGCAAAGTTGTGTGCATCCTGCGCGGACGCCCGAGATGTGGGAAATCCGGGGAGGGGCCCCGTGTGAGGGTGCTGCCCCTTTGCCTCCTGCAGGAGCTGTCCGCGGAGCAGATCGCCTCCCTGGGTCCGGAGAACGCGGCGGCGGTGACCCACGCCCAGCGCCGGCGGCTCAGTCCACTGCAGCTGCAGAGCCTCCAGCAGGCGCTAGATGGCGCCAAGACTCACTCCTGGCAGGACGCGCCCGCTAGCGCCGGTCCCACTAGAACCTCATCCTCGCGTTCTCCCGCAGGTGAGCAGAGCCGCCCTCTGCCCCGCGTCCCAGCCCCACTCTCCTTCCTTGTCCTCCCTGTCAGGCCTGGGGTGGGGAGGTTCTTAAGATTCAGAGCGAGGTCTCTGACAGTCACTGGGGATTCTGCCCTCAGTGAAAAACCCAAAGTCCCTATCAAGCTTCCCTACCAAGCTTCAGAATTAGTGATTCTCAACTATGGCTGCCCTTGGGTGGGGGGCATTAAACATCTTCCAGTTCTCCCGCCCCTACCCAGAACGCATAACATCAGAAACTCAGGACTAATTTCATTTTAGCCGCTCCTTTGCAAACTCCCTCCTCACTATCCAATAATAATGAACTATTATTATTATTATTATTTTGACTCAGAGTCTCGCCCTGTCGCCCAGGCTGGAGTGCAGTGCCGCGATCTCGGCTCACTGCAACCTCCACCTCCCAGGCTCAAGCGATCCTCCCACCTCAGCCTCCCAGTAGCTAGGATCATAGGTGTGTGCCACCACACCTGGTTAATTTTTGTATTTTTAGTAGAGATGGGGCTTCACCATGTTGGCCAAGCTGGTCTTGAACTCCTGACCTCAGGTCATCTGCCTACCTCAGCCTCCCAAAGTGTTGGGATTACAGGCGCGAGCCACCAAGCCTGGCCTGTCCAATATTAATTAATTCAACCCATGTTTACTGGGCACCTACTATGTTCCAAGTCTGCAGTAGGGGCTGGGAATACAGAGGTGTGCAAGATAGATAAGGCCCTCTTGTAAATGAAGAAGATATTTCAAATCTGACAAGACCAGGGAGGGTGATAGTGACTGAGGGCTGAGCTAAGATAGAGAAGCCTCCCCAGGGAGTGGCATTGGATCCTGGGAACATGGCCTTCTTTCCTTTTTCTCCCCCATGCCTTTCTTACAGCTCTCCCCATTTCCCCTTCACTTTCTCACTTCTTTGTGGTACCTTCTGTTCTTAACACCACATTTGGACCATGCTCTGGGGAGATAGCTTCTAACAAGATGGGGAACAGAGATGTTCCCTACCCTCATTGAGCTCTCAGTGCAGCCTGGCGGGGAGGGAAGACATGTACCCTGGTGAACATGAGGCAGGTGCTGGGTGCTGAGATGGGGAACACACATGGGTCAGGAAACCTCCTAAAGTCAGTGATGTCTCAGGTGAGACACAAGGTGAGAAGAAGATGGGCTTAGCGAGGTAGACAGTGTCTCAGGAGTAGGTACCGGCATGGGCAAGTGCCCAGAGAAGTCAGAGGACTTGGTGCTTGACTAAAACCTCCACTCCACCTTTTCCTGACTTGAATGTCTCCCTGTCCTGCCTTCACATAGGGATGGTGAATTGGAGTATTCCCCATTTCTGCAGCCACAAGTGGCCAGAGGTGGCACTTGAAAACATAAATCATGCCTTTTGATGTATTATATTATTACTTTAAAACACTTTTCATTGAGGCTGGGCACATTGGCTCATGCCTGTAATCCTAGCACTTTGGGAGGCCGAGGTGGGCGGATCACCTGAGGTCAGGAGTTTTGAGACCAGCCTGGCCAACATGGCAAAACCCCGTCTCTACTAAAAATACAAAAATTAGCCAGGTGTGGTGAGGGGCACCTGTAATCCCAGCTATTCGGGAGGCTAAGGCAGGAGAGTTGCTTGAACACTGGGGGCAGAGGTTGCAGTGAGCTGAGATCATGCCAGTTCACTCCAGCCTGGGCAAAAGAGCAAAACTCCATCACAAACAAACAAACAGCAACAAAAAAAAACTTTCCATTGAAATATGATATGCATATATTTAAAAGTTATTTGTAAATGTTATAGCATTTTGCATGAATAGATAATATGTGCAATAGATAATGCACAGGGTTCCGAATATGTAAAGTCTGCAAGGCATGTGGTGAAATCTTTTCCTCCAGCCCCTGTCCCCCAGCCACCCTGTTCCCTCCCCAGAGGCAACCAATGTTAGCAGCTTCTTGTGTATTTGTCCAGAGATATTCTATGCATACACAGCAAATCAAATATAGATGATCTCTGCACTTTTCACAAAAGCTTATTATACACCTTATTCTGCACCTTGTATTTTTCACCTAACCATATACTTTGGAGGGAGTTCTGTATCTGTGCACAGGAGCTGTGCCATTGTTGGTTTTATGGCTATGCCGTAACTGTATTCAACCAGAGGTCTGTAGATGGACCTTGCAGTTGTTTCTATTTTTTTTTTTTTTTGCTGTTATGAACAATGCTGCAGCTCCTGACCTGATATAATTTGCATCTGTGCAGTATGTCTGTAGGATAAACTCTTCAAAGTGAGATTGCTAGATCACAGGGTCTGCATTTATAATTTTGATGGATGTTGGTTGGATGTGGCAGCTTATGCCTGTAATCCCAGCACTTTGGGAGGCTGAGGCAAGTGGATCACTTGGGGTTAGAAGTTTGAGATGAGCCTGGCCAACATGGTGAAACCCCGTCTCTACTAAAAATGCAAAAATTAGCCAGGTGTGGTGGCACATGCCTTAGTCCCAGTTACTAGGGAAGCTGAGGCAGAGGAATCGCTTGAACCTGGGAGACAGAGGCTACAGTGAGCCGAGATGGCGTCATTGCACTCCATCCTGGGTGACAGAGCGAGACTCTGTCTTAAATTTTTTTTTGTAATGGATGTTGTCAAATCCCCTGCAGAAAGGTGTGACCAGTTTTCCCTTGAAACAGCAGTGTCAGAAAGTGATGAGGGCCCCTTAAAAAGATGTTCCCTGCATGTCCCTGGCTGGGCAAGATCCTGGATGCCCCTCCTTCATTCACCCCAAGGGCCTAAGTGAGGGCTGCCATTGGATGAACCCTTCCTATGGACCAGAGCCCTAATCTTTTCTTTCCTAAAGTTGCTTAATTATCAGAATCACCTGGGAGAGATGCTTAAAATACAACAAATTCCTGGGTCTCCTGGCAGACTTGCTAAATCAGAATCTCTAGGGGATCCTGGAATTGGTGTTTCTAACAAGCTCCCTAGTACATGCTGACTGACACAATCTCATTTAATTCTCACTCCCCCACCCCTCCTCCTCTTTGGGGGTCATTGTTCCCATTTAAGAGACGAACAAATCAAGGCTCTGCATCAAGTGGCCCCAGAGAGAGACTCGGGGAGTTGGACATCATGTGTCTACCTTCTGCTTGCTGCCAGAACTTCATGTGTACTCTTATTTTGTATTTGCTTTTAGGAGCTCTCCAGTCGTGGGGTCTTTGGCTTGGTTGTCCCCTGCTGGTTCTAATGGCCAAGCTCCTGTGGTGAGTGGCCTGAGCACATCGTCCTGTGTTGCCCCAAGCAGCTGGCCAACGTGTGTAGAGACAGGATGCTCCAGATGGTGGGACACCGTTCCCTGGATCCAGACCCTCATCTAGGGCAAGGAAACCCTGGGGCCTTGATGGTGAAAATGCACCCCAAATGAAAAATAATTATTAAAAATGATCTTGCAAATTATTTTTAATTTTTTTAAATTTTAATTTTCGTTAGTACATAGTAGGTATATATATTTATGGGGTACATGAGATGTTTTGATACAGGCATGCGATGTGTAATAATCACATCATGTAAAATGGGGTATCCATTACCTCAAACCTTTATCCTTTGTGTTACAAACAATCCAATTGTACTCTTTCAGTTATTTTAAAATGTGCGATTAAATTACTATTGACTATAGGGTCGGGTGCAGTGGCTCATGCCTGTAATCCCAGCACTGTGGGAGGCCGAAGCAGGTGGATCACCTGAGGTCAGGAGTTCAAGACCAGCCTGGCCAACATGGTGAAACCCCATCTCTATAAAAATACAAAAATTAGCTGGACATGGTGGTGTGCGCCTGTAATTCCAGCTACTCGGGAGGCTGAGGCAGGAGAATCACTTGAACTGAGGAGCCAGAAGTTGCAGTGGGCAGAGACCATGCCACTGCTCTCTAGCCTGGGTGACAGAGTGACTTTATCTCAAAAAAAAAAAAAAAATTACTGTTGACTATAGTCATCCTGTTGTGCTATGGAAAAGTAGGTCTTACTCATCTTTCTGTTTTTTTTGTACCCGTTAACCATCTGCCTCCTCCCCACCAACTCTCCCATTACCCTTCCCAGCCTCTGTTCACTCTCCTTCTACTCTATCTCCATGGGTTTAATTGTTTTGATTTTTGATTTTGCAAATTCTTAAGCCCACTCATCTCCTCAGCAGGAAGCCCTTCTCTGTCCCATTGCAGCCTCTTTTGTTTTCCAGCTTGGAGACAGAGAACCTGTGGGGAAGGAAGGGTGTTTTCTGTTAACAGCACGAGACCCTTACAATCAAGTTGCTGCCCTCACTTTAGAGAGATACCAGAGAGAGGCAGTGCAAGAAAAGGCACCATTTTAGCCAGGGCCTCATCTAGTTTCTACTTGGGCTTAATTTCACTTTCTTGAAGCTACAGGCTACATTGGATTTCTCCTCTACGATATTTAGCAGAGCTGAAATAAATGAATCCCTGAGCAGAAGCCAATATTCTTGCCTGATTGCTGGGACTAATTGATGTTTTGGTGGGCATTGCATTGGTTGGAAGTTAAAACATTTAACATGGCTCAACGTTAAATCAATTTAAAAATACATTTTTCAGGTGTCTTCCATTTCCTTGGGACTCAGCTGAATGGATGGCTGTGAAGTTATCATTAAACTCTCAAAATATTCCCTGTTTTTGGTGGAGATGGTGGTGGCTCTTCTGGTTTTAAGTTGCTCTGGGCTTTGGGGAATTGGTTGAAATAAAAAATAAAAGTACATTGGGTAAGTCAGTCACTGATGTGATCCTGGCGGGCTGAGAAAACTCCACCCACTGGCTCGATCCTGCTAGAATGAAGTTACTTCCGGGAATTGCCAGGATGCTTTTAGCCTTAGGTTTAGGAAGTCAGGGCTCAGGGAAGGGGGGCAGCAGTGGTGTTTGCAAACACCTTCTCGAAGACAGCATCACAGCTGCTTGTCAGGGCGTTTCCCTGGTGGCATCCTAGGTGCTTCTGTTCTGCCATCAGCACACCTTGGGTTCTCCTCCTAGTCACCTATCCACAGTAGACATCTCATCTGGAGGTAAGAAAACTGCATGTTTCCGAAAATCTTGGTGTCCCTAAAAGGCGGTGGATTTTACAAAGCGTCATGAGTAGGTGTTGCAGAGGCTGGAGTGTATTTTCAGAGGTCACGTGGTTTTATAGAAAACTAAGACTGCAGTGTGAAAGGTGTGATCCTGTGATCCTGCACGTGTTATTTAATGTCTGACTTGGTTTTCCTTCATCCTGGCAGGGAAGTAGCAGCAAATGGGTGCTCCTCAGGTACAGAACATTAATTTTTTTTGTTTTTGTTTTTGAGATGGAGCCTCACTCTGTCACCCAGGCTGGAGTGCAGTGGCATGATCTTGGTTCGCTGCAACATCCACCTCCCGGGTTCAAGTGATTCTCCTGCCTCAGCCTCCTGAGTAGCTGGGATTACAGGCATGCGCCACCATGCCCAGCTAAGTTTTGCATTTTTGGTGGAGACGGGATTTCACCATGTTGGCCAGGCTGGTCTTGAACTCCTGGCCTCAAGTGATCCGCCTGCCTTGGCCTCCTAAAGTGCTGAGATTACAGGCATGAGCCACCGTGCTTGGCCCAGAGCATTAATTTTCTTACAAACAGCAGCCCCCAGTTTAGCTGGGCTGGACCAGCTGCTTGGAGAGGGGTTCTTGATGAAAACCTGTCTGCACAGACTCCCATGAGGATGTCCTTGGATCTCAATCGGTATTCTCACTTTCTGCCAGTCTTGGATTATCCTGGACAAGAAAAAGCAAACAGTAACAAAATCCACTCTCCTGCGAGTCAGGCTTCACACTGCCGACTTCATGTAGCTTTTGTATTTCATCTCTCTTTCTGGTCATTTGTTTCTGATCTAATTCCTGTTTCTTTCCTCCCATCTTGAATAATGACTCCCATTACAGAGGTCTGACTCTGGGTCAGGCTGTCTAAGGGCTTTCACTGTGTCATTAGCTCATTTCATTGTGGCCATGCTCCTGCCAGGTAGGCACTGTTAGGATTCCCATTTTCCAGATGAGGGGACTGAGTGTGAGAGAGGTTAAGGAGCTCTTGTCTAAGCTTCCCAGATAGGACAAATTTGAATCCTGACTTCTTTATCTCTGTACTGTGCTGCCTCCTGGACGGGTGTCCTTTAACTTCTCTAATAAGTCAGATCAGAGAGAGATTCTGTAAATCCCTTCACCTCCTCCTCTGGCGGGAGGACAGTTTGCCTCACAGCACATATAATTGGTGATCCTCCCAGGCAGGAAGACAAATCTAGCTGATGCCCTGCAGGAACCCCAGGGTCTCAGGTTGAAATGCACCGTCCTTTGCATGCAGGAAAGCAGCAGGTCACGCTGGCAGGTGCTGCTCCCATTCACCTTTCAATGTCAGCTCTCCTGATGGATTTCTAGCCTCCATCCTTCACAGCCCTCCTCAGCTGGAGGCAGGGATCACTGGCACTTGTATGCAGATCACAGCATGTTGGCTCTGGTTCTTATCGGTCAGGACCTGTGCCATTCTGGCTTCTAAATTTTTTGAATATCACCCCAGTTAGATCCTTTTGCAGAATCTCTACCTTCAGGCCCGCTCCAGACACCAAGCCTGGCTTGATGGGGGCTGCAACTTCAGCCTAACATCCAGTGGAACTTACAATGAAGTTATCCTCTCTAGTCCTGGTACCCAGGGGTTCAGCCACAGCTGCTTGTGATGGGCTGTACTACCAAACAGAGGTTACTGTGTCTTGGGGCATGTGTGTGTTTACTCTGCTTTACTGAAGTCATGGAAGAGAGTTACAACACAGTAAACAACTTAATATTCAATACTAGGCATTTTTTGTCCTTAAAAGTCCTTTGCCCACTTTTGCCTCTTGAGGGGCCTTTAGAAATATTGGGCCAGGCCTGGTGGCTCATACCTATAATCTTAGCACTTTGGGAGGCTGAGGCAGGAGGATCACTTGAGGCCAGGAGTTCATGTCCAGCATGGGCAACATAGGGAAATCCTGTCCCTACCAAAAAAAAAGAAAAAAAGGCTGGGGGCAGTGGGTGGGTCACTCCTGTAATCCCAGTATTTTAGGAGGCTGAGGCGGGCAGGTATCTGAGCTCAGGAGTTCAAGACCAGCCTGGGCAACATGGTGAAACCTCGTCTCTAGTAAAATACAAAAAATTAGCTGGGAGTGGTTGCACGTGCCTGTAGTCCCAGCTACTTGGGAGGCTAAGCAGGAGAACTGCTTGAACCTGGGGGGTGGAGGTTGCAGTGAGCTGAGATTGCACCACTACATCTGAGTCTGGGCAACAGAGTGAGACTCTGTCTCCAAAAAAAGAAAAATTAGCCCCCGCCTGGTGGCACACACCTGTAGTCCCAGCCACTCAGGAGGCTGAAGTGGGAGGATCAGTTGAGCCCAGAATTTTGAGGCTGCAATGAACTATGATTGTGCCACTGCACTCCAGCCTGGGTGATGGAATGATCTATATCTATCTGTATATGACATATATATCTCTCATATATGAGAGATATATATGTCATATACAGAAAAGCGTAATACAAACTACCTATGGTATTGGAAGAATCCCAGGAATCGTTGGAGGTCTTGAATGAATTTGAAGAGGGTACTCAGTTCAAGACTACTTTAAGACACACATTTTGTAGATGTCCCAACTAGACACTGTGTGGCCTGGGAATATAGATGTAGATAGATATCTATATCTGTATATGAGATATATAGCTCTCATATCTTATATATATGAGATATATTTCATATATATAAGAAAATAATATATATGAGATACATATAACTCATGTATATGATAATATATCATATATAAGATAATATATGAGATATATATCAAAGATTATATTTAGATATATAATATATCTATATTATATTTAGATACATAAGCTATATATAATCTTATATATGATATATATTTCTTATAAATATATTATAACATAATATAATTGAAAAAAAGTAAACATTGCAGAATTCCCAGGCCACACAGTGTCTAGTTGGGACATCTACAAAGTGTGTGTCTTAAAGTAGTCTTGAACTGAGTACCCTCTTCAAATTCATTCAAGACCTCCAACGATTCCTGGGATTCTTCCAATACCATAGGTAGTTTGTATTACGCTTTTCTGTTGTCACTTCCCCGATTACTGATTGTTTCAGAAAGAGACATGGGCTTGGCTGATCCATGGAGATATCTGCAGCTTGCCAGCAGCTGAAGTCTTTATTTGCCTTTATCTCCGTTGTGGCCTCTGATGAGCCAGACTACAGAGATGCTGATGAAATCTGGGAGGCAATGGTGGAGGCTGTAGTTTCCCAGGAGAACTCTGGCCCTGGGGAATTCCTTCCAGTCTCTGAGTCCCTGTGGCACATCTCCATGTGTGGCGGACTAGGTGATTGCTCCTAGTGATTCTGCTTAGTTCCTTTATTAGAATTATAAGCTTTTTGCCATGTGACTTTGTAGTACATCTCAATAGGTAGAGTCTAATTCCTTGCCCTTCTAACTTTGGGCTTTGGTCATTGGAATGTGAGCAGACACATTTTCCCCCAGCAGAAGTTTTAAATGTGCTGCATGATTTGACTTGACCTCTTGGCAATTGCTTCTCATGTGAAGGGACATGTGGAGCAGACCTGAACTCAACCCAAACCTTGGAGCCAAGCTGAGCTCAGCAGAACCTAGCTGAGCTCAGCCAAGCCAAACCCAGTGTAATCACAGCCAACCTGAAGACTCAGAAGCAAGAAACAAATATTTGTTATAGGGATCTATTGGGATTTGAGAGCTATTTCTCTTTTTTTAAGTTATTGTTATTTTTTGAGATGGAGTCTCACTTTGTCACCCAGGCTGGAGTGCAGTGGAGTGATCTCGGCTCACTGCAACCTCTGCCTCCTGGGTTCAAGCACCACTAGTGCCTCAGCCTCCCGAGTATCTGGGATTACAGGCAGTGCCACCTTGCTTGGCTAATTTTTGTATTTTTTGGTAGAGACAGGGTTTCGCCATGATGGCCAGGCTGGTCTCAAACTCCTGACCTCAGGTAATCCACCCGCCTTAGCCTCCCAAAGTGCTGGGGTTATAGGCATGAGCCACCGTGCCAGGCCTAGGGAGTTCCTTGTTATTGTAGCAAAAGCTGTCTTATATATCATGTCATTAACATGCCCACCTTACACAGTGCTGGTCCCATTCTGATGACAGGAAGATGATACATTTTATCCTTTACCCTTACCATCATTTACTATGTACACTATGCCCATTTGTCAAGCTCTTCTGCCTCCAAAAAGTGCTATGGTACTTGATACCTAATAATGGTCTTTAACTTCTGTCATGCACCCATTTATTTCCCATCTTCAAGACCAAGGGTCCTAGAAATCACAGGAAAGCTGGGGTCAGAACTTATACTCATAACATGGTTGTTCCACCTACTTTGCCATGGCAGACTTTGTATCTCATGGCTCACTTAACTACTTCCCTTGAGCACTCACTGTTCTAACACTCATTTCCCCCAAATCTACAACTTAGCTTCTCTCCCTGGTGCAGTCAAGGCCCTTTTACCTGGAGTCTCCCAGAAGGATTTTCAGGTCATGTGCTATATTAGCTCATCCTTAGGGAAGAACGTTCCAATTGAAGAAGCCATCTGACTCTCCCCCAGGTGTGTGGTCATCTTCTTTGCTCATGCTGGAAGATGGAAGACCCTTTGAAGTAACTTAGTTCAACAAATCTGCCCTTAAGTTGTCTTCCCCCTGGGGATCTGCCCCATCTTCGTCTTCTCCCTGCCACACCAGGTTCATTGAGAGCTCACTCTCCCCCACGGTCCTCTCTCATGTTCCCTGGCATCTTGCAACAGGGAACTTGAGATGCTGATGGGCAGTTGGGTGGATTCTCAATGGTGGCCAGTCCAGCTCCAGGACCTGCCATACTGGAAAGGGTTTGGGGTTGGAGGAATCGGCATGACAACTCACCAGCCTGTATTCCACCCGAATGTAAGCTTCTGTGGGCAGGAGGCTCATCTGTCTTGTTCGCTGCCGTGTTGCTACTGCCAAGCAGTCCCCAGTAGGCTGGTCATGGCTGGTGTCCATTACATATTTGTGCAGCGTATGGGTGAACATACACACATCCTTTCTGAAACAAAATTGAACTCAGTAGGACACTCACTCAGGCAAAGTTTGGGAAGCTTTAGATCCATTCTGGAGGAGGGGGGAGATAGAATCAGAATATATTCATTTAACAAACATTTATGGAGAAGCTACTTTTTTGGCAGACCCCATGCTACAGAAGCAACAGTACACAAAGCCCTGCTTTCATGAAGCTTACAGTCTACTGGGGGCTGGGAGAGGCGGACCATAAACACACACATGCACACATATACATGTTCACATCCACACACCCCTGTATCAGATAGTGATAAATATTATGGAGCAAAGAAATCTGGAGGAAAGGATCGAGAGCTCCAGATGGTGATGGTAGGGATAGGGGTGGTGCAGAACAAGCTTTAATAAAACATTAGGTGGTCAGTAAAGGCTCTGCCCTCAAGAGGGATACAATCGCTTCTTAAAGGTCCCACCTCTCAATGCTCCCACTTTTGGGATTCAGTTTCAACATGAGTTTTGGGGGGTCATTTGAATCATAGCACATGGTGTCCACCATCAGCTCTAAGTTTACAGCCTAACACTTCCGCAATAACAAGAAAGAGAGAGAGAGAGAGAGAGAGAGAGAGAGAGAGAGAGAGAGAGATCTTTCCTAGTTACTTCAGCAAAAGTCCCCAGGTTAGGTCTGATTGGGCTTGCTTGAGGCAGGTGCCCATTTCTGATCTGACCACTGTGGCCCAGACAATGGTTACACCAATTGGCCAAGGCTAGGTCTGATTACCCTAAATCCTACCACAAATAACATTGACTGAGCAGGAAAGGACTGATTCCAGAAGAGATCAATTACTAAAATGTGGTAGGCAGAATTCTGAGATGGCCCCCAAGATCCCTGCTCCCTGGTGTGCACAATCTGTGCAATCTCCTCCTCTCCAGTGCTGCACAATTAGAGGATGTGATGGAATAGCCCTGCCCTGACTGGGCTACTAGTTAGTTGATTTTGAGTTAATCAAAAGGGAGAACATCTGGGTGGGCCTGACCTAATCAGGTGCACCTTTAAAAGGGACTAGGCCCTTCCTGAAGTCAGAGATGCTCAAAGTGTGAGAAAGCCTATGGAGAGGCCACAGGGCAAGGACCTAGGTTTGTCTTTAGGAGGTAAGAGAGGTCTCTGGTCGATAGCCAGCAAGAAAACAAGACCTCAGTCATATTGATGCAGGGTAGATGAACTCCAAACTGGGGCTTAGCCTGTGAGGGTTCTTGGCCTTGCCCAGGAAAGAATTCAAGGGCAAGCTGGAGGTAGAAGAAAACAGCTTTACTGAAGCGGTGGTGTTACAGCTCCTGCAGTGTTACAGCTCCATGACGGCTCCTGCAGAGCAGGGCTACCCTGTAACCAGAGAGTGGCATCTCTGGGCAGTTTTGCAGTCATATTTATACCTGCTTTTAATTATATGCAGATTCAAGGGTGGTTTCTGCAGAACTTTCTAGAGAAGGGGTAGTAACTTTAGGTCATCAGGTCATTGCCATGGAAAGGGGTGGTAACTCCCAGGTATTGCCGTGTCAATGGTAAACTGACCTGGCACACTGGTGGGTGTGTCTTAGGGAAAGCTGCTTCCCTCCCAGCTCTGTTTTAGTTAGTCCTGAACTTGGTCCGGTGTCCAAGCCCCACCTCCAGAGTCAAGTCCTGCCTCCTATCTCAAGATAATCAGAAGGAGCGGAAGTCTGAAAACAACCAATCATCCTGGAAGAAGACCCTGAGCTTTAGATAAGACTACAGCTCCAGCTGACACCTTGATTTCAGCCCCATGAGACCCTGAGCAGAGAATCCGGTTGAGCCGTGCTTGGATTTTGACCTATAGAGCTGTGAGATAATACATTTGTGTTGCTTTAGTTGATGCACTTCTGTCAATTTGTTACACAGCAATGAGAACTGAATAAGGGAGAAACAAATGCTGGGTAGACAGAAGCGACGGATGTGCATGAGGAGCTGAGACAGACAGCTGCCTGGAATTGAGCCTTACTTAGCCTGGAAGGTATGACTATGTCTGTGAATCCTCATTGGAAGAAGTTTTATTGGTCAGACATCCTGTTCCATGTCAGCCTCTCCCTCTAGGATCTTTTGCTTCCTGCAAGGAGTGGGGCCTGGTATGTTTATCTTTTGCATTTGTCATTTATAGTGAGTCAGCATCAATTCATCCTTTCCCACAGTATTGTGAATTTCCTTTGGGGAAGCACACTTTTGGTACTCTCCAGTGGATTAGGTGGCATTAGCCCCACCTTCACTCCAGTGCTGGGCCCTGATTCCCTTAAGTCAATTAGCGTACTCCATTCCCCAGGCCATAATGACTGATTCAGGGATGGACCAAAGAGAGCCAGGCTTTGGATTTTTTATTCAACTGTCAGAGTAAAGAGAAAGAACTTCTCTTTCCTCTGCACATGAATTGGGCAGCCATCTTGAAATAGTAAGAAGAGAAGCTTTATAAAGGAATGAAATTAAGAAATGGAGTGAGAAGAATGGAGTTAAGAAATGGTGTGAGGTCAGGCATGGTGGCTGACACCTGTAATCCCAGAACTTTGGGAGGCTTAGGTGGGTGGGAGGATTACATGAGCCCAGGAGTTCGAGACCAGCCCTGGCAACATAGTGAGACTCCCTGTTTCTATAAATAATGAAAAGAATTAGCTGGGCATTGTGGTGCATGCCTGTGGTCCTAGCCACTCAGGAGGCTGAGGTGGGAGGATTGCTTGAGCCTGGGAGGTTGAGGCTATAGTGAGCTGAGATTGCACCATTGCACTCCAGCTTGGGTGACAGAGTGAGATCCTGTTAAAAAAAAAAAAGAGAAAGAAGGAAAGACAAAAAGAAAAAGAAAGAAAGAAGGAAAGAAAAAAAGAAAAAAGAAAGGGTGTGAGAAACACTGGGTCCTGGCAAAAGATGTTGGCACCTGCATCAAACCATACCTGCAGGTTTGCCCCTGGACCTTTCAGTTATATGAACAAATATGGGTTGGATTTCCTTATACTTACAAGTAGTTGGGTTGCTTTCTTTTTTCCTGTTTATTTTTCTTGCTCATGAGATGCACACAAATTGTTTTTTATTATGGGTATAAGTGATCACAAAGTGCCCGTTTTCTCTATAACCTGAACAGAGAGAGTATGGGCATCTCAGCTTCACTGGGCCACAGCATCAATCTTTACCCTGAATTCAGCTTTGATGCACCTGAGTGCCTGATGAGCTACAGGGATCCTGTTTCTGAAAACTTTACGTGGGTGACAAAATAGCAAAATAGTGTGTGAGGCCTTTGCCTTGAGACCTGGGTTTGTTCCGGAGACAACTCTAATGGAGGAGAGAGATTTGCTCCTCCCACTCTCCTCGCTGACATTTGGCCTCAGGGGACTGAGTCATACCCGACTGACTCCATGTATATAAGTGTGAATGGCAGTCTGGTAGTCCAACCAGGTGATGCTTCCTGTCCCCGGAGGGTAGCCAATATCATCTCCTGCTTTTCTTCCTCCTGATTTAGCATCACTCAGGGCAGGAATTCTGGGCTGGAGGAGAGGGGCCTATAGTTCTCTTGTATGGTCTGAGTTTGCTCACACAGCAACCTGCTCTTATCTAGTCTGATTTTTTTCAACGGCATCCTGTTGTACCTTGTCATCTGGCTCTGTGGACAGGCCTTTCTGGTCTTCACACTGATGCAGGTTTGTTAGTTTTTTTCCTCCTTGTTAATGTATAGTCAGGAATTTAACATCCTTGACTGTCCTCATCATCGGACACCCTCACTAGTCTTGTCAAGTCTTAGCTATACAAATGAAAGCATGGAAGCTTGGAGGTGATATGTCATGATGCTGAATCCTAGGACTGAGCCCCGTGAATATGCTGTTAAGGTTCTTCAATCCCCACTTGCCTTCTGGGCCTGCCGCTCTTGCAACATCCTTGTGTCATGCTCAAAGACCTTTGCAGTGCCCAGTTCTGTGTTTCCTAACAGCATCTTTGTTTTGGGTGCATTCTTTGATATTGGATGCTTGAAATGGACTAATCAGGTCCTGGCAGGCAATGGATGCACATTAAAATCAATTACTTGAGGACAGTTTAGCAAAGAGAGTATTTACAGAAGCATGGACTGGGTTAAATGAAACAAAGGATGTGAGGTACTCTGGAACTGTCAACAGCACAGAGCCCTTACCAACCAGGTCTAAAAGGGAAGGGGAGAGAGACTCCTGGAATCCAGAAAGAACTGTAGTGTGATTACTCAACCTTCCTACCCACTGCATAGACAAAACCAGTTTGCTGAGACTGTGGTATTGCAGTGAAGAAAGAGTTTAATTAACTTGAGGCTGGCCATGTGGAAGAACTGGAGTTATCACTCAAATCAGTCTCCCCAAAAACTTGGAGGTTGTGGTTTTTCTTTTCTTTTCTTTTCTTTTTGAGGTGGAGTTTTGCTCTTGTTGCCTGGGCTGGTGTGCAATGGTGTGCTCTTGGCTCACCGCAACCTCCGCCCCCCGGGTTCAAGTGATTCTCCTGCTTCAGCCTCCCAAGTAGCTGGGATTACAGGCATGTGCCACCATGCCCGGCTAATTTTGTATTTTCAGTAGAGACAGGTTTTCTCCATGTTGGTCAGGCTGGTCTCGAACTCCTGACCTCAGGTGATCCCCTCGCCTTGGCCTCCCAAAGTGCTGAGATTACAGGTATGAGCCACCGCACCCAGCCTGTGGTTTTTCAAAGATAGTTTGGTGGGCAGAGGACTAGGCAATGGGTGCTGCTGATTAGTTGGGGATGCAATAGAGGTGTGGGAAATGGTCCTGGTGCTCTGAGTCCACCTCTGGGTAGGGGCCACAGGACCAGTTGAGTCATGAGTTACAAGTCCAGGTGGGGTCAGTTATTTGCCAGAATGCAAAGTCTGAAAAACATCTCACAAGACCAATCCTAGGTTCTATAATAGTGATGTTATATATGGGAGCAATTGGGGAAGTCACAAATCTTGTGACTTATAGAACAATGGCTGGTTCTAAAACTATGCCTAAGACTATGCCTCCATTTTAGCAGAATTCAGGCCCCTCCCTAATCTTGTGGCCTTTCCTTAGTTTTACAAAGGTGGTTTAAGCCCTGAAACAATGAGGGAATCAGTTTTAGTGGAACACTATTATCATCCTTGCTTTCAAATTAAACTATAAACTAAATTCCTGTCGAGGTGCAGTAGCTCACACCTGCAATCCCAGCACTTTGGGATGCCAAGGCAGGCAGATTGCTTGAGCCCAGGAGTTCAAGACCAGACTGGGCAACATGGCGAAGCCCCATCTCCACAAAAAATACAAAAAAGTTAACATGCACCTGCAGTCCTAGCTACTCTGGAGGCTGAGGTGGGAGGACCACCCTGAGACCAGGGAATTCGAGGCTGTGGTGAGCCGTGATCATGCCACTGCACTCCAGCCTGGGTGACAGAGTGAGGCCTTGTCTCAAAAAGCAAATAAATAAAATAAAAAAATTCATCTCATGATTAACTTGGCCTATGCCCAGGAATGAGTGAGGACAGTTAGCCTGTGAGGCTAGAAACAAGATGGAGTCAGCAACACCAGATTCTCTCACTGTCATAATCTTTGCAAAGGCAGCTTCAGTAGCTGTGAGAAAGAGCCGCCCAACAAGGGCTGTAGCAGCTTTTCCCAGTGGCGCCAATGCTTCCCTAGTCCAGGCTCTGGGGAATTCTCTCTTGGAAGACGCAGCAGGCTGGAGTTGAGGGTGGGGACTTTAATCCTCCTCTGCACATTGCCAGGAACCACCTTTTCCCTTCCAGAGCAGACTTTCATTTTAAAAGCTATTTTGTGTTCAGCTTCTGAAAGCCCATGTGTTTGCTCATTCCCAGGAGAATTTTTATGACTTCTACACTTTTAAAAAGCTCATGTGAAGCTGCCTGGCTTCTGTCTAGGTTTTGGATACTTTCTGCTTGCGCCTCCAAATCCGCTGTCCGTTCTTCTCAACTCTAGTGTGCCCAGGGAGCCAGACTGGCCAGTGGGGACCCAGTAGGAGATTGGAGGGTGGAAGGGGAGGTCAGGGTATTTATTCCTTTGGCTTCTTTCCTTCCGGGCTGAGAGTTTGCAGTGGCTCAGTTTCTCCCCAAAGGCCACAGTTCCTGTTGGGCAGCTCTGTCTTACAGCGACAGCTCTCTCTGGGTTCCAGGATTCTCTCTCTCTCTCTCCTTCCCTTTTAGACCCCACTGTTGATAATACCAGCGTGCTCCACATCCTTGTTTTCTCTTAATCCTGTCCACACTTCTGTAAATAATCTCTTTCCTAAACTGTCCTCAATTACCCCATTGGAGTGTGCATCTGTTTTTTGCTGGGGCCTTGATTGCTCCATTTCAAACACCCAGTGTCAAAGAATTCACCCCTGAAGGCTGCAAGGGGAACCTCAGGGAAGCTTCCGCAATGTCTCTCTGTTTCCAGGTGGTAGTCCACCTCCGGCGTAGCCTGAACCAGGTCAATGAATGCTGCCTATTTTATATGATCAAGTTTGTCATTGAGGTCGTGAAGATGCATACCTCTTACTTCTGGCTTGGGGACAGTTGGGCACTGCCCCCTAGTTAATGACTGTGGATACAGTTCTCAAATTAATCTGGGTGTCAGCTGAGTCCATCAGCCAGTGAGTAGCCCCTGATTGCATGGCCAAGGAAAACCAAAACTTCACCAGGGTTTCTGCAAATGACTGTCTCAGGACTCCTTCTGGTTGCATGCTATCGATGTACCTCCTTGCCCCAGGTGTGAATCCTCTGAAATAATTCATAGTGGAACATTGTGGTAGACAGCTTCTAAGATGACCCCAAATGATCCCTGCCACCTCATATTCACGTCCTTTTGTGACCCCTTGCCCTGACTGTGGGCTGGACCTAGTGACTAGCTTTTATTTTTTTATTTTCACTTAAAAAATAATTTCTCGGCCAGGTACGGTGGCTCACGCCTGTAATCCTAGCACTATGGGAGGCTGAGGCGGGCGGATCACGAGGTCAGGAATTCAAGACCAGCCTGGCCAACATAGTAAAACCTTGTCTCTACTAAAAAAAAAATGCAAAAATTAGCTGGGTATGGTGGTGCGCTCTTGTAGTCCCAGCTACTTGGGAGGCTGAGGCAGGAGAATCGCTTGAATCCAGGAGGTGGGGGTTGCAGTGAGCTGACAGTGAGCTGTCTCTTTTTTTGAGACAGGGTCTTGCTCTGTGGCCCAGGATGAGTACAGTGACACAATCACGGCTCACTGCAGCCTTGAACTCCTGGGCTCAAGCAATCCTCCCACCTCAGCCTTCCAAGTAGTTGGGACCACAGGTGCACACCACAATGCCTGGCTAATTTTTAATTTTATTGTAGAGAGGAAGTCTCCCTATGTTGCCCAGGCTGGTCTTGATTTCCTAGGCTCAAGTGATCCTTCTGCCCCAGCCTCCCAAAGTGCTGGGGTTACTGGCATGAGCCACTGTGAACAGCCTATAATTTCAACTTTTATTTTAGATGTAGGGGATACATGTGCAGGTTTGTTACATGGGTATGTTGTCTGTTGCTGATGTTTGGGGTATGACTGGTTCTGTCACCCAAATAGTGAGCATAGTTTGTCAGCCCTTTTGTCTCTCCCTCTCTCTCATCTAGCAGTCCCCGTTTTTTGTTTTTTTTTTTTTTTTGAGACAGAGTCTTGCTCTGTTGCCCAGGCTGGAGTGCAGTGGCATGATCTTGGCTCACTGCAACCTCCACCTTCCAAATTCAAGTGATCCTCATGCCTCAGCCTCCTGAGTAGCTGGGATTACAGGTGCTTGCCACCACGCCCTGCTAATTTTTGTATTTTTAGTAGAGACAGGGTTTTGCCATGTTGGCCAGGCTGGTCTTGAACTCCTGACCTCAAGTGATCCACCCAGCTTGGCCTCCCAAAGTGCTGGGATTATAGGTGTGAGCCACCATGCCCAGCTGTAGTCCCCAGTTTTTATTGTTCGTATGTTTATATCCATGTGTACCCAATGTTTAGCTCTTGCTTATAAATGAGAACATGCAGTATTTGGTTTTCCATTCCTACATTAATTCACCTAGGAAAATAGCTGCCAGCTGCATCTATGTAGCTGCAAAGGGTATGATTTTGTTCCTTTTTATGGCTGTGTAGTATTCCATGGTATATATGTACCACATTTTCTTTTTCCAATCCTCCATTGATGGGCACCTAGGTTGATTCAATGTCTTTGCTTTTGTGAATAGTGCTGCAATGAACATATGGGTGACTAGCTTTTAATCAGTAGAACACAGCAAAGGTGACGGCATTTCAGTTTGAGATTAGGTTACCAAACACACGGACTTCTGTCTTGCTAGCACACACTCTGTCTTGCCTTCTTGCTGTTACTGAACCTAACTTGGGTCCCCCTGCCCAGCACAGCAAAATCAAACATTGATATTGGGATTGTAGCAAGAGGAAGTGGGGTATTTATTGGAGGGGCACCAAGCAAAGATAATTAGTTAATGCTTAAGTCCCAAGCTCCCGGATGGCTTATAGGTAAGGATTTGTAATTGCAGGAAGGCAGAGGTTACATGCAAAGTTATAAATCAATATATGGGAGGCTCTACATTGGTTTGACCTAAAAAGGCAGGACGTCTCAAAGTGGGAACCCATGGGTCAAAGGTAGATTTAAAGATGTTTTGATTTGTAATTGGCTTAGGAGGAGAAGCCTTGTCTAAAAATTTGAGATCAGTGGAATGTTAGTTCTGGCCTGGGGTGTGACTTCCTCTACTCCCCTTAGGAAGAAATTTAGAACTGAGAAAAGTGTTAAGAGTTTAGCCTTCAGGTCCCCCTTATCTGAGTCTTGTGTGTTGCTGGACCCATTTAGTGGGGAGTCCTCATTTTTGAAAAACAATCTATGAACATTAGTTTTTATAGGGAAGCCAAACATCCCATGATTTTAACTTTTTTGCCCATTATTCTAAGCTACTATTATCTTCTTGCTTATTAAGTTGTTTATTGATGTATTTATTTATTTCTGAGACAGAGTCTTTCTCCATTGCCCAGGCTGGAGTGCAATGGCATGATCTCGGCTCACTGCAACCTCCACCTCCTGGGTTCAAGTAATTCTCCTGCTTCAGCCTCCTGAGTAGCTGGGACTACAGGCATGCGCCACCACTCCTGGCTAATTTTGTATTTTCAGTACAGATGGGGTTTTGTCATGTTGGCCAGGCTGGTCTTGAACTCCTGACTGCAAGTGATCCACCTGCCTCAGCTTCCCAAAGTGCTGGGATTACAGGCATGAGCCCCCGTGCCCGGCCTTATTTATTTTTTAAGGGCTAGCTAAGTGCCTGGAATTTTTCTTAAAGGAACTTAAGATTTTTCTTTATTTCTATGTTTGAGGGTGGGAGTGCTGCATGTCCCTAAGAGAGGTCCCTGTTCTGCCTCATTGCCTGCTTGCTCTGATAAATCAAGCTGTTGTGTTGTGAGCTGCCCTTCGGAGAGGCCCACGTGGCAAGGATCTGAAAGCGGCTTCTGACAACAGTTCATGGGAAACGAATCCTGCCAATAATCATGTGGGTGCACTTGGAAGTGGATCCTGCCCCAGTTGAGTCTTGAGATGAGACCTAGCTTACACCTAGATAGCAACCCATGGGAGACCCTGAAGCAGGGGGCCCATCTTCGAATTCCTAACCCACAGAAACTGTGAGATAATAAATGTGTTGTTTTAAGCCACTGAGTTTTGGAATAATTTGTTACACAGCAATAGATAGCCGATATAGCAGTGTAGACTTTAGTTGATGATTCCGGTGGGGAGACCAAAGTGAAATTTACATTGCACACTTCACAAAAAGTAACTAACTAACCAACCCATCAGTCATTTCTGTGCTTCCTCAGCCCTCTCAATGCTGAGGGCTCCTCTTTCTTGCTCTTGTTCTCTCTCAATATCATTTTCTAATTTGGCCATGTCTAGCTTCATTGCATATTATCTTTCTCTGGATTGTCAGTTTTTTCTGTGTCCATTTTGGCAGAGAATTTTAGTTTTTTATGATTTTTTTTCTTTAGAGATGGAGTCTCACTCTGTTGCCCAGGCTGGCCTCAAAGTCCTGGGCTTAAGCAATCCTCCCCACTTGGCCTCCCAGAGTGCTGGGATTACAGGCATGAGCCATCACACCTGGCCCTTTCTACTTCTACTCCCAAACGTGTTGGCCAACTCCTCAAGGTATTCAGCAGGAAAAAATCCTCTCTATTAATGCAGCGCACCTTTCCTGGGCAGCAGTGTGGGTTATAGATACATGAAATATCTATTACATAAGTCTCTCAGCTTCTTCCTGCATATATTGCTATTCAACTGCTTAAAGCTATTGAAAAATTCATGCAAACAAAATTTTAATCTAACAGAGAAAATATCTTTGTGACATTGTTCAAATCAAGTTATATCATGTATGAAGGAGAAGCACATTCCACCGAGAAAAGCTTTTTAAACCCTCTGCTTTTTGACATTTTAACCAGTATGTTAGATAAGAAGGCTGGTATGGAAATATAGTTAGCAACATTGTTGGAAAATATAGGCTAGAAAAGAGTTCAAGAATATGTATCCATTGAACTTGATGAAATAATTTTAGAAGCTGAGGCTGTGAAATCTTGACAGCAAAACTGAAGAGACACTGTAGAGTTCCCATTTTGCAGATTTATATTTGGTTGGTTCATGCAGGCAGACTCCAGGAGAACTAAGACTTTGTTAAATACCTAACACATACCCAGTAAGAAGGATAAATGTAGGTGTTCACATCAGGGTTTTAAACACGTGATCCAATAAATCAGCAAAAAGGCAGCAAAGCAATTGTAGTAATGGTTAAAAAAAAAAAAAAAAAGGAGTGGGGAAGACTTCAGGAGCAGGAATTGTATAAAAATACATCCAAATGTGGCTATTTCTGACTACTTCATTTAAATGTGAGCCTCTATCCGTTCTCACCTGGATTCCAGCAAGAACTTCCTAGCAGTTTTCTCTGTTTGAGATTTGCTTTCTTGGGGTCTATTTTCAACAAGGCAACTGGAATAATACTTAAAAAAAAAAGTATCAGGCTGGGCACGGGGGCTCATGCCTGTAATCTTGGTACTTTGGGAGGCTGAGGTAGGAAGGATCACTTGAGGTCAGGAGTTTGAGACCAGCCTGGGCAACATAGCTAGACTCTGTCTTTACAATACATAAATAAATAAGTAAATACATACATTAGTCAGGTGTGGTGGCACATGCGTGTAGTCCCAGCTGCTTGGGAGGCTGAGGTGGGAGGATCACTTGAGCCTGGGAGGTTGAGGCTGCAGGGAGATGTGTCCCTGCCACTGCATTCCAGCCTGAGTGACAGAGTGAGACCCTGTCTCCAATCTCTCTCTCTCTCTTCTATCTTCTATTTAATTTATCTATCTATCTATACACACACACGAAGTATCAGAACATTATTCATGATAGCCAAAAGGTTAAAAAAACCCCAAATGTCCATTAGCTGAATGGATAGTTAAATTGTTGTACAGTATATCCATACAATGAAACATTACTTGGCAATTTAAAAAATGAAGTATGAGTAGTCATATTTATAGAGACAGAAAGTACAATGGTGGTTGCCATACCAGGGACTGGGGTGGGGTGGGGAATGGGAATTGTTGTTTAATGGGTACAGAGTTTCAGTTTGGAGAGGTGACAAGAGTTCTGGAGATGGATGGTGGGTATGGTTACACAACAGTGTGAATATACTTACTGCCATGAAACGATACACTTGAAAATGGTAAAGATTGTTAAAAAAAAACTCAAAAGGACTGAAGTGCTGATATATGCTACAACATAGACGAACCTTGAAAATCTTATTCTAAGAAGCCAGATGCAAAATGTCACATGTAGTATGATTCCATTGATATGAAATGTTCAGAATAGGCAAATGTATAGAAAGTAGATTAGTGGTTGCCCAAGGCTGGGTAGGGGTTTTGCGGGAAGGGTTGAGAAAATGGGGAGTGATGGCTAATGGGTAAAGACTTAAATGGGTGATGGGATGATAAAAAGTTCTAACGTAGATTACGGGCAGGTGCTGTGGCTCATGCCTGTAATCCCAGCACTTTGGACCCGAGGCAGGTGGATCACTTGAAGCCAGGAGTTTGAGACAAGCGTGGCCAACGTGGTGAAACCCCATCTCTACTAAAAATACAAAACTTAGCCAGGCGTGATGGCACATGCCTGTAATCCTAGTTACTTGGGAGGCCAAAGTGGGAGGATCGCTTGAACTCAGGAGATGGAGGTTGCAGTGAGCTGAGATCACGCCACTGCACTCCAGCTCTGGACAATAGAGCTAGACTCTGTCTAAAAAAAAAAAAAAAATTATAATGATGGTTGTACTACATTGTGAATATATAAAAATCCATTGAATTGTAAACTTTAAATGGGTGAATTTTATGTCAATTAAAGCTATTTTTTAAAAAAGACCTATATGAAAAACTTGAATTTTGGGGAGTTAGTTGTATTAACCAGGCCCTATCCAGTCTTTTTTTCAAAATTACAGATGGGGGTCTCACTCTGTCACCCAGGCTGGGGTGCAGTGGCGTGATCATAGCTCACTTCAGCTTCCCAAAGAGCTGGGATTACAGGCGGATGCCACAATGTCTGGCTAACTAAAAAAAAATTTTTAAGAGATGAGGGGTCTCACGATGTTGCCCAGGCTGGTCTTCAACTCCTGGCCTCAAGTGATCCTCTCGCCTCAGCTCACAGGCGTGAGCCACCATACCTGGCTTATCTAAGAAAGCCACCATACCTGGCTTATCTTTCTCTCATCTTGAGAAAGAATGAATTCAGTTTGGTTACTGCACATTGAAGAGTAAGCTATCCTCAACATCCAGTAACACACCATAGCCTTTCCAAAGGTAGAAATGGTGATAGGGTCAAATAAGTATTTGTTTCACAGCATTTGAAGAAAAAAAGGCAGATTATGTTATTCCTTTGCTCAAAACCTTCCAGTGGTTTTCCATGTTAATGAGTGGAAACTAAAGTTCTTAAAATTGCCTACAAGGTCCAATACACTCAGTTTCCCACCTGCGACTTGTTTGAGCTTACCCCCTACTTCCTTCAGCCATGCTGACCTTCTCCCCATCCGTCCCATGCCCTGGACCCACTCCTGCCCCAGGCCTTTGCACCTGCTGGCTGTGACCTCCGCCTCCGAAATTGTTTTGCCAAATTCCCTCATAGCTTGCTCACTTATACCTTCTTTAGTTCAAATGTCACTTCTTGGCCACCTGTCTGGCCACCCGCCACGGAAGTGCATTCCTGACATTTTCTGCTTTTCCGCTTTTCTTCCCTCCTTCATTTTTTTCCCATGACACACCTGCACAATACACAGTTTGTTCATTCTTTGGTTCATTGTCTCCTCACACCCACTCAAGAATGTAGTACAAAGGCAGGGATTTTTGTCCATCTTGTTCACCGCTGTATCCTCAGTACCTTTATAATGGTGTTTGGCACATAGTAGTAACTCAATAAGTATTTGTTAAATGAACAAATGAAAAGCTGCCATGTGTTCAAGAAGTCATTGTGTGTTGCATAGGAAAACAGTAGCTGTTAAGGAGATACCAGCATCCTACAAATAGTGGAGGAAAATGCCATGCAAGTTGCCAAATTGATTAAAGTGTGCCTTTTAACTTGTAGACTCCGGAGGGTAGCTTACACAAATATGAACAATTGTTCCCTTATATGTACAATTTGCCCCTGATTTTTCATTCCAGCTGTCACACAATTGCCTGGAGGATTTTTTTTTTTTTTTTTTGAGACGGCCGTCACCCAGGCTGGAGTGCAGTGGCACGATCTCGGCTCACTGCAAACTCCACCTCCCAGGTTCACACCATTCTCCTGCCTCAGCCTCCTGGGTAGCTGGGACTACAGGTGCCCGACACCACGCCCGGCTAATTTTTTTGTATTTTTAGTAGAGAGAGGGTTTCACCTTGTTAGCCAGGATGGTCTCGATCTCCTGACCTCATGATCCACCCACCTCGGCCTCCCAAAGTGCTGGGATTATAGGCGTGAGCCACCGCGCCCGGCCGAGGATTGTTAAACATCATTTAATAAGTGGGTCTTTGCTGCCCTTCTCCCAGGAATAGAGTGTATAGAGTTGCCCATGTGAGAAGCAGCCAAAGCCCAGGTCAGCACCTGCAATGAGGAGTGGCTGCCTGGTTGAATGGAGCGGGGCTTCTGTTTGAAACCTCACTGGTTTTCTCTGTTGACAGCATCTTGATATATATGGCATGTGTCTCCTGACCTTAGTGGCCTCTCACAAAACTCTGGAGCATAACAGTGCATCTCTTTGAGATTCTCTTAGCAGCATAGTCCATAGGTGAATTCTCTATGGACTATGTGTCTTATATTTTAAACCAATTTAAACCAAACCCATCACAAAAGTACCCTCCAACTTTGGTGAAAACCTGTCCAGCCATTTTCTTATGATATTGTAAGACAGAAACTTAATTTTTTTTTTGGAGACAGTCTTGCCTTGTTGCCCAGGCTGGAGTGCAGTGGTGAGATTTCAGCTCACTGCAACCTCTGCCTCCTGGTTTCAAGCGATTCTTATGCCTCAGCTACCTGAGTAGCTGGGACTGTCGGCACACACCACCACACCCGGATGATTTTTGTATTTTTAGTAGAGACAGGGGTTTCACCATGTTGCCCAGGCTGGTCTTAAACTCCTGGCCTCAAGCAATCCACCCACCTTGGCCTCCCAAAGTGCTAGGATTACAGGCATGAGCCACCACGCCCAGCCTGTATTTTAATCTCCAGGTAAAATAAGAACCAGAAAGACTGGGTCTTGTGTTTGCAGTATGTGGAACTGCAAATTAAGACTTTCAAATAAGGTTGAAGCCCGAGAGACAATGGTAGGTAAGGGATGGGTCTGTGGAGGGCTCTGGACAAAAACCTATGTCTACCCACAATTGGTATGCAGATTATCTTGAGTAGTTGGGATTACAGGTGCCTGTCACCATGCCTGGCTAAGTTTTGTATTTTTAGTAGAGATAGGGTTTCACCATGTGGCCAAGCTGTTCTCAAACTCCTGACCTCAAGTGATCCACCTGCCTTAGCCTCCCAAAGTGCTGGGATTACAGGCATGAGCCACCACATCAGGCCTAGAAATGGTATTTAAGGTTTACTTATCTGATAACCTGATTTCCTCCCTAGAGAAAGAATTAAATTGTTTTTAGCTGATTGAATGGGGGCTTGGGTGACATTTCAGGAGAGTTAGAAAGTGTACGTGTATATTTAAAGACTGATTTGTAAGTTGACACTTGAATATATGTAAGAGTAGTCAACTTGGTTTGAAACAGTCTTTTTTATTCTTTTTGGTTTATTGGTAACTGTGAGTTGATTTATCCCTAAAATAGTTCAAAGCCTTTTCTGTTTTAGCTCTGGGAATAATGTTTTTCTTCTTTTCAAAGATGTAATATTTCTGTTAACACTATAGAAAGATAAGAAAGATAAGAACCTTCAGGGCTCTTTGAAGACAAAATTGTATTCTGAATTGGGCATTCATTAGACTGAGCGGATAAATCTCTAAATCTGGGTTTTATGATTTTAGGTTTGTTTGTTTAATGGATTTCTTTGCTTAAACTTCAGGTGCATGCATGATAATTTTGAAGAGCAGAGAGATGGACAAATGTGATTTGATTTATAAGTCTTTTCAAAGGCATTTGAAAATGTATTTCAGGTTTAGTTAAGCTTATTTTTCACACTCTTAGTTGAAGGCAGGAGTGATTGTTTTCCTCCCTCCACACCTCGAAAGATGGAATGGTTTTTCACTTATAAATTTTTCCATCTCAGAAAAGGAGGAGCAGAGGTTTTCCAGAAGGGTTAAGAATAAAGGTGGGGAAGGCAAGCCCTTGTTACCATAAGAGCAGGAATCCATACGGAAGAGTGGCTGGTTTAGATTTGCTGGCTTGAGAGTGGATTATTTTATCCAACTCTTGATCAGTGTTGTGAGAATTAAGTAAGATAATGGATTTAAGGGGCTTAGAAGTGTCCAATCAATGTTAGCTACTGTTGTTATTCTCAGTACTACATGTAGGCTTGATGGATATATTTGGAGACATTTGTACCAAGGGTTATGGGGCAATAAGTGCGTGGTTCACCATTTGGCCCAGTGAACTTTTCAGGACTTAGGATGAGGAAGGCGGGAAAAGCCCTGGGGCTGGCAGGTTTAGAGGGAGACTCTTGCATTATGGTCCTGAGAGCCCCAGGATAGGAGATGACCTTTATCACAAGATCTGAGAACTGCTGCTATCTCGGGCTTCTGGGATAATGAGCTGGAAGCTCACACTCTGACAATGGAGGGATTTTTTTTTTTTTTTTTGATGGAGTCTTGCTCTGTCACCCAGGCTGGAGTGCAGTGGCGCGATCTCGGCTCACTGCAAGCTCCGCCTCCCGGGTTCTTGCCATTCTCCTGCCTCAGCTTCCCGAGTAGCTGGGACTGCAGGTGCCTGCCACCACGCCCGGCTAATTTTTTGTATTTTTAGTAGAGACGGGGTTTCACTGTGTTAGTCAGGATGGTCTCAATCTCCTGACCTCGTGATCCACCCTCCCCGGCCTCCCAAAGTGCTGGGATTACAGGCATGAGCCACCGTGCCCGGCCCAATGGAGGGATTTTTTATAGCATTATGTCTACCTGGCTTTTCATATGACTTGTGTCCTGCTCATGCAGCTTTGATGACTTCTGAAGTACAGATGTTCCTTGACTTACAATGAGGTTGCATCTCAATAAACCCACTGTAACTTGAAAATATCTTAAGTAAAACTTGCTTTAATACACCTAACCTACTGAACATCATAGCTTAGCCTAGCCTACCTTAAACATGCTTAGAACACTTACATTAGCCTAAGGTTGGGCAAAGTCATCTAAAATAAAGCCTGTTTTATAATAAAGTGTTGAATATCTCACATAATTCATTGAACATTGTACTGAAGGGGCAAACCAGAATGGTTGTATGGGTACTTGAAGTACAGTTTCTACTGAATGCACATTGTTTTTGCACCATTGTAAAGCTGAAAAATTGTAGATTTAACCAATGTAAGTTGGAGACCATCTGTGTTTTGTTCCTCCTTAAAGCATACAAAAGTGTAGCCAAAGAGTGTTTCAAAGCTGGATTACATAATGAATTATTATTATTTTTTTTTGAGATGAAGTCTCGCTTTGTTGCCCAGGCTGGAATACAGTGGCGTGAGCTCGCCTGACTGCAACCTCCGTCTCCTGGGTTCAAGCGATTCTCCTGCCTCAGCCTCCCGAGTAGCTGGGATTACAGGCATGCCTGGAATTACAGGCACACGTCACCACACCCAGCTAATTTTTGTATTTCTAGTAGAGACAGGGTTTCGTCATGTTGGTCAGGCTGGTCTCAAACTCCTGACCTCAAATGATCTACCCGCCTTGGCCTCCCAAAGTGCTGGGTTTACAGGTGTGAGCCACTGCACCTGGCTGAAAATCCAGATTTTTGTCCAAGATTGCAGAATAAATTGCCTGGGACAAGTCAATGAGTGAGGAGAGATAAGTCAATGGACTGAGAAGGGGTAAACTCAGTCTTGCATAAACAGAATACAGAGGGGATTTGGGTGGATGGGGAGCAGTGAGTGAATGGGCAAAGATAGGACAAAACCAAGCCCACTTAAAGAACAATAATATTACAAAGGACAAAGTTGAGAATAAGAGGCAAAGGGAGGAAATTTAAAAAGCACATTTTTGAGCACTGACTAGTGATGCTTTCCCTGCATAATCTCATTTAACCAGTTTAACAACCTTAAAAAGGAAGTAGTAGTGTTCTTATTTCATAGATGAGGAAACTGAGGCTTGGAGACAGGAGAAATGTTCAGAGAAGACTGTTTCTAAAAGGGTATGTGGTTAGCTATATTCTAAACATTCTTGATACCTCCCCCAACCCCCCTGCCCTTGAATAGTCACTGTCTTCCCAGCCATCATCTATTCTACCTTCAAAACATATCCCCAGTTCATCCACTGCTTCCCATTTCCTGCATTGTCACCCTAGGCTACCACTGCGTCTCAACATATACAGCCTCTCGATTCTCCTATTTCCTAATCTGCCTTCTGCTTAAATTGTTCTTTCAACAAAATCCAGAGAAACCCCAAACAAGTGCACATCTGATAAAGATACTGCCCTCATTAAAACCCTCAAAGGCTCCCTTGCAATTACTTTAAGAATCTCAAGTGCTCATGCTGGCCTGCAAGACCCAGCATGACCTTGTCCCTGCCAGCCTTTCTGGTTACATCTTCTTCATCATCTCCTTCATCCCGGTGCCCCACCAATGCAGTCCTTTCATGTCTCTAACTGCATCCTCGCTTTCCTTCTCCGTGGTCTTTACTCATGCTCTCCTTGCTACTTAAAATACTTTCTTTCCACTTTGCACTGACAAAGTGACTTGTCTTACAGTTCTCACTTTAAACATCACTTTTCTAACTTTCCAAATTAAAGTAAGCCTCCTGTACTTATTAAGAGTGGCATATTTTTCTTTGGGACACTTCACAATATAGAATTATGTACTTGTTTGTGTGATAATTTTTTTTTTTTTTTTGAGTTGGAGTTTCGCTCTTGTTGCCCAGGCTGGAGTGCAATGGTGCGATCTCAGCTCATTGCAACCTCTGCCTCCCCGGTTCAAGCAATTCTCCTGCCTCAGCCTCCCAAGTAGCTTGGATCACAGGCATGCACCACCATGCCTAGCTAATTTTGTATTTTTAGTAAAGATGGGGTTTCACCATGTTAGTCAGCCTGGTCTTGAACTCCTACTCCTGACCTCAGGTGATCCACCTGCCTCGGCCTCCCAAAGTGCTGGGATTACAGGTGTGAGCCACCATGCCCGGCCTGTGTGATAATTTGTTTAACATCTATATCTCCCTAGTAGACTATAGCTCCACCTGGTGAAGGAGTGTGTTTTTATTGCTCACTATTGTATTTCCAGGGCCTCATGAAGTGCTGCCAGGTAAATAGGCCCTCCATAAATATTTATTGAATGAATACGTGAATGAATGAATGAATGAACTGCACCTAGGATTGCTGACAATTCTGGCTTTTGGGACTTTAGTGTCATTTTTCATTTACTTTCTTAAAGAGCAGTAAGTTTAAACTTATACTTTCACCTAGAAGACGGAAGAGTTTTTGAAGCAAAACCTTGAAGCTCGTGACGTGTGCCACGTAATGAATGGATGTTCACCCAATTCAAAGTCCCTGTGTTGTGATCTGACATGACCTCTGAGCTTGCCACAATGAACTTGACCACAAAGACACTGCGTGCACTGCCAACCACAACTAGCAATTGAGTAGCAAGCAGTGGTGTCAATCTTAAAAGCCTAAGATATTCTTAGATGCTTATTTTTATAATCAGTTTTATTATAGAGTTGCTAAAATGGGCCCAAACCATATGTCTCTCCATCGAGAAAAGTCAGCACTGACTGCATGAAACAAAACACTTGCAGAGACATTGAAAAGCCACTTGTTTGACTTTGGAAATAGAGCGCTAGTATTTTTTGCAACTCAAAAGACAAGCCTTGTCTTGGAGCAGTACAAGGAGAAGTGCAATCAAACAAATAGATAAAAAATCATTTGTCTCTTCATTCGAGGTCGGTTTAGAATCACTATGAAAGGTATATGCAATAATAGAAAGCCTGGTGAAGCCCGGAGCTGCAGAAAAGGGTTGAAATTATTTTGGGTCAAAAAGAGGCAGCCAAGTTGAAAAAGGTGCCCTTATTGAGTGACACCATCAAATGGGTTCAAAAGACGTGCTTGAAAATTGGTGGAGAGTCCCAGAGGCAGCTAGTTCTTTACATTTTGATGAAAGGGGGAGACATCCATGACTTGGCTATTTTGCCATCTTTAAAATAATGAAGTCTAAGAAGGTATGCTGATTTTCCCAATGCTGAATGGTATAGCAGCTGGTGAATTTTCAATAAGATACACTTTTCTCCTGTTCTAGCAAGTTTTGATATTTGCCATTTGGTTCCAGAAACTTATTGTGTCTATGTTCCTAAAGCACTTTGACTCTGAGAGAGAGGACAAACTGAACCTGATATATGATGTTTGTGCCCCTTGACGGAGGCTGAATTTTCTGAACTTGAATGATCAATACAACAGTGTCTTGCTAAAAATTGTCTCGCAGAAAATTTTTCATTCATTTTTCTTGATGGCAAGTAATGTATTCCTTCATCAGAACAATTAAACATCTTTAATGATTTTTAAAGACAGGGTGTAATTACATGCACATGATAAAAATTTAAGCAGCACCAAGGGCGTACAGTGAAAATTAAGTCTCTTTCCTGACTGGAGATCATAGTATGAGTGTTTCATGGCTCCTTTCAGAGAGATTCCATGTCTAGCATTTATACATGCACATAAATTCATTTCCTTTTTAAAATTAACACAAATGACAGCATGCTGTATTCTCTCTCTTTTAAAACATTGAGATGGGGTCGGGCACGGTGGCTCACGCCTGTAATCCCACACTTTGGGAGGCCGAGGCAGGCAGATCTCCTGAGATCGGGAGTTCAAGACCAGCCTGACTAACATGGAGAAACCCCGTCTCTACTAAAAATACAAAATTAGCCGGGCGTGGTGGCACGCACCTGTAATCCCAGCTACTCAAGAGGCTGAGGCAGGAGAATTGCTTGAACCCAGGAGGCGGAGGTTGTGGTGAGCCGAGACTTTGCCATTGCACTCCAGCTTGGACAACAAGAGTGAAACACCATCTCAAAAAAAAAAAAAAAAAAATTGAGGTGAAATTCACATAGCAAAATTAGCCACTTTAAAGTGTACAATTCGGTGACATTTTACTCCATTCACACTGTTGTTCGGTTATCACTTCTGCCTAGTCCCAAAACGTTATGTTCTCTTTTGCAATTTACTATTGCTCTTTCACTTAAAAATCTATCATGGAGATTGTTCCATACTAATACATATAGATTCATGTCTTCCATCTTCATCCTATGGGTAACCCTTGTGCCAGACCTGGAGATGAGCTGCTCAGATCTTCCTTAAACAAAGGCTCTCTGTCCAGCTGTGGGGAGTGAGGAGCTGATAGCCTTAACCTGGCAGCTCTTTCAGGGTCCCCTTAGCTGTTAAGTCATGGTCATGCTCTTCTTGGAGTGGCTCCCATCCAGTGACTGAGGGTACAAGGGCCTGACCATTTCTCTAACAGGCAATCTTTGCTGCCTTCTGAAATGGTGGTAGCTCTAAATTGTGCTCTAATGGCCCCTCCTGCCCAATCCTATCTCTTCTGCTTTTCTGGCAGAGGTGTTACTCCCTAATGAATCTTTTGCATTCTATCCGGGCATGCGCTTCTCGGAGAACCCAACCAACATGTACAGTATCTCATGTACACAGTCTTCTAAGGATTGACACTGAGGTTGCTTCTGGATTTTTGCAATTACAGATAGTGCTGGATACAAATCTTTGCAAATATACCTTGCACGCATGCATGAGAATATCTGGAGAATAAATTCCTAGGGTCTAATTGTGGGTCTATTTAAATTTTGCATAAAAATTTGATACATGTTTTCTAACCACCTGCTCCTCCCAAGAGGTTGCACCAGCTTACAGTCCCACCAATCAGGGAAGAGGGATTTTTTTTTTTTTTTTTTTTTTTTGGGACAGGGTCCGGTCCTGCCACCCAGGCTAGAATACAGTGGCGTGATCATGGCTCATGGCAACCTGGTCTTCCCCAGTTCAAGCAATCCTCCCGCCTCAGCCTCCCCAGTAGCTGGGATGATAGCCGCATGCCACCACACCCAGCTAATTTATATTTTACTTTTTGTAGAGACAGAGTCTCACTATGTTGCCTAGGTGGATCTTGAATTCCTGAGCTCAAGCGATCCTCCCACTTTAGCCTCCCAAAGCTCTGGGATGACAGGTGTGAGCCACCATGCCCTGCCTGAGAATTGTCTTCTCACACCCTTGTTAATAGAACTATTATCACATTTTAAAATGTTCTCAATTTTGTAGGTGAAAATATGTCATAGTAGTTTTAATTTGCTTTTATTTTATGATGAGTGAGGTTGATTGTATTTTCAACTCCTTAAAAATGATGACAAGCAAATGAAAACTATTTCATACTAAAACAAGCAGAGAAGATAAACATTTGCCATGGAATCTTGAGATAAAACACAATGCTTTAAAGAAATCCTCCGCTTGTAGAGGGCTACTTTGTGCTAAATTTCCATACATCTTTTGGCACAAATTCTCCTTCCTATTAAGAAAACTGTGATAGAAAAATTTGAGAAGTCCCGCATATTGATGTAAGATTTTCTTAAAGTACAGGAGGAAAGGTGTCTACCTGTATAAGGGATTTCCTGAGTACTGAATCTATTAGGTTTGGACATTAAGCATGTCATAATTTAATATGTATAATGAGTTAAAATGATTTTTTTCGGGAGTTGTTGTGAGTTGGCAATTAGAATGTTTTAATTCCTACCATTGGTTACACTCTGTCAGGCTCCATGAGATAAAGGTAATGGCAGAAATAATTACGTTTCCTGTTTTCCCAAATGAGTCTAAGGAGGAACCAGGGCAGGGAAGGCTAAGCTCCCATTTCAAATGTAACAGCTGTGAGTGCAAAGGACCAGTGGGGAATTTGTCCTGTCTGATGACAGGGGCAAGTTGAGGTGACATAGGAAAGGAATATCATAACATTCTGAGCTTTGGTCACAGACCAAGGCTATATCTATTAATTAATGGTCTATTTATTTTTATTTTTATTTATTTTTTTGAGACAGAGTCTCACTCTGTTACCCAGGCTGGAGTGCAGTGGCATGATCTCGGCTCACTGCAACCTCCCCCTCCTGGGTTCAAGCAATTCTCCCGGCTTAGCCTCGTGGGTAGGTGGGATTACAGGTGCACAACACCACGTCCGGCTAATTTTTGTATTTTTAGTGGAGACAGGGTTTTGCCATGTTGGCCAGGTTGGTCTCAAACTCCTGACCTCAAGTGATCCACCCGCCTTGGGCACCCACAGTGTTGGGATTACAGGTCTGTATCTATTCCATTTGGATGATGTTTTGAGACTCATTTTGCTTCTTTGTCTCCCTTAGGAGCAGGAGACTTGGTGAGGTATATTGATTAGACTAGAGGGTAGGCTGCTGTCACAAAGAAGCCCTAAAATGCAGTGCTTCAAAAATATGATTAGGACTTATGTTTTTCTCATGTTATAATCCAGGTGGGCCCAGGGTTGGATAGGTAGCTTGGTTCTGTGAACTCATCTAGGGACTTGGGTTCCTTCTGTCTTATTGCTTAGTCATCTCCTGGAGTTTGTTTTTATTCATGTGACTGAAGCTGACTCACCAGCATCACATGCATGTTCTGGCTCATTGGAAGGGTGAAAGAGAGGAAGTGGAGGACCAGCAGTTCCCTTTTTAGGAAAGTGATGAAGATACTGACACATCACTTGCACTCACATTCTGTTCATGAGAATTTAGTCACAAGGCCACATCCAGTTGCAAGGGAAGCTGAGAAGTGAGATCCCAGTAGGGTGACCACATGCCCTGTTAAAACTCCATGGGAGGGTATAAATGGAAGAAGAGAGGATAAATTTTGGAGGACAATTAGCCATCGATGCCACATGGACTCAGAGCCTGGCAGAATTATGATCCAAGAAAGGCAATAGGTCTACGTCTATCATTAGCCACATCCATTCCAAACCTCCTGAACTGGCACCACAAGTGGGCAAGATAGTGGCAGGGGAGAAGGTAGCACCACTTTCTTCTTTGATCCTTCAAATAGGCCAGAATCTGTTATCAAGGGTGCCCAGTTAACTAACTTGGAAGCCATTCAGTCATTCGACAGATAATTAATGGAGCATCTGCTATGTGTCTGGCATTGCCTAGGCACTGGGTGCAGGGATGTCCTTGTGGAGTTTCTAGGAGAGTGGAGGAGGTAGATGTTTAACAACAAAGAACTTTGCTAGATATATAATTACAAATTATGACAAATGCCATGAAGGAAAGAGTAGAGGATTCTGTGAAGAACTTGAGATATGGATTTCATTCATATTAGAGATAGAGGGAGGTCTTGGAGGGAGTATTTAAGCTGAGATCTAAAAGATGTGCTGGAATTGGCTGGTGGATGATGAAAGGGAAATAATGGTCTAGGTAGACTGTCTTAGTCCATTCAGGCTGCCGTAACAAAATGCCATAGGCTGGGTAGCTTATAAACAATAGAAACTTGGCCGGGCGCGGTGGCTCACGCCTGTAATCCCAGCACTTTGGGAGGCCGAGGCGGGCGGATCACGAGGTCAGGAGATCGAGACCATCCTGGCTAACACGGTGAAACCCCGTCTCTACTAAAAATACAAAAAATTAGCCGGGCGTGGTAGCGGGCGCCTGTAGTCCCAGCTACTCGGGAGGCTGAGGCAGGAGAATGGCGTGAACCCGGGAGGCGGAGCTTGCAGTGAGCCGAGATCGCGCCACTGCACTCCAGCCTGGGCGACAGAGCGAGACTCCGTCTCAAAAAAAAAAAAAAAAAAACAATAGAAACTTACTGCTCACAGTTCTGGAGGCTGGGAATTCCAAGATCAAGGCATTGGCAAACTCGTATCTGGCAAGGGCCTGCTTCTTTTTTCACTGTATCTTCACATGGCAGAAGCAGCAAATGAGCTCTCTGGGTTCTCTTTTATAAGGTTACTAATCCCATTCATGAGGGCTCCACCCTCATGACCTGATCACCTACCAAAGATTTACCTTCTAATACCATTACCTTGGAGATTAGGATTTTGACATGAATTTTGGGACACAGACTATAACACAGAGGAATTAGAATAGTAAATGAGAAGAGAAAGAAATTGTGTGGCTGGAGAGAGAGGCAGCATAGTTTTTCTATAGACTTGTAGGCCTATATGTATCAGAGAGCTATTGTTGCATATCAAATTCCCCCAAAAGGTAGTGACTTAAAACAATAGTCCCTTATTACTTCATGATTTGGCAGGCTGGCAGTCTAGGCTAGACTCAGCTGGGAGGCGTTCTGGATCTAGGCTGAGCTCCCTTATGCATCTGGAGTCAGCTGTGGGTCAGCAGATGCCTCTGCTTCTGGGGTAGGCTGGTTGTTGGCTGGGGCACCTCAGCTCTCTTCCACATGGTCTCTCATCCTCCATTAGGCTAGCCCAGGCAGGATTGTTCACATGGTGGCAGGGTTCTAAGAGAAAGTTGCTGCATGCAAAGCCTCTTGAGACTCATGCTTAGAACTGTCACGCCATAATTTCTGCCACATCTATTGGCCAAAGCAAGTCCCATGGCCAGCCTAGATTCAAGGGGTGAGGAAATAGATTTTAACTCTTGATGGGAGGAGCTGCCAAGCCACATTGTAAAGGGGGCAAGATAGAGGGAGGGGTGAATTATCAAGGGCATTTTTGCAACCAGGTAGGAAATTTGTGTGGTTGGAAGTCACAGGAGATTTTTAAGCAGGGACCAGCAATAACAGGGCACATAGCCAAGGTCATTTGTGCTGCACTGTGATGGAAACTTTCAAGAGCTTGTGTCTTACCTTGCCGTTGTGGTTATGAGTTCTTAGGATGCAAAGTCTGCGATGTCCTTTCCCAAGGCTGGACACAGTGCCCATCTGCCAACTCAACTCCCTTGGTTGCAAACAAGAATTGAAAGCTCTGTTTTCAGCACCTCCAGGTTTGCCAGTGAGGTGTTGTTGAGGAGATTTCACACAGACAGCTTAACTTGTTTGGAGTTGTGAAGCTAATACCATCACCACAAGCTGAGCTGTGAAGAATCCCAGACTTGTCTAAATTATAATTTGTTTGTTGGGCCTTAAGGGGGTCTGAAAAGCCTGTTCCAAATTCTTTCTCTCCAACACAAAAGCATATTTACCCAAACTGGCATTTCCCCTTTTGAGCATGTTTTTTTTTCAATGATAGTGTTTTGCCAACTATGGTGTGCTGGTTGTTAAGCTATTGTCTCTCGATGAACCCATGAACCCATCCTTCTAGACTTTTCTCTGCAGTAGCCTCTCTGCTTTCTCTCTCTCTCTCTCTCTTTCTTTCTTTTTCTTTTTTTTGACAGAGTTTCGCTCTTTTTGCCCAGGCTGGAGTGCAATGGTGCGATCTTGGCTCACTGAAACCTCTGCCTCCCAGGTTCAAGTGATTCTCCTGCCTCAGCCTCCCAAGTAGCTGGGATTACAGGCATGCACCACCATGCCTGGCTAATTTTGTGTTTTTAGTAGGGACGAGGTTTCTCCATGTTGGTCAGGCTGGTCTCGAACTCCTGACCTCAGTTGATCCACCCGCCCTGGCCTCCCAAAGTGCTGGGATTACATGTGATAGTTTTTCTATAGCCTTGTAGGCCTATATGGATCAGATAGCTATTGCTGCATACTGAATTCCCTTAAAGGTAGTGGCTTAAAACAATAGTCACTTATTAGTTCATGATTTGGCAGGTTGGCAATTTAGGCTAGACTCAGCTGGGAGGCATTTGTGTGACCTAGGCTGAGCTTCCTCATCTGCAGTCAGCTGTGGGTCAGCAGATGCCCGTGTGATGTTGGGGTGGTGCTCTGTGGAGCACCTTTTCCCGTCACCAGCCAGATGCTCTGTCATGAGGGAGACTGGAAGGAAGGAAGAAGGGGAAGGGACACCCTCCTTTTTGTTTGCTTGCTTTTCCAGTAGCATCTCTTCAGCAGTGATTCTTTACCCTGGCAAGGGTCATTGATTACAGAGGAAATTGTTCCAGTTTCCAGTTTCTTTCCCTACACTGCTAGAATCAGCCTCAGGAGCTCCCTTAGAGACACCAGCATTGTCAGGGGCCAACCCTCTCCTCATAGGGTCCCAGCTCCTGGTGGTTCCAAACTTCTAGGTTCTAATAACCCCATGCTCTTCCCTTTATTCCTTCAGGACAGTAACTGCTTTATGTAGTTCTTATCTCCTTGTTAACTCAAGGGTTCCCTTTTTTACTTTTTTAGTTCTCCCATACCGTTTAAAAAATTCTGATAAAATAAACTCATGCAGTTTCTGTTGTGTTGCCCAAACCTTGGCTGTTATATATAGTATATAAGATTATTTTAAATGATACCCACTTGAGCACTCAAACAAAAATTTGAATGGGCATTTATTAGTATAATATATATTATGGAAAAATATAACGAATACACAAAACTCATTAGTTCTTGAATATTATTGCTTAAGATTAAAACAATAAATTAAGAATGGGTTAACTTAAAGAACAATATTATGCAAATAGGACGAGTGGAACACAAGCAAAATAGCTGTGGGTGTAGGCTAGCTGCTGGCTGGGGCACTTCAGCTCTCCTCCACGTGGTCTCTCATCCTCCATTAGGCTAGCTTTCGTAGGCTTGTTCACATTGTAGTAGAAAGCATATGCATGCCGGAGAAAGCATATGCATGCAAGAAATTTTGAGAGTACGCTAGTGAGGTATGTCTACCCTGCCCATTACTGTAATAAAATGACCTTTTAGAAGGAAAATCATCTTGATTCCAAAAAAGGATCCCGATAGAGAGATTAGAAAAGTCATAAATTCAGATTTCCTACGTTTCTTTACATTCCCAGGTCCATATATGATGTCACCAGGGTTCCCAACGTAGCAGCCAACCGTGGTCATTCCCCAGCACCTGAACTCTATCCTATAGCTGACTGTTTGCTGGGTTTGAAGGCTGAACTTTACATATTCAGATCAACCAACAGTTGAGAGGGTTGGCTGCCATTTTGAAAGTCATATATAGAAAGAGCTGCACAAAAGCAACCAGTGGAGTCTCCAAAGTTGGTGGCCCAGATATTTGTGTTTCATCATCATGGTGTTGCTGAGCTCTGAGTTGCTTTCTGGGTGGCAGTCTGGAGGTCAAATACCACACCTGGGAAGACTGTGTAGCGAGGTCGGAGAGGGAGTTGGGGAGGCTTGAGGAGCCACTCAAATATCTTACCTGTAGCTGACAAGGCACAACCCGTAATGACATCCTGTTCTCAGAACTCTAATGCTATCTTGTTTTTTGCTTTCGTGACAAGGAGTTGAGGTAGTTATTTTTGTTCCAAGCAACTCCAGATGGGTGAAAGTCAACCCACACAGTCTGGAAAGGATACTAATCCTTCAAATCAGAGACTTCACAAGAAGCACAGAGGTGGCCAGGCCTAATGAGGTTACCCCAGTGGAAACTGTGAACCCAAAATGTGACTTCTGGATTATGTGCAAATGAGTAGAAAAGTGCAGCCCACTAAGTGGGGACCTGGCATTAGACAGTTGTCTCTGGAAACACTTCAGCAAAGGCTAAGTGGGGAACGTGTCCCTCCATGACTGACACTCAGTGTCATAGCTTTAATTTTATTTCACTTCTGAGAGGAAAGTTGACATAGGTGAGCTACAGATGGAAAGGAAGGGGATATGAAGAACGATTTCTCTTTTACCTAAATGTGACAGCAAAAATTTTTCAATTTATACATTCAGTCCTTCACAGAGACTTCTTAATCTTCAGAGAGATTGTGATGTGCTGAAATTTTCTGGTTGAATGTTTTTCTTTAGGATTGGTGGTTCAGAGATAGAGGCAAAAGCAATTGAGAACCACAATTTTTCTAAGATAGCTAACAGTTCCACTTGAAATGATCAATATGATATAGAAAAAAATGGTTCTTTGGTTTCTGCATTGATTTTAATCTTTTTGGAATTTTTTTATACACAGTGTCTTAAAAAGGACCAGGTTTGCTATTTATTGATAGATCTTCCTGAATGTCTCATCACCAAAACTTTTTTTAAAACATTGTTTCCTTAATCACTAAAGTTTGCCAAGTGTAGGAATGAAGTGTATCAAGGCAACTTGCTTGTTCTTGATTTCTGAATTATTTTTGACTTGTTCCTTTTCTCTGCCTATATCCAATCACTTCCCAAGCCCCACACACTGGGGCCATTCACTCATTCATTCATTCAACAAATATTTATTGAGCACCCGATATGTGCAACCTTCTTCCTCAACCTGGAGATATTTATCCTCAAAATTTTCATTCAGTGCTTTTTATTGTGGACCCTTAGCATCTGGTGACATGAGGTATCTGCCATTGGCCCAGAAAGTGTTCTGACATCTTTGGCATCACAAGCATCACTTAGATTAGTTTATTGCCTCTCTTGTGTCTAGGCATAAGTATGATAATGATCAGGTTTGCATATATCCATCAATTTAAATAGAGAAATAAATATAACAGAGACAAGGCGCGGTGGCTCACGCCTGTAAGTGAGGTCAAGGTGGGTGGATCATCTGAGGTCAGGAGTTCGAGACCAGTCTGGCTAACATGGTGAAACCCCATCCCTACTAAAAATACAAAATTAGCCAGGTGTGGTGGCGCATGCCTGTAATCTCAGCTCCTTGGGAGGCTGAGGCAGGAGAATCACTTGAACCCGGGAGGTGGAGGTTGCAGTGAGCCAAGATCGCACCACTACACCCCAGCCTAGGAAAAAAGAGTGAAATTTCATCTCAAAAAATAAAATAAAATAAATATGACAGTAATCTCTGTTTATTAAACACATAATGTGCCAGGTACTATTGTGGTCACCCTGCAAAGACATGGACCCCACCACCCAAAATTTGTTTTAGATGTCAAGACTGATGATACACCACATGCACCAAGAGGGTAGGAAAAGGTTTATTGCTCATATAATGAAGCTTTCTGAGAGAGCAGGGCAGATTCCCAAGCAGGTCCAAAAATGGCTTCAGAAAACCAGGCAAGGAAACTCCCTTAGCATTTATGGTGGTTAGGGATGGGGATGGGGATGGGGATGCGATGGGGATGGGGATGAAATGTGGGTCTGGTGGGAGGGCTAGGGCTTGTTGGGTATGAATTTCCAGCTGGTGCCAGAGGAGAGAGCAGCAGGCTTTCTTAGCTTGCCCAGATGTGGGGCAGAGGGGGAGAGGGAGGGTGGAAGATGTTAGCAGTCCCATATCAAAAGTGGAGGCAGACTGTTTTTCCCTCTACAATTTTTTTTATTATGGTAAAATACACAACATAAAACTTACCATCTTAACCATTTTGAAGTGCACGGTTCAGTGGTATAAAATAAATTGATATTGTTGTGCAACCATCACCACCATCCATATCCACAAGTCTTCATCCTGTAAAATGAAAACTCTGTACCCATTAAACAATAATTTCCCCACTCTGTCTTTCTGCAGCTGCTGGGGACCACCATTCTACTTTCTGTCTCTCTAATTTTGACAACTCTATGGGCTTCCTTTAAGTAGAACCATACAGTATTTGTTTTTCTGTGACTGGCTTATTTTACTTAGCGTAATGTCCTACAAAATCATTCATGTTGTAGCGTATTGCAGAAATTCCTTTTTTTTTTTTTGATGGAGTCTTGCTCTTGTCACCCAGGCTGGAGTGCAATGGCACGATCTCAGGTCACTGCAACCTCTGCCTGCTGGGTTCAAGTGATTCTCCTGCCTCAGCCTCCTGAGTAGCTGGGATTACAGGCGCCCACGACCACACCCAGCTAATTTTTGTATTTTTAGTAGAGACAGGGTTTCACAACGTTGGCCAGGCTGGCCTCGAACTCCTGATCTCATGATCCGCCTGCCTCGGCCTTCCAAAGTGCTGGGATTACAGGCGTGAGCCACTGTGCCTGGCCTTCCTTCCTTTTTAAGGCTGAATAATATTCCCTTGTATGGATATACCACATGTTGCTTATCCATTTGTCTGTCAATGGATAAGCATTGGATTTTAACCATTGGGAATTATGCTGCTATGAACCTGGAGGGGTATATAAATATCTTTTCAATAATCTGCTTTCAATTCTTTTGGGTTATATACCCAGAGTCAAAATTGTTGGCAGGCCTTTCATTGCAATTCGCCCTTGATATTTGACTGATGACTAAAAATGTGCCATGTTTCAGTTAATTGAGTTTGAACTGGTTTAATTAAGCCATTATGGTTCTCTATGAGGCTTGTGTCCTGAGGCTGGTAAGGAAATTGAAAGTCCCATTGAATGACTCATTCCAGAGCCCAGCATTATGTCTGTTGAGAAGTGAAATGCGTGCTTTGTTCAGAACACAAAATGATATAAGAAGTGTCTTAGGGAGGCTTTGTACTGTGGTTTTTGTAGGTACAGAGACATGTGTGACCTTGATTTATATGTTGGATATCTATGAGGCAAGAGATTCGTGGAGTTCTGTACTCCAAAGGCAGAAACTCTGGGTAAGAAATTGTTGTTCCTGCCATTGGCAAGACTAGAAGGCCAGATGATTGGCAGTGGTCCATGAGTCTGTAAAGGTGTGTGGACGGGCTGATTATTAGCCAAGGCATCCTGGGCTAAGATTACTTCCTGAAGTTCCGCCAATTGTGTTAACCTTTGGATCCTCTCCTTTTTCAAGAATGTCCTGGTTAGGGATGGAATGCAGCAGCTTTCTAGCAAGCCCCATCACATTGAATGTGGTTAAGATCTCGCCCACAAAGATTGTGTGCAATGGCAAGGCTGTTGAGTGCTCCAGCAAAGGTATATTGTATCCCTCTGAAGGTGAAGACAAAGTGCAGCTAAGAGACTGTAAAAATAGGCATTGAACATAAGAGATTTAGCTAAATCTACGACTGCAGGGTATTTACAAGTTGCTGATTTGATGAAGTCAATAGTTTACTAATATTGGGTATGAGAACCTCAATGGGTAAGGCATTGTGACATTAAGATTACGGTATCAGCCAGGTGCAATGGTGCACACCTGTAATCCCAGCACTTTGGGAGGCCAAGGTGAAAGGATTGCTTGAGACCAAGAGTTTGAGACTCACCTGGGCAATATGGTGAGATCCTGTCCCTATAAAAAATAAAAAAAAAATTAGCTGGGTGTGGTGGTACACAGCTGTAGTCCCAGCTACTCTGTAGGCTGAGGCAGGAGGATTGCTTGAGTCCAGAAGTTTGAGGCTGCAGTGAGCTGTGATAGCGCCACTGCACTATAGTCACTCTGAGTGACAGACAGACCTTGTCTCAAAAAAAGAAAAGAAGACTTCAGTATCTATAGTGAGGCACTATTCTTTCCTTCCAAGGTAAAAGAGGTCAAATTGAGCTATTAAATGGAGAAGTAGTGGGAATAATCACTCCCTTTTCAAAACGGACCTTGCATAATGAGTTTCAATCTTAAATGCCTTGTTTTGATTTATATTAGATCTTATTAAATATTCTAACTAGGGTCAGGGACGTCTTAAATATTCTAACTAGGGTCAGGGAGGTCCAGGGGGTCACATTTTGTGTTAAGCCCATTGTAAGTGTCAAAAACCTAATTTAACTTTAAGTTATCACACTTTGGGTTAGAGCATCCCTGCCCACTATGAGATATTTTGGGGCCATGGGCATTTTAACTAGGCGGAGTTTAGGTAAGGCAATATGTCTGGTGGTTAAGGAGAGGCATACCTATTTGTCTTCCATTTATGTTCAGTAACTCTCCCAAGATTATAGGGGGTACCTTGTTTAAATTTAGTGGGATCCCAGGTATGACCATAATTTCAGCCCCCGTGTTGATGAAGGCCATTAAAATTTGCCAACGGGTACATCTCAGTAGATTTTGAAGTTAATTCACAATCTATGCTGCAGAGCTGTAAAGGCCAATCTTTTATCTTTTTGTTGTATACATTCTTTTGGTGCATCTTGGATTTCCAGTTGGGTCAAATTGAGGACTTCTGTTTCTGTTTTGTAGTTGTTGTTGTTGTTGTTTCCTCTGGCTCTGGCATCCGGGTGTTATTATTGTTATTGTTTTTTGATGGTTACTGGATATACTTCAGGGAGTGGGTGTTCTCTACCTTGCTTATATTTAGAAATTTCACCTCAAAGAGCCTGAAATTAATACAGTCCGAATTAGGGGCCTGCCTTTTAGAAATGGTTGCTTTATTGGGTTTAAGGACCCAGGGTTTAAGTTGTGTTTGAATTAACCCTTTGGCTATGTCACCAGGGTGCTAAGCGTATTTTTTTCCGTATAACTCTCAGGATTGAGAACTTTGTTGTGAGAAACACATAAGCAGCAGCGGCAGCAGCAAAACCATTCTGTAGGGTCCTAGTGAGTCACCTGTTTTTAGGAGTATGACTTCAGCATATACTTCCATGCAAGGACCACTCAATGGCATGCATATTGCATAGGGTATCCGTCTTTTCCCAAGCACTCTATAAAATGGGGACTAAAGTCCTGTTGAGACATACAACGAATGGTAACAGAGTAAGAGTCATTCCCCTGAGCCTAGTGGCAGTCATGGCTTATGCTGGAATTGAGACACACAAAGGAGTCCAGACACATGATCCAAGGTCACTTTAAGGAGGGCCCCAATCCCATGCTCCTGTTTCTAAATGCCAATTAGTGAAATTTCTGATTTAGGTTGGTTAAGTATATAACAGAGGCTTGAAAGCTCAGCAAATTCAGCAGAAAGCAGCTCAGCTCAAAGAGCAAGTCAGCCTGCCGGCAGCGGCACAACTCAAAGCGCATGCAAGCCAGCAGGCAGCAGGGCCTGTTCACAAGTCAAAGCCAAAGAAGAATGACCCCCGGTGGTGGTGGTCATTGCCTAGGCATACTGCTCACAGAGTTGTGGTCACCCTGCAAAAGTGGGATGGACTCTGTCACTCCAGATTTGTTCATATGACACACACACACACACACACACACACACACACACACACACTATGACAAGGTTTATTACTCACGTAATAAGCAAGGCAGGCTTCCCTAGTAGGTCCAAAATGGCTTGAGAAAGCAAAGAATGGAGGTTGGCTTGGGTTTGATGGTAGCTGGGGGATAGGGTTGGGTTGTGGGTTTCTGCCTACAAGTCAGGCTTGTATAGTGTTGAACTTCTTGGCATCACCAAAGGAGATAACACCCAGGTTCTGTTATTGGTCTGTTCAGATGTGAGGCAGAAGAGGAAGAGGAAAGGTTGGGACTTGAAAGCTATCAGCAGTCAGATATCAAAAATGGAGCGAGATTATTGCAGATATATTATTTCCTTTAATACCTAGTTACAGATTGGAAAATAGGCTTAAATAGGCCACATGGCTATTAAAAAAATCAAATAGTGGAACTAGAGTCAAACTCTGGCCCATCTGACTTCCAAACCTATTCACTTTTTTTCCTTTTTCGGTAAACATGGGGTCTCGCCCTGTTGCCCAGGCTGATCTCAAACTCCGGGCTTCAACTGATCTACCTGCCTTGGACCCCGGAAGTGCTGGGATTAAAAAGAGCCACTACACCTGGCTCAAACCAATTCACTCAACCGCTAGGCTACATTGCCTCAGGAAGAAAGTAAAGGGTCTAAGCTCTAACAATCCAGGCTCTACAGATATCATGAAGGAAACATCATTTATCAGTGAAAATAAGGAGTTGGTCAATGTTAGAGTATAAAACAGAGAAGAATAGGGAATGTGGGCCAATTTGGGCTTGAAATGTATGTTGACTAGAGATCTCTGTCCCTTGGTATGGTTGGTCAGAGCAATTCATTATAACTCTATTTGATTATCCCCACTTAAAGTTGCTGTCCCAGTAGTCCGTACAAGCATTGGTGGACTTGCTGGATGCAGTGGCTCATGACTGTAATCCCAGCTCTTTGGGAGGCTGAGGCAGGCAGATCGCTTGAGCCCAGGAGTTTTGAGACCAACCGGACAAACATGGCAAAACTCTGTTTCTACAAGAAAGTAAAAAATTAGCCAGGTGAGGCAGAGTGCACCTATGGTCCCAGCTACTCAGGAGGCTAAGGTGGGAGGATCAACCAAGCCTGGAGAGGTGGAGGCTGCAGTGAGCTGAGATTATACCACTGCACTCCAGCCTGGGTGACAGAGCAAGACTCTGTCTAAAAAAAAAAAAAAAAAAAAAAAAAAGCATCGGTGGGCTGGAGTCTAGTATCAATATTAATTGCAGAGTTTCTTAACCTAGAGTAGGGGAAGAGAAAGAAGGGGTCAGAGAAGGGGCATATAGATGAGTATCAAGAGTTCTGTGCATCAGGCCGGGCACAGTGGTTTATGCCTGTAATCCCAGAACTTTGGGAGGCTGAGGTGGATGGATCACGAGGTCAGGAGTTCGAGACCAGCCTGGCCAACATGGTGAAACCCCGTGTCTACTAAAAATACAAAAATTAGCTGGGCGTGGTGGTGCATGCCTGTAATCCCAGCTACTTAGGATGTTGAGGGAGGAGAATCATTTGAACCTGGGTGGCGGAGGTTGCAGTGAGCTGAGATCGTGCCACTGCACTCCAGCCTGGGCGACAGGGTGACACTCCATCTCAGAAGAGTTCTGTGAATCAGATACGCGCGCACACACACACACGCGCGCACATAGCTTTTCTTCCAGTTTTCTTTCTGTTACTTTGAAAGTCATCTTTGAAAAAAATTTGGTGTCAAATTATATGATTATGATATTGTTCCATTTCAAACAGTTGTGGAATGGTAATATACAAAGTTTATGGTTATGGTTGTGTCAATGCCTATATTAATTTCTCACTGATAAAAATTAAAGAAGATATGCCTTGCCTTAATACTCAAGGGAATCTGTCTTTGTTCATATCAAGTTTAGCTGAATTGGGAAGTATGAAGAGATAAAAGCATGACGCAACTGACGTATCCCTTGGTTTCGCTTTCCTCATTGAACATTATGGGACACTAAAGCCACAATGGTTCTGTGAATGCAAATCGCTCATCAATGGGTGCATAAAACAAACAAAACCAAAGAAGCAACTTCCATCTCAGCATCTTTCAGTGTGGGTGTGTTTCCTGAGACAAACCTTAAATTTGGAAAGGCTGGAACTCCACCTGATCTTACGTTTGCCCCAGCCCCAATGCCATATCTAGAAACATTCTACAACATTGTCACTCACATTGCCAAAAATGCAGAGTATCTGTACAACTGGGGATATCTTGAGGAAGACCAGTACCTTAGCAGTGATCAAGCTGGTTTATGACTTGGAGCAGAGAAATCAATAAAGTAGTGCCTCTCTCAGATAACCTCACCTACTCCAAAAGATGAACACTTATTTCTTTTTTTTTTTTTTGAGACGGAGTCTCACTCTGTTGCCCAGGCTGGAGTGCAGTGGCGCGATCTCGGCTCACTGCAAGCTCCGCCTCCCGGGTTCACGCCATTCTCCTGCCCCAGGCTCCCGAGTAGCTGTGACTACAGGCGCCTGCCACCACGCCCTGCTAATTTTTTTTTTTTTTTTTTTTTGCATTTTTAGTAGAGACGGGGTTTCGCTGTGTTAGCCAGGATGGTCTCGATCTTCTGACCTCGTGATCCGCCCGTCTCGGCCTCCCAAAGTGCTGGGATTACAGGCGTGAGCCACCGCGCCCGGCCGATGAACACTTATTTCTTCGGGATATTTTAAAGCAAGAATTGTAGCGATTTCTCCTTCCTTCAGCTTGCAACTGCGTGCAACTGTCGACGCCTTTCAGTGCGGAGGTAGTACTCTTTATGTACTCTTCATCCACTATGTGCATTCTGACACCTTCAGAAGAAACATTTTCTTTTGGTGAGTCCCGTTGGAAACATCATGCCTGAAAAGTTTATTTTCTTCAGACACAACTTTAACTGGGAAAAATGTCTGGGTATGGATGACAGCATCTGGCATGCCTTACAACACATATGGCTTCCTTGTTTTAATGGAGACGCTGCGTGCTTCATTACTTTCTACACTGGCATGGGGACTCGGCCAAAATCCTGAAGGGAGCCTTGTCTCGTGCCCTAAAAGCTGGCCTTTTGAGGAGTTTTTGCTACCGAATGGATGCAGAATATCGTGTTCTTCCTGTTTACATACAAGTATGCTGCCTTTCCAGGAAACAATTCCCCCAAGCTCTTGATTGAACCTGGGGCAGAATTTTCACCTTTATGAGAGTATGAAAAGCTCCTTTGCAGTTCCCCACCCTGTGTCCAAGTGTTCTCATTGTTCAGTTCCCACCTATGAATGAGAACATGCAGTGTTTGGTTTTCTGTCCTTGCGATAGTTTGCTCAGAATGATGGTTTCCAGCTTCATCCATGTCCCTACAAAGGACATGAACTTTTTTTTTTTTTTTATGGCTGCATAGGGAAGGGGCAGGGATAGTATTAGGAGGAATACCTAATGTAAATTACTAGTTAATGGATGCAGCACACCAACATGGCACATGTATACATATGTAACAAACCTGCATGTTGTGCACATGTACCCTAGAACTTAAAGTATAATAATAATAATAATAATAAGAAGAAGAAGAAGAAGAAGAAGAAGAAGAAGAAGAAGAAGAAGAAGAAGAAGAAAAGCTCCTTTGCAGAACAATTTGGCAGGAAATTCTTTTACCACTGGACTTACTTGGAAGAAATTATTGTTCACCAGAATGAAGCCAATATTTCCATGCAAGGTCCTTCAGTTACTATTATGGTCAGTGCAGAAAAATCGTGAGCTTTTTTTGGCAAAAATGTTAACCTGCAGTGGTTAAGTCTCTGCTCTGAACTGCTGTGTGAACCAAAATCTTACCCTGCAGGGGGATAACTCTGCAAACTTCTCAAGGCTGAATGAAAGCGATTCTGCAGATTGGAGCCAAAAATGACAGCCTTATAAATTTCATGGCGCACCAAATCTGAAAACACCTTGAAACACTGATGAAGTCACTTGAAGGTTACTTACACTCAGATCATCTTCAAATTTAATGATAGATTCATAAACTCTTCCCTCGTTGACCCAGCCTCATTAACTTAAGGACAAAAGAAAACAGGCGACATGAATTTAATTTACCAAGTCTTGGAGGATTTGGTGTTTATTGACATAGCCCCACTCTAACTTGGCAAAGCAAGCAATGGGAATGTTAATTTTGTCTTTTCCTGTGCATTTTGGGGGTTCAGGGTTTTTGACCCTTAGTGCCATTTAACGGAAAATTTAAAATTGATTTGGGATTGATATCAAAGACTACTTCACAAAGCCAACTTTTGATTCAAGCCAAGAAATTATAGTATTTTCATTAAAATGTGATTTTGAGAAGAAGAAAATTTTAAACATTTGTTTTATTTGCAATTTTGGATTGACCCCCTTTACCATTTAAATAGGCCTTAACTCTTAGAATAAGTTATAAAATAATTAGATCAGGAGTTTTTTTTTTTTTTTAAGACAGCTTTTAACTTCTATTGATATACAAGACATACATTTCAAATGTAAAACAAATTAAATGCAAAAGTTTTGGTGTGTGTATTTTTGTGTGTTTTTCTGAGAAGGAGGAGCATAGCTTTCTTCAGGTTTTCAAAGAAACCTCGGATGCTCATACCGGAAAGAACTGTAGCATATGGCCAGGTTGGCTACTCTGACTTCGGTTCTACTGGTTCCAATTACTCCCAATCATAGGTTTAGGCTGTTGAGTTCTCGTCAGGCTGTTACACCTCAGCCAACTCCCCTTTTGAAAACAAAAACCCAGGAAGGTTAATCAGTCCAGTCCCTGGTCCTTAAGTTAATCAGTACAGCATTGAAGTTATGCATGAATTTCCCAAAGGTAAACAGATTTCTATTTAAATGTTATTGCTCTCATTAGCATCAGCAGTTTTCATTATAAATGTGCTGAGATGTTCTTTTCTAATCTAGTTTATAAATTATGCTTATTACTTTCAGATGTTGAAAAGAAATCATTTTTTTTTTTTTTTTGGTTCCCAGTGTCCTTTTCCCTCACGCTTTTATTTACTCTGCTCCCTCGTGATGAGCAGTATTTCTATTACAGCCTTCACTACCTTTCTCAATGGCCTATTTCCCCCGAGTTCCTCTGATTCCCTGCTATTATAAATCCTCCTTTTTCTCCTTCTACTCTGAGTGTTCTTTCTTTGACTCACACTAATAATTGTAGTTACACATTTATTTTATTGTTACCTTCCATCTATGGCAAGAAATGCTGGTTTTCAATTACATTGGCTATATCATGTGTCCTATTTAGAAATGCATTTAAATTAAAAAGTGAGTTGATTTAAAGCAGGGATCAACAAACTTTTTCTGTAGAGGACTGAATGGTAAATAATTTTGGCAAAAAATTCAACAGATAATTACAGGGAACAGATAATGACAGTGGGTGTGAGAGTGACCTCAGAGTGCCAACAGATATGTGTGTGTGTGTGTGTGTGTGTGTGTGTGTGTGTGTGTGTGCAGGACCAAGGGAGCTGTGTTGGCCCTGAAAAAACTTGCCCTTTTCTATCCACTCTAGATTATCCACCAATACATTATGATACACTTTATGTTAGCCTTTGCCATTTTACAGATGAGGAAACAGGCTAAAGGGCTGGGCAGGGTGGCTTGTATCTGTAATCCCAGCTATTTCGGAGGCCAAGGTGAGCAGATCACTTGAGGTCAGGAATTTGAGACCAGACTGGCCAACATGGCGAAACCCCATCTCTACCAAGAAACAAAAATTAGCTGGACGTGGTGGTGCATGCCTGTAATCCTGCTGCTTTGGAGGCTGAGGCACAAGAATCGCTTGAACCTGGAGGTTGCAGTGAGCAGAGATCACGCCACTGCACTCTAGACTGGGCGACAGAGTGAGACACAGTCTCAAAAAAAAAAAAAAGGGCTAAAGTATTGCTGAAGGTCACAGAACTAGTAGGTGGAAGAAGTGAGATTTGAGCCAGATACTCTGACCCCAAGACCCATGTGCTTCACCAATGTGCTTCCCTTGCCCCAATTATGTTGACTAAGGAATTGACTCTTCCCCTTAGGAGGTCTCAGTATAACAGAAACCAGTTCAGTCTTTAGAAAGTTGTCAACCTATGGACATGTGCTTGGCATCCTCCCTCTTACAATTTCCCTGCAAAGGTGAGCAATGCAAGCCCCGTACATGGAAGAGCTTGGCCTCTTCCCTTGTATCAGGGAATGGACTGAGAGCCTGCTTGCCAATAGTCAACTCCAGGTGTCTGTGCAGATGGGCAGGCAACTTATTTGTCCATTGTCTGCTATTGCTGTAATGATAAGGGATGTCTGCTTATGGGACAAAGCAACCACAATAATATCAACAAATAATAACAATTACGCCACACTTGTATGATTCACCAGATGTCAGACACTCTCCTAAGCACTTTGCATGTGTTGCATGTATAATCAATCCTCATTTGACACCCTCTGATGTCAATTGACACCCTCTGAGCTGGGGTATTAATGTCCCAGGGCTACTGTAACAAATGACCACAAACTGTGTGGCTTAAGACCACAGAAATCTATTCTTTCATAATTCTGGAAGCTAGAAGTCTAAGGTCAAGGTGTTGGCAGGACCATATTTCCCTCCAAAGCCTTAAGGGAAGAATCTTTCCTTGCATATTCCAGATTCTCGTGGTTACTGGCATTCCCTGGCTTGCAGATGAATCTCTCCATTCTCTGCTGTGGCCTCATGTGGCCTTCCTGATGTATCTGTCTCTGCGTCTCCAAATCTCTTCTTCCTCATAGGGACACCAGTCATTAGATTTAGGGGTCTCCCTAATTCTGCATGACCTATTCTTCACTTGATTACATCTGCAAAGACTCTATTTCCAAATAAGGTCACATTCACAGGTACCACGGGTTGAGACTTTAACATATCTTTTTTTTTTGGGGGGGGGGTACAATTTAACCCACAACATGTGGGTACTGTTATTATTTCCATTTTACAAATGGGAACTCAAAGGGACTGAGAGGTTAGGAATTTGTCCAAGGTCACACAGCTTTATCAGCAGACTCAGGATTTAAACTCAGGTATTCTGGAAGTCTCTGCTCTTAACCACTGTGTGAACAACTGCTTTGCCTGCAGAACTGCCTGGCCCTCCCAAAGCACCTGGCATTGACAAACGCCAATTGAATTAGCTGAACGTGAATGTCTAACGCATGTGTGGCCATGTCAGTGGTGGCTCCCAGGAGCCTGAGGACAGGTGAGGGACTTGGCAGAGCGTGAGGATTCTCATTCGTCTGAACAGGGAACCGGTCTCTCCGTGCGGCTGGGTGGGCACATGACCAACTCCGGCTGCCACCTGGGTAATTGGTTTCCTGTGTTCCCTTCAATAATGAACAATATTAAAGGAGGCTGGAGATGCAATGGAGATAGAAGCATTGTGGAAGAAACAAAGAGATTTTAATGTGTTGAGTCTTGGGTCCAGGGAAGATGAGGGACATGATAATCGAGTATTAAAACAGAAAAGATTATGCAGCGGGCCTGGCACCATTCATCATCACTCCCATCCTCGGCTGGCGGGAGAACTGGGCGTCTGACGAGACTCCGGCATTATCTCCGCAGTTTATTTACATCTCAAATCAGGTTGCACTCACAGGAGAGAGGAATTCCAAGGATGAAATGTAACTACATGATATATTTCCTACAGAAAGTGCAAACACAATACAGACTATCTGGTTAAATATATCAACCCAAAACGACCCAGCTGCCAAATGCTTGAGTTTGCATTTTATATTTCTTGCTGTGAGACCATTATATACCCTCTGAGACCACCTGCCTCTTCTGTCTTCTATTTTTCGGACTGCTTCCCCACCACCTTTTCTTCTACCCCACTCCTTAAACTTCCTTCTCTCTTCACATCTGTCTAGACAACTTCACCTTCTTCATGGCTTTAAATGCTGGCTGTGTGCTGATGGCTTCCAAGTTGTACCTTCCTAGGCACACAGCTCTTTTTTTCCTTTCTCAGTTATTTAAAATCTTTTTGAATGGGCACTGCATTTTCATAGTTAAAAATCCAGATAGTATAAACAGTTAGTAAAAATTCTCTCTCTTCGTTGTCTTGTATATGCCTAGTTTCTGTCCTCATGAGAGATTATTGCACTTAATTTTGCGTTTCTTTCCTTTCCTTTCCCCCAGCCCCTTTCATTTCCTTTCTTAACAAAGTCTTGCTCTGTCACCCAGGCTAGAATGCAGTGGTGCAGTCATAGCTCACTGCAGCCTCCAAATCCCGGGCTCAAGTGATCGTCCTGCCTCAGCTTGCCAAAGTGCTAGCATTATGGGTGAGAGCCACCACGCCTGGCACTCTTGGTTTCTTATGACTCATTCCAGAAGTTCTTTACACGTATGCAAAAAGATTGATATATAAATTGTAATTTTTCCTCATTTTCCTTCAAATGTATCATATTACATACAAATTCTACACTTTGCTTTTTTCACTTTAGATCTTTCTGTGATAGCATATAGAGAATATCTTCGTTCTTCTTTTTCTTCTTAAAATTTGTAATTGCACAATGTTCTATTGTCTGGATGTCCCATCATTTACTTAACCAGTTTCCTATTGATAGGCATGTGAGCTGTTTCCAGTTGCTTGTCATGTTGGATAATTTTATGTGTCACCTTGACTGGGCCACAGGCTGCCCAGATGTTTGGTTATATTATTTCTGGGTGTGTTTGACATGAGGGTGTTTCTGGATGAGATTAACATTTGAATTGATCGACTGAATCAATCAAGCAAACTGTCTTCTACTGTGGGTGCCCCTCATCAAATCTATTGAAGGCCTGAATAAAATAAAAGGCTAAGTAAGGCTCTTTCTCTGCCTGTCTTTGAGCTGAGACATCAGTCTTATTTTGCCTTCAGACATGGACTTGGATAGAACTTACTGCATCAGACTTGGATAGAACTTACTGCATCGGTTCTCTTGGGTCTGGACTTCTCAGCTTCCATAATTGTGTGAGCCATTTCCTTATATTCTCTTTCTCTCTGTCCCTTTCTCTCTCTCCTCTTCAAACACACACTCACATATATATGCATGTACTTATACATACACATTTGTATTAGTCAGGGTTCTCTAGAGAAACAGAACCAACAGGGTGTGTGTGTGTGTGTGTGTGTGTGTGTCCTGTTGGTCTGTTTCTCTCGAGGACCCTGACTAATACACTTGCATTACAAATGATGTTGTAATGAGTAATTTCGTGCAAATACAATTCACAGTTGTGCATGTATATCCTTAGGATAAATTCTCCAAAGTGGAATTTTTGGAATAAAGGATATGTACATTCATAATTTCACTGGAGTGCCAAATTGCTCTTCAGAGTGATTATATGAAATTAAATCCTCACCAGCAATGTAGAAGCATTCCTGTTTCCCCACAGCCCTTATCAACAAAATGTGTTACCAAACGTTTGGGTTTTTTCCAATTTGATAGGTGAGAAATGTTATCCAGGTAGTCAATTTGCATTTCTTATATTATGAGTGAGGTTGAACATCTTTTTCTATATTTAAGAGCTGTTTTTGTCCTTTTCTGTGAACTGAGTGATCATATTCTTTGTCCCTTTTTTGATGTGGGTTTTTCTCTAGGGCCAAGCTCTAGATTTGAACATCTGACACTCTACTTGGATATCCTAGATGTGCCTCAAATTTACCATAGCCCCAAAGAGAACAAATCATCGCCTCTTTCCTTGCCTTAGCCCAGGACCTTCTTGTATTTTCCTAGCTTGGGTAATGAGACCCAGCCCAGAAATTTCCAAGCTATTCTAGATTCTTCTCTTTTTCATTTGGTCAAGCAGCACTATAAAAATACCTGATCTAGTTCCTTGACAGGGAGAGGTAATCTGGGTGTAAGTTTATTTTGCAACTATAGATGAGAGGCAACAGTGAAGAAGAAAGTACCCCTGCCTCTGAGCCACAGGATGTTATGAGAAAAACCTGGTACTGTATGAAAAAATGTCCCCCCAAACTGGGAAGGAGCCAAGAGACCAAAGAATGACTCGGACCAGTCCAGCTTGATGAGTAGATGAGTTTATTGGGACTTACATACAGGGTACTCCTGGGTGGCGGCAAGACAGCTCCAGAGACCCACCCGCCTCCTGTCTGTAAGCTGCTATTAAGCTACCTGTTTTGGCTCTTTACCTATTGCATACAATGAGACTTTCTCTTGGTATAATCCCAGATATGCTGTGGGATGTTTGGGTTGTCAGGGACACCTGCTCGTTGGCTGGGTGCTATGACCTTGGCCCACTGCCCAGCCTTTAGGGTTCCACCAGCAGACACACACCGTTAAGTAATCTCACGAGGATCAATCACTGTATACTTACAAAGAACAAGAAGCCCATGAAACTTGGGCATTACTACTCCAAAGAGGCTGGCTCACCTAAAGAGGGTGGATGCATGGACTTGTGAAGAATACTCTCCATCTTACACCAACAAGATGAGCTCCAGACAGGTAGAGCTAGTCCCAGTATAGAAGGTTAGCCAAATTCAGAGGGGGGTGAGAGAGAGAGGAGAGAGAGAGAGAGCGAGCTGGTGGGGGGGTGGTGGGGTGGGGAGGGGGTTGCGGGGAGAGAGAGAGAGAGAGACAGAGAGACTTTAAGAAAGATTGTGTCTGAGTGTGGTGGCTCACACCTGCAATCCCAGGAGGCCAAGGTGGGCGGATCACTTGAATCACTTGAGTCCAGGAGTTCAAGACCAGCCTGGACCACAAAGTGAGACCCCATCTCTACAAAAAGATAAAAAATTACCTGAGCATGATGCTGTGCTCCTGTAGTCCCAGCCACCCCAGAGGCTGAGTTGGGATGATTGCTTGAGCCCAGGAGGTTGGGGCTGCAGTGAGCTATGATCATGCCACTACCATTGCACGCTGGCCTGGGTGACAGTGAGACGCTGTCTCAAAAAAAAAAAAAAAAAAAGAAAGAATGATTGTGTCTTTCTCACCTTTAAGTCCTTACGTTCCTTCAATGCTGGATTATGGGATGGGCCAGCCAGGCCGCTGCATGCAATGTTCGCTTATAAAGGACATTAAAATATGTCTATGATGCTAAAAAGTTCCGGAAATGTGATGAGAGGAGAACATTTTACCCATGGGAACACTCTGGGAGACTACCAAATGCAGCTGGAAAGAATCCAACTCTCACATCTTTGGGACAGGGAATGGGAACCTCTCCTTTCTTTGCAGAAGGGGGTATGATCTTAGTAGAATCACAGGTGGCTGCTAATTGGCCTTGTAAGGGGCCTTATTGATTTTGGGGCTTTGGTTTTGCTGACTGGGGCATGCAGTCGGATCAGAGAGGAATTGCTGAGGATGCATAGGAGAGGCTGTGCATTGTCAACACACACCCATCGTCTCTCCCTTTCCCCTGATAGGCCCAGTGTCTTCCTAAATACATGTTGAAAAAAATACTTAGACCTTAGAAGTTTGAAGGTCTTCACCTTATTACCCCTCATCAGGCTCTGGTCCTGTGTCTCTTTCTTTCTTCAAAGTTGGGGAATTAGAGGCCTGCTTTGTGCTGCTACAGGTCAACCAAAGGGGGTCTGGGTCTATTGCCATAGTTATTTCTCAATGCACCCTTTTCTAGGATGTCTAACAGGTAAGGAGATATCCAAGGGAAAGCGAGTGGTGGGGCAAAGACTTCTTAGAGCAGGACAACAGTACACCCTTAGGGAGAAGGAGAAGAAAATTAGAGGAGGAAGGTATAATCTCTGGCTGGGCCTCCTCATTTTGGGAATCATCATGATCTTGACTGATTTGTCCAGGATTCTGAGAAAAGGAGCCTGTGTGTTGTTGTTACAGGATACAAGTCATGGCCCATTGTTATGGACAGAACTGTGTCCTTCCTAAATTTATATGTTGAAGCCTTAACCCCCAGTTTGACTGTATTTGGATATAGGTCATTTAGGGAGGTAATTAAGGTTAAACGAGGTCATAAGGGTGGGGCCCTAATCTAATAGGACTGATGTCCTTAGAAGAAGAAGCATAGATACTAGAGAGCACCTCTTCCCCTCCCTCTTTGTGTAAGCACAGAGAAAAGACAATGTGAGGATACAGTGGGAAGTCAGCTGTCTGCAAACCAGGAAGAAAGGGCTCACTAGAAACCAACCCTGAGCTGGGCATGGTGGTTCATGCCTGTAATCCCAGCACTTTGGGAGGCCAAGGTGGGAGGGCCACTTGGGCTCAGGAGTTCGAGACCAGCCTGGGCAACATAGCGAGATCCTATCTCTTAATAAATAAATCAGTCAATCTTGTATGTATGTATTTATGAAATTATAGAAACCAACCCTGGCACCTTGATCATGGACTTTTAACCTCCAGAAGGTGAGAAAATAAATGTCTGTTTTTGTTTTTTGTTTTTTGTTTTTTTTTCTGAGACAGAGTCTCGCTCTGTCACCCAGGCTGGGGTACAGTGGTGCGATCTTGGCTAACTGCAACCTCCACCTCCCGAGTTTAAGTGATTCTCCTACCTCAGCCTCCTGAGTAGCTGGGACTACAGGCATACGCCACCACGCCTGGCTAATTTTTTTTTGTATTTTTAGTAGAGATGGGGTTTCACCATGTTGGCTAGGCTGGTCTTGAACTCCTGACCTCAAATGATCCACCCAGCTTAGCCTCCCAAAGTGCTGAGATTACAGGCGTGAGCCACTGCACCTGGCTAACAAATGTCTGTTTTTAAAGCCACGCAGTCTGTACTATTTTCTTTTAGCAGCCTAAGCAGACTAATACACCCACATCTTTGTTTCAAATTCATTTTAATTACATATGTAAGAGATGCTTTCATTCTCCCTGTAAAAAAAAAAAAAAAAAAAATTAAACATGAGAGGCTTCACACCTCTCCTCTTGGTTCTCCAGACCAGGAGTTGGAAAACTACTGCAGGCCCAATCTGGCTCGCTGTCTTTATTGAAATAAAGTTTTATTAAAACACAGCTCATTCATTTGTATATTATCTGTGGCTGCATTCACACTCCAAAGGAATTGCTGATTAGTCATGACAGAGCCCCTAAGGCCTGCAGAGCCTAAAATATTTACTATCTGGCTTTTTACAAAAGAGGTTTACCAACCACTCTCCTAGATAATCTCGAGAAACAAGCACTGTTGCCAGTTTGATGTGAATTGTTTCAGCTTATAAAGCTCTGTATTGATGTATGTGTGTGACATTAATGTATTATATATTTTTGCACATTTTTCTTTTACTTGTTGTCTAGTTGACAAATAAAAATTGTAAATGTTGACCATGTGTGGTGGCTCACGCCTGTAGTCCCAGCACTTTACGAGGCCAAGGTGGGAGGACAGCTTGAGTTCAGGAGTTTCAGACCAGCCTGGGCAACATGGTGAGACCTTGTCTCTACAAAAAATACAAAAAGTAGCTGGGCATGGTGGCATGTGCCTGTGGTGCCAGCTACTCAGGAGGCTGAGTCTGGAGAATCGCTTAAGCCCAGGAGTTCAAAGCTGCAGTGAGTGATGATTGTGCCACTGCACTCTAGCCTGGGCGACAGAGAGAGACCTTGTCACAGAAAAAAAATTGTATGTTTATGGTGTACAGTGTGATGTTTTGATATATGTATACATTGTGGGATGGCTAAATCAACCTAATTAACATATTTACCACCTCACAGACTTATTTTTTTTTGTTGTGAGAACATTTAAAATCTATTCTTAGCCTGGGCGTGGTGGCTTACACCTGTAATCCCAGCACTTTGGGAGGCCAAGGCAGGCAGATCACCTGAGGTCAGGAGATAGAGACCATCCTGGCTAACATGGTGAAACCCCATTTCTACTAAAAATACAAAAAATTAGCAGGGTGTCGTGGTGCACCTGTAGTCCCAGCTACTCAGGAGGCTGAGGCAGAAGAATCACTTGAACCAAGGAGGCTGAGGTTGCAGTGAGCCGAGATCACACCACTGCACTCCAGCCTGGGCAACAGAGTGAGACTCTGTCTCAAAAAAAAAAATCTACTCTTAGCAATTTTCAAGTATACAATACATTATTATTATTATTATTATTAATTATTATTATTATTACTTTGGACAGAGTCTTGCTCTGTTGCCCAGGCTGGAGTGCAGTGGTACCATCTCAGCTCACTGCAACCTCCCCCTCCCCAGTTCAAGTGATTCTCATGTCTCAGCCTCCCAAGTAGCTGGGATTACAGGCGCACGCCACTATACCAGGCTAAGTTTTGTATTTTTTGTAGAGATGAGGTTTCACCATGTTGGCCAGGCTGCTCTCGAACTCCTGAACTCAAGCTATCTGCCCACCTCGGCCTCCTAAAGGGCTAGGATTACAGCCGTGAGTCACTACACCTTGCTTACAATACGTTATTATTAACTATAGTCACCATGCTATGCAATGGATCTCCTGAACTTATTCCTAACTGAAGCTTTGTACCCTTTGACCTACATCTGCCCATCGCTTTCCCCTCCCCTTGCCCCTGACAATCACCATTCTCGATTTTTCTTACGCAATAGTAAATCTTGGAGATTTGTCCATGTTAGTAGACATACATCTACCTCGTGGTTTTAACTCCTGCATAATATTCAAAGTATGAACGTGCCACAGTTTATTCTGTAACTCCATTAATGGACATTTTGGTTATTTCTACTGTGTTTTCCTCTATAATAAGCAGTACTACAACAAATATCCTTCTATATACCTCCTTATGCACATGTGTGAGTGATTCTCTATGGTTGATACCAAGACTGAAATTTCTGGGCCATGAGGCAGGCCCATGTTAAAATTAAGTTCTCCTTTTTGAATAGGTCACACATTTAGTTAATTCAAAAATAAAAAATGATATGCAAGATATATGTCACAAAGTCTTTCCCCCATCTTTTTCCTAATCTATTTTCCCTTCTCTCACCCCTGTAGATATTAATTTGTTGTGTATACCTCCACAGTTCCTTTATGAAAACAAAGCAAAGAAGAACATGTATTCCTATTTTCTCTTCTTTCTTACACAAAAGATACCATACTATATATATATATATATATATATATATATATATATATATTCTTCTTTATTTCACTTTTTTTCACTTGATAATATATCTTGGAGCTCTTCCCATAACCATAAATCTTCTATAACTATAGAGAGTGTATACTCATGCTATTTTTTTTTTTTTTTTTTGGAGACAGAGTCTTGCTCTGTGGCCCAGGCTGGAGTGCAGTGGCACAATCTCAGCTCACTGCAACCTCTGCCTCCTGGGTTCAAGTGATTCTATTGCCTCAGCCTCCTGAGTGGCTGGGATTACAGGCACGTGCCACCACGCCTGGCTAATTTTTGTACTTTTAGTAGAGATGGGGTTTCACCATGTTGGCCAGGCTGGTCTTGAACTCCTGACCTCAAGTGATCCACCTGCCTTGGCCTCCCAAAGTGCTGGGATTACAGGTGTGAGCCACAGCACCCGGCTAACTCATGCCTTTTTACATAGTATTTAATTTACATAGTATTTCTTTACATAGATGTGCTATAATTTTTTTAACTAGTCTCTTATAGATCACTTTTCCCTGATCTTTTGCTACTACAAACAAGACATAAGCATTTTATTATTTTTTAAAATTTTTGTAGATTTAGGCTTTGAGATGTTTTATTCATTCATTTAGTTATCCAAGTATGTATGTCTGTACTAAATATTTGCTAAGGTCTTGTGTGGTGGCATTATCTTAGGCACTGCTGATAACAGGATTCACAGAACAGGCACAGCCTTTCTTCTCACAATGCTTAAGATCTTGTTAGGACAACAGACCTTGGAAAGAAAACACAATCGTAATGTATTTCCATAATGAATATGAACCTCTGTTAACCCATCCAAGATTTTTTTTTTCCCTCGTGATCGCACATTTTGTGGAGGAAATGTATAATTATGCTTGTGAGACAGAGAAAAACTAACTGGGCCATGAGGACCTGAATCCATTGCCTCCGTAATTATTACAGAGACAGGCACATTTTAAATTTCAATAGACATAGCCATGCTGCCTTTCAAAGGGGTTGTGCAGTTTACATGTCCACCTGGGTGGATTTTATTTTTAAAAGCTTTTTATTTATACTTATTTAATTTAAAAAATTATTTATTTATTTAGAGACAGGATCTCACTTTGTCACTCATGCTGGAGTGCAGTGACGTGAGATCGTAGCTCATTGTAGCCTTGAATTCCTGGGCTTAAGGGATTCTCTTGCCTCAGCCTCCCTGTAGCTGGGCCTACAGGCACACCTCACCATGCTTAGCTAATTTTTTATGTTTTGTAGAGATGGGGATGTCTTGCTATGTTGCCCAGGCTGGTCCTAAACTCCTGGCCTCAAGCGATCCTCTCACCTCGGCCTCCCAAAGTGTTGGGATTACAGGCATGAGCCACAACAGCTGGCCTTGGGTGGATTTTTAAAGGAGCCAAAATAGAACAGACACTGGCACCTTCTGCTTTAGCCAGATAAAACTCCTGTGGTTCCCAGAACAGGACGCACGTCGTCAAGTGTTCTTGCAACAGCAAGAGAACACTCTTGATGGAAACCCCCCTTTCTACAGTTTGTCTGTCTAGCTAACATCTTCCTCTAAGCTACACCATGAAAATCTGTGGCACCATCTCCAACCCCTGTAGGTAGAGTTGATCACCCCTCCTCTGTATCACCACTGACATTTGCCCATATCTCTAGTTTTGTACTTGTTCCTAGTTCGTTTTCTTTCCCGGCCTCGTCTCACTTCCTTCATTGTGGACTTCTTGAAGGAAGAGACCATATCTTTATTTACCTTTGTATTCCTAAAGCCTAAGACAGTGCCTGTTTCCGAATAGCTGCTTCATCATGTTGGCTAATGAATAAATTAACAAATAAATGATCACTGAAAATGGAGATGAAACCACCAAATTGAATTTGGACAATGAATCCTGGGGTGTGTTTATCCACTAGTTTGCCAATCATGCAGATGAGCTTATCTGCGTCTGCTGATGGGATTTCGGCATAATTTGCATGCTAGAGGAGGAGGCTGCCAATTCACAGAGGATTCTTCTAGGCATTTGTCATTCATTATAGAACATAAGCTTGCATTGGAGTCTATGCAGCACAGCATCAGCCAATTAGAGGAGATTGTAGCTTTGGAAACAAACATCTGCTTGATGCTGGGTAAATAATATTTAGAGTCTGGTGTTTTATGCCTGTCCATGTGATTAATTTGAATCCTGTATAATTTTGTATTTGATCATGTGGGACTCACAGAGATCATTTCTATTACCTAAGTTACAAAAGCCATATCTGGCATTTCCCAGGATTGGTCCCATGTTTTAGGAGAGGCTTTCTGGTTGGGGTCACACCTGGGACTGGAGGTAAGTGTCTATACAGTGGTAGCCAACTTCCATAAAGGAAAATAGAGAAGGACGTCTGTCTCCAAATTCTATCCTGGATAACACTTCTGTAGAAAATTCAGGAGTACTGGGAAAACGTGAATGTCTTTTCTTAGCTGTTGCTAATTGGTTCTCCTCTTTCCAGGGGTAAGGAGGTTAAAAGAAATGTAGTGAGTTGAGTACCATTTATAAAGTTCCTACTCCATGGCAGTTCTTCCCCAGATGCTTTTCTTACATTTTCCCCATTTGAAACTCTTTTTTTTTTGGATGGAGTCTTGCTCTTGTTGCCCAGGCTGGAGTGCAATGACGTGATCTTGGCTCACTGCAACCCATGCCTCCCAGGTTCAAGTGATTCTCCTGCCTCAGCCTTCTGAGTAGCTGAGATTACAGGTCCTGGCCACCATGCCCAGCTGTTTTTTTTTTTATTTTATTTTATTTATTTTTAGTAGCAATGGGGTTTCACCATGTTGGCTAGGCTGGTCTTGAACTCCTGACCTCAGGTGATCCACCCACCTTGACCTCCCAAAGTGTTGGGATTGCAGGCATGAGCCACTGTGCCCAGCCCCATTTGAAACTTATATTACTGTGGGGTCAGTAGAATTCTTTCCAGTTTTACAAACAACAAACAGGGTTGAAAGAACATATCCTGGGCCCCCAGCTAGCAGGCAGCAGTGCTGGGAGTTAAAGCCAATCTGCTACAGTCTCTGCTCCTCCCAGGACACCATCCTGCCTTCCCAGGGGATGCAGCCAAAGGTATTCAACAGAGCTATTTGCTGTAACATAGCTGTGATTCTCTGCAGAGAGTGCTGGGTGGATTGGCTGTGAATTTTGCCTCCCTTGCTTCCAAATGAAATAATCAAATGCATTGGCATCCTCATCCATGGGGTTCTCAAGTATATCATCCAAATGCTTTTTGTAAAAAGATGAGAGACCCAGTAAAGAGCCTGCTGCTGGTGGGCTTGGGTATACAGCAAATGCTAGCCAAGTGGTTAAGAGTACAAAATATTTGCTAAGCTAATAGTACTGCCTAGCTCTGTAGCTACCATCAGAATTAAACAAAGAGATAGGCCACTGCATTTCAACAGAATCACCTATGGAGCTTGAAAACATATGCATGTCTGGTCACCACCCACAGATATTCTGATTCCATTGGTATTTTAAACGAGCTTCCCGTGCTATTCTGATGCACAGTCAGGCTTTGGAATCTGTGATCTAGTCTATGGATCATTTGAGTCATCAGAACTTGAATAAGAATTGCTTTCTTTGGATACATCTTTTCTTTATCACATCAAATCAATCTCCCCCCAACCCCCACCTTCCCTCTCCCTTTTTCTCTAGCAGTCAGAAATTCTTAAAAGCTTTTTGCCACTAAACCATCTGCTGGAGAAATCTCCCACTAGGTTTCAAATGCCAAACCTTTCCCAGTAGCAATTTTCTTTATTATTTTGGGGGAAAAGAATGCATTACATTTCTTCCCTATGAAATAAAGTACTTTAAAAATAAAAATGTTCATTATGGAACCATAGCAGTTGCTTATATTTTAAAAAAGAAAATAGCTGTATTAGACATGTGTCCTGGGAGTTTACTCCAGGCTTCCTTCACAGGCTTGATTCGGACTTCAAGGACAGGAAGTGTGGCTGATCATAGCACCACGATGCCCCGGTGAAGAGCAGTCACATAGAGAATGGAGATTAATTTCAGTCAAAGAATAGTAGGATGCTTTCTTGGCTTCCCGATGCCCACAAGCTTTATGGCAGCAGACCACGCTTAAAGCCTAATTTAAAGGTTTATGTAGGTTATAACCTTGTCACACTGCATAATCCCCTCCCAGTTCGAAGTCTTTACCCATTGGCATAAAAACCTATATCCTGTGACAGGGAACAGGAGTGTTAAGAGACTTGGAAAGAATAGGCTGGATGTGGTGGCTCACACCTGTAATCCCAGCACTTTGGGAGGCCAAGGCAGGAGGAATGCTTGAGGCCAGGAGCTTGAGACTAGCCTGGGCAACATAGCAAGACCTGAACTCTCTAAAAGAAAAAAAATAGCTAGGCATAGTGGCACCCGTCTGTAGTCCCAGCTAGTTGGGAGACTAAAGGAGGTGGATTGATTGAGCCCAGGAGTTCAAGGCTGCAGTGAGCTCTGATCCCACCATTGCACTCCAGCCTGGGTGACAGAGTGAGATCCTGTCTATTAAAATAAATACATCTGAAAATGTTGTGTTTTTTTTTCTTTTTTGAGACAGAGTCTCACTCTGTCACCCAGGCAGGAGTGCAGTGGCACAATCTCAGCTCACTGCAACCTCCACCTCCCAGGTTCAAGCAATTCTCCTGCCTCAGCCTCCTGAGTAGCTGGGACTACAGGCATGCACCACCACGCCCGGCTAATTTTCATATTTTTAGTTGAGGCAGGATTCACCATGTTGCCCAGGCTGGCCTTGAACTCCTAACTTCAAGTGATCCACCTGCCTCGGCCTCCCACAGTGCTTGGATTACAGGTGTGAGCCATGGCGCCTGGCCTGGAGATTTCTTAAGAGTCTCATTAGATGATTTTCTAATTCTAAGTAGAAGATCATCTGAGTCCTTTGCAATTCATTGGCTGTGGCAGATGACTAGCTATCCACGAAAAATTCCTGATCCCCTTTCTACAGCATGAAGTGGTTGCTGTGAGGCAACTTCTAGGCCAGCAATGCCATTTCCCAGTTTCCCTCACATCAGCAGGGAGTCATGTGATTAGTTCTCATCACAGGAACACGAGCAGAAGTGATGTGTGTTACCTCTGGGTTAGCTTTACTTATTTATTTATGTTTTGTGAGAGTTTCTCTTCTTTTTTTTCCCCCCAACTTTTATTTTAGAGGTACATGTGCAGGTTTATTGTAAAAGTGTATTGTGTGATGCTGAAGTTTGGAGTACAAATGAGTCTGTCACCCAGGTAGTGAGGATAGTACCCAATAGGTAGTTTTTCAAATCTTGCCCCACTTCGCCCCTCCTCCATTTTGTATTCCCCAATGTCTGTTGTTCCCATCTTTACGTCCATGTGTTAGGTCAGGATTTTTTTTTTTTAAGAAGTGGGTACCCTCTTTCCTTCTTTATTTCTCTTTCCTTCTCTGCCAGCGGAGTGCAGATAATCCCAAAGCTTTAGGGAAAAGTGGAACTGTAAGATGGAAAGAGCCTGGGTCCCTGAATCACTGTGTGGAAGAAAGTTGCCTGTTGATCAGATACACCCCCACTGTGCTTTATGTGCATGAGAAATAAGCAAAACCACTGGAATTGGAGGGATTTTCTTATGACGTTGGTTTGGATCACCCTCATTAACCATACACTGACCAATCATCAGGATACTGAAGACTTTCATCTGGCTGGAGGCACTTTGGCTTCCTGACACAGGGAAGCTGCTAAGAGCAAAGATGGTTTCTAATGTCTGGCACGAAGCATATGGGATGGGTAAAGAGTTTTTGTCCTGTGACAAACATTCTAGGTGAAAAGGGAATAATATTTGTTATCAGAAAAGAGTAGATAAAAATATTAAGGATGAGAGAGGTCTGTAAAAGCCATGCCCATTGTGACAAACAGGCAGACAAATAATTTCTGCCCCTTAAGATGGGAGAGTATTTCTCACCCCAGTCCTGTTCAAGCCTCCAGTAATAGGCTCTGTATTGTCCAAGCACTAACCATGCAGTGACAATTGTGGTAGTAACCAGGGAGGAGGATCCCTTTGCAAATAACCTGTATCAATAGCAGTAAATAGGGCCAGAATGCAGTGGCGCGATCATAGCTCACTGCAGCCTCGACCTCCAGGCTCAGATGATCCTCCCACCTCAGCCTCCTAAGTAACTGGGATCACAGCTGCATGCCACAATGCACAGCTAACTTTTTGTATTTTTTTTTTTTTTTTTTTTTTTTTTTTTTTTTTTTTTTTTTTAGAGACAGGGTCTCCCTATGTCATCCAGGCTAGTCTCAAACTCCTGGGCTCAAGCAATTCTCCCACCTCGGCCTCCCAAAGTGCTGGGATTATAGATGTGAACCAGCCAATAAATATCCTTGAAGGTCTACTACAAACCAGTCAGTAGGTTAGGTACAGTGAGGCCAAAAAAAAAAAAAAAGTTGCCCAACTGTATGTCTTCACAGTGCTTACAAAGCAGTCAGGGTGACAGAACATAATAACAAGAAATATTAAGCAACAGAGGCTAAGTATGAAATAAGTGGGAGGAAGGGAGCTGACACAGGCCTGCAGAAAACAATGAGCACACTCAGGTGCATGACATGACATCAGGGAGAGTCTTGGGTAGCAATCCCAATTCAGCAGCTTGCATCTGGGCGAAATGCAAACCAGAATCATTTTTAAAATTTGGGTAAGCCTATGAGAGTGAGTCCTTTATGTAAAAGTCATTTGACATGTGAGTCATGACCGCAATAAAAATTGCGAACCGATGTTCTAAAATTCTTCCAGCAGGAGCGTCATTATGCAATTCTGATTGGAGCCAACATGAGGTTTAAAAAAAAAAAAAAAAATCACCACTTTTTTGGGGAGGGGAAAAAGACGATATTTTAAAAATTAACAATTTTCCCAGCCTGTAAACAGATCAAGCTGAATGGACCCTGCCCTTAGAATTATATTAGGGAATCTGGAAGCTCCCGGATGTACTTGGTGTTAACCCTTCACCTGCTGGATCGTGAGTGGATTGGGGAGAGTTCTTGTGGGGCTTGGGACAGTGGCTTTCTCCAGCTAGTACAGAAGCATTTTATTATTTTAAATACCCACACAGCTGGTGAAACATACTGCATATTAGCCACATGTCAACCCAATATAGAATCTGCTATGGTCTGATTATTGGTGTCTCCCCAAATTCCTAAGTTGGAACCTAAACCCAGTGTGATGGTATTAATAGTGGGGCCTTCAGTAGGTGATTAGGTCATGAAGGCCAAAACCTCAGCTAAAAGTTGCTCTCAGTGAGGAATGGGACCTCACTAGGCACTGAATCTGGCAGTGATATTGGACTTCTCAGCCTCTAGAACTGTGAGACATGGAATGTTTGCTGTTTATAAGCCACCCAGTTTGTGATATTTTTGTTACAGCAGCCAAACAGACTAAGACAGAATAATTATAAAAAATGAAAATACTGGTGAGAAAGTAAAATCTCACTATGATCCCTCCTCTCAGAGATGCCTACCATTAACAGTTTAGGGTATATTTTTCCAGACTTTGAAAAGTTTTCTATGCAAACATAAACAAGATTATACTGTACATTCTATACTACAAGCTGTCCTTCCCTTCCCTCTCAAAACAGAGTATATTGTGAGTATGATGCTATGTGAGCACATAAAGAATTATCTTTTTCTCTTGCTCTTTCTTTTATCACCTAATTAGAAGTTTTGGACCTAAACCAATACTGTTATTGCAGTGTTTTTGTGCACTACCAAGCTACATCCTTACACTCAGGCTGCATTTTTAAGTGTACACAGTTCTTCGGTGTTTCTGAAACTACATTGAGTCCTCTCCTCATGAACATTTTCACAAAAAGACATACATGCAGCCAACAAGCATATGAAAAGAGCTCAATATCACTGATGATTAGAGAAATGCAAATCAAAACCACAATGAAATATCATCTCACATCTGTCAGAAAGGCTATTATTATTATTATTTTTTGAGACAGAGTCTCACTCTGTCACCTAGGCTGGAGTGCAGTGGCACGATCTCAGCTCACTGCAAACTCTGCCTTCCAGGTTCAACCGATTCTCTTGCTTCAGCCTCCTGAGTAGCTGGGACTACAGGTGTGTGCCACCACGTCCAGCTAAATTTTGTAATTTTTTTAGTAGAGATGGGGTTTCACCATGTTGACCAGGTTGGTCTCGAACTCCTGACCTCAAATCTGCCTGCCTTGGCCTCCCATGCTGGGATTACAGGCATGAGCCACTGTGCCCAACCCTGAATGGCTAATGGCTATATTAAAAAGTAAAAAAATAACAGGTGCCGGCAAGGTTGTGGAGAAAAGGGAACACTTATACACTGTTGGTGGGAGTGTAAATTAACCATTGTGGAAAGCAGTATGGCTATTCCTCAAAGAGCTAAAAACAAAACTGTCATTCAACCCAGCAATCCCATTACTGGGTATATACCCAAAGAAATATAAATCATTCCATTGCAAAGACACATGCATGCATATGTTCACTGCAGCACTGTTCACAATAGGAAAGACATACATTTAACCTAAATGCCCGCCAATGGTAGACCGGATGAAGAAAATGTGGTACATATACACAATGGAATGCTACACAGCCATAAAAAAGAATGAAGTCATATTCTTTACAGGAACATGGATGGAGCTAGAGGCCATCATTCTTAGCAAACTAATGTGGGAACAAAAAACCAAATACCGCATATTCTCACTTATAAGTGGGAGCTAAGTTGATGAGATCACGTGGACACAGAGGGGAACAACACACACTGGGGCTTATCAGAAGGTGGAGAGTGAGGGGAGGGACAGGATCAGAAAAAAATAACTATTGGGTACTGGGCTTGGTACCTGCGTGATGAAATCATCTGTACATCAACCCCCTATGACACAAGTTTACCTGTATAACAAGCCTGCACATGTACCCCGAACCTAAAATAAAAGTTTAAAAAAGTGAGTCCTCTCCTGAAGCTACCCTTCTTTCCATTATCTCCCCACGCCATTTTCCCAGTTTCTCTCACCCTATATTCTGCAGGGCTCACTCTAATCTTGACTTCCTGAATGAACTTCAGCCTTTGGAAGGATCTGTTGAGCATGAATAATTTTTCAGCCAGTTCTCTTGTAGTGTAGCATTTGAGGAGGTCAGTGGGGCAGTGAGGGATAGGACAGAAGGCAAGATACATAGGAGGCTGATTTAAACCTAGATTTGTCAAAAGGGCCACTGGGAGAGCTGTCCAAGGTGCTACACAATGGGTTCTGACACATCCCTGAATATGAAATGTATCAGCATGGTTTTTGTCAGCAACAGCAGGGGCACGAATCAAACAAGACTCACAAGATAGAAGCTTTTCTTTCCTGGCTGTTTCTTCTTTACATAAGGAGAGTCAGAACAAATATAGGAGGCTGGCTGAATTTTCTTTCTGGACATATCCTCTTGAGTGCCTTGCAGTCATCTCAAATTCAGCATGTCTAGAAATGAATTCATCACCCTTACTCATCAAACCTACCCCTCCTTCAGTTTTCCCTATCTCAAAATGACACCATTGTCCTTAAAAGGTTAAATCAGCTTCCATGCTAACTTCTCTACCTTCATATGCTTGTTGGCTGCCTGTATGTCTCTGGCCTCATGCAGTCTCTCACCAGGTTTTGTTGCACTTACCAAAAACATGCCTAGATACCATCCATTTCATTTCCAATGGTTTAGCCACTGGAAATGGCCAGCTTTCATCTGGACAATTGCAAAGGACTGCAATTTACTTCCTCCTTGTTCTCTTATTTCTTCCCACACAGCCATTAGAATTATCTTTAAGAATGCAAATAGATCCAGTCACTCCTTTGCTTAGATCATTTAATGGCTTTCCCCTGCCTTCAGGATAAATATGGACTCCCTGAGATGACCTGTCAGGCCCAATATGATCCAGTATCTTTGCTTTATCTTACATCACTCTCTTCCTTGTTCTATAGTTCTTTCTCTTATTCAAAGCTGACATACTCTATCCTGACTCAGGGCCTTTTCTCACATTATTCCTTCTGCCTGGAATGATTCGTCTGTCCCCCCTACCATCCAGCTAACAACTGCTTCATTTCTTAGCTCAGATATCACTTACTCCAGGAGACCCCATGCTGGTTTAGATCTACCATGATATGTTTCTGGTGTACTCTGTACATCTTCCCAATAGCCATACTCTGTACATCTTCTCAATAGCCAGTTAACTTACTCAAAGTTTGTTTTCCCTTGTAGACTTTGTTTCATGAGGGCAGAACCTGCATCTTTCTTGTTCACCATTGTATCATCAAGAGCAATGTTTGGCACATAGCCGGTGCTTAGCAAGTATTTGTTAAATAAATAAGCAGAAGTCCAAGGACCCAGACTCGTTGGAGACTGAGATAAATACCCTAAGACACTTCATGTTTGTCCACAAGCCTGAAGTGACCTCAGAGAGGGAACGGTTACAAGTTTAAAACAGCTGCAAAGTGCAGAGAAAAGGCCAGCAGATGTTCTGACTGTTAGATGTTCCCGGTGGGTTGTGTGCTGTGTCATATGGGACTGCCAGCCAGGGCCTGCCATGTCGGGAGACCTTGGGGGAAGGAGCAGATCTCAAGCTATAGCAGATGGTAAGTGCTGTCTTTAGTCTTTAACATTTAAGGAAAAGAACTGGGAATAGACGTTCGGCTCAGTAGCAGTTATGATGCATTTAAATAAGCCTTGCAAATCATTTACAGAATGCATATGCCTCCAAAATTCTTCATTGCTCATAGATTTTGTGGGAGCTTCCTCTGGTCCATCTTTGTATCCTCAATGTACAGTAGTGTCTGTGGCATGGGGCGAACCTTCAGTGTGGGTGGGCTACCCACTGAAGGAAGGCACATACTTGAGACATATTGGCATTTGGCCGGCTGTGGGTAATTGATCATCTTCCCCAGGAGAGTCACGCCCCCTAAATGCAGAGACTGTGCCTTGTGCCTTTTTGTACTCCCTCTCCCACTTTACTCAGTTTCTTGTTCCCCTCCAGCTAATATCAGGGCAGGTGGGTGGGACACTACTCGCCCTATCTTAGTTCAGGTTGCTGTAACACAAATACCATAGATTGTGTGGCTTAAATAGCAGAAATTTCTTTCTTACAGTTCTGAGTCTGGGAAGTCCAAGATCAAGGTTCTAGATGATTTGATTTGGAGAGAGTTTTCTTCCTGGTTTGCACAGACACCTTCTTGCTGTATCTTCACATGACAGAAAGAGAGAGAGATGGGGGTGGAGTGAGGGATGAGAGAGAGAGAGAGAGAGAGAGAAAGAGAGAGAAAGGAGAGTGAACTCAAGAGTGCTCCATCTCATCTTAGAAAGGTACTAATGCTGGCCAGGCATGGTGGCTCATGCCTGTAATCCCAGAACTTTCGGAGGCTGAGGTGGGTGGATCACCTGAGGTTGGGAGTTCAAGACCAGCCTGATCAACATGGAGAAACCCTATCTCTACTAAAAATACAAAATTAGCCAGGCGTGGTGGCACACTTCTGTAATCCCAGCCACTCAGGAGGCTGAGGCAGGAGAATCGCTTGAATCTGGGAGGCAGAGGTTGCAGTGAGCCGAGATCGTGCCATTGCACTCTAGCCTGAGCAGCAAGAGTGAAACTCTGTCTCAAAATAAATAAATAAATAAACAAATAAATAAATATATAGGTACTAATTCCATCAAGAGGGCTCCACCCTCATGACCTAATTACCTCCCAGAAGCTCATCTCCAAATACAATCACATAGGGCATTAGGGTTTCAACGTATGAATTTTGGGGTGACACAAACATTCAGCCCATAGCATGCTCTATCATATTTTCCTGGAGAACCGTGGTTTTGGAACAAGGGAAGTAGGGCTTGGATATTTCAATTAGCTTCCATTTGAAAATGGGAATGAGAATACCTGCTTCATAGGATTATTGTAAAGATTAAATGAAATTGCATATTTAAAATGCCTCAGCCTATGCCCGACTCATGATAAGTAGTTAGAAAATTATGGAATTGAAGAGACAGTATGCCATGCCATTATGGTCATGGGCCTTGCAGCCATAGAGTCCTGGGCTTCATTATGGGCCCTGCCACTAGTAAGTGAACTTGACAAGTTATTTAACTTTTCTGAGCCTCAGTGTCCTCATGGGGAAAAACAGGGCTAAAAATCTGTCTAGCTCATGGAGTGGGTGTAGGATTAAATGCAATATACATATAAAATGCCTTGCCATATAGTAAATGCTCAATAAAAAGATAGTAATTGTTATTACCATCGTTATTATTGAACAGCAAGTGATAAATTGGGATATCCTGACTGTCCTAAATTGTGTCAGAAATGTGGGATCTGGTTCATATTTATAGAGACTTCTTGTTCTTTCAATTGTTCAACCTAAAAAGCTTAGAGTTGTCGTTAAATCTTCCATTTTTCTCACTTTCCACAACCTGTCCATTGGATATTCTTGTTGATTCTACCTTATAATCTAGGTAGAGTCAAGCTACTTCATTTTTTTTTTTTTTTTGGCAAAATTCAGAAGACAATGTAAAATACATGTTATCAAATGCATTACAAATAACATTTCTATATTGATCAGTGATTTTTTTTCCTTTTCAACTTCTATTTTAGGTTCAGAAGGTATGTGTGCTGATATGTTACATGAGTAAATTGCGTGTCACTGGGGTTTGGTGTACAGATTCTTTTGTCACCCAGGTAATGGGCATAGTACCCAACAGGTAGTTTTTTGATCCTCACCCTCCTCCCACCCTCTATCCTCAAGTAGGCCCCAGGGTCTGTTGTTCGTTTCTTTGTGTCCATGTGTATTCAGTGTTTAGCTTCCACTTATAAGTAAGAACAGGCAGTATTTGGTTTTCTGTTCCTGCATTAATTCGCTTAGGATAATGGCCTCCAGTTCCATCCATATTGCTGCAAATGACATGATTTCATTCTTTAGTATGGCTGCATATTATTCCATGGTGTGTATGTACCATATTTTCTTTATCCAGTCCCCCATTGATAGGCATTTTGGTTGATTCAATGTCTTTGCTATTGTGAATAGTGCTGTGATGAACATATGCATGCATATATCTTTATATATTTTTTGAGACAGGGTCTCACTCTGTTGCCCAGGCTGGAGTGCAGTGGTGCAATCAGGGTTCACTGCAGCCTTGACCTCCTGGGCTCAGGTGATCCCCCCACCTCAGTCTTCCGAGTAGCTGGGACTACAGGGGTGTGCTACCATGCCTGGCCAATTTTTGTGCTTTTTTTTTTTTTTTTTTTTTTGTAGATACAGGGTTTTGCCATCTTGCCCAGGCTGGTCTCAAACTCCTAGGCTCAAGCAATCCACCTGCCTTGGTCTCCCAAAGTGTCAGGATTACAGGCATGAGCCACCACACCTGGCTGCATGCACTGTGTCTTTATGGTACAATGATTTATATTCTTTTGGGTATATACCCAGTAATGGGATTGCTGGGTCTAATTGTAGCTCTGTTTCAAGTTCTTTGAGAAATCTCCAAACTACTTTCCACAGTGGTTGAACTAATTTACATTCACACCAGCATTGTATACACATTACCTTTTCTCTGCAACCTCACCAGCATCTGTTGTTTTTGACTTTTTAATAGTAGCCGTTCTGACAGGTGTGAGATGGTATCTCATCGTGGTTCTGATTTGCATTTCTCTGATCAGTGATATTAAGCATTATTTTCATATGCTTGTTGTCCACATACATGTCTTCTTTTGAGAAGTGTCTGTCCATGACCTTTGGCTATTTTTTAACGGAGTTGTTTGTTTTTTGCTTGTTAATTTGTTTAAGTCCCTTATAGATTCTGGATATTCCAGAATCTAGCTACTTCTTAACACCTCCATTGCCTTCTTAACGCCTCACTCTTGTCTGAGCCACTGTTGTCTCTCTCCTAGATGCTGCTACAGCCTCCTAGCTGGTCTCCCTGCCTCTCCATCCTTGATCCCTACAGGCTTCTTTCAACATAGTAGCCAGAGGGATCCCGGTAAAAATACAAGTCTGTCTGTGTCTCTTCTGCACTCAAAACACTCCAATGGTTCTGCAACTACCCCAGAGTAAAAACCAAAGTCATTCCAATGACCTAGGAAGCCCCACGTGCTCTGCTCCCTCCCTGATGCCTCTCTCTTCTCACCTCCTGCCAGTCTCTCCCTCATTCAGTTCATTTCAGCCACCTAGTTTATTTACTGTTTCTTGAACACACTGGGTACATTTCTACTTTGGGGACTTTGCACTGGCCATTCCTTCTTCCAATGCTCTTTTCCTAGATATTTGCCTGGCTAATTTCCTCTTCTTCTACAAATCTGTTTTCCAACGTCACCTTCTGTATGACCACTGTGTCTAAATATCAGTAGGCAACCCCTGCATGATTTCCAGTTCCCTGCCCACTGTGCTTTTTCTGTCTTTTCTTAGCACCTCTCCCATTTAACATACCATATGCTTTACTTATCATGTTTATTGCTTATGGTCAATCTCCCTCTTCTAGAATATAGGCTTCCTAAAGACAGGGATCTTTGTTTTCTTCATTGTTCTATCTCCAGTGCCTACAACAATGCCTGGGACATATTAAGCATTCATTAAGTATTTGTTAAAGGGGAAAATGAACCAAAGGGAAGGAATAACCAAAGGGAAGGAATAAGTTTTTTAAAAAAACTTTGTTGGAATAAGTTTTTTAAAAAAACTTTGTTGAAAAAAGTCTTTTCTTCCCATTTAAAAACGTGGTTTTGTTTCCGATTACAATCCAAATACACAAATTTTAAAGAAGAGTGAAATGATTTGCCATCATTGGACCCTCATTCCTTCATGGCAACTGTGGGCAGAGTAGAGAAAAGTTGCCCTCTTTAGATCAGGCAGACCCTCTCCAGTTTGCTGTGGTGCCAACTGAGCTCACTTTCCTCTTAGAATTCTGACACCTGGAGGTATCAGGGTTTGCTTCCTTTGATACACTTTGCTAGGAACTGGAGTGTCTATGCTCCCATTTGCAAGGAAGGAGTTCCGTTCCTGGGAGCTGGATCTTCCCCTCTGCCTGGGCTCTCTATTCATGTTTGCAGTAATTAGACACCAGGTTGATTGACCATGAAAGATAAGTTCTCAATCACTCCTGAACACATAAACATACCATGAGTACATGAAATAAAAATGTTACGTGCTGGGAACATCAATCAGAAGGGTAATGTTTATGTAGCATTGTTAATTGGATTTCTACAATGGGATATTCGGTGGGTTGGGGTTTATCTGATAACACCGTAGTCTGTGACAGCAACTTCTGTGACTCAGTGTGGCTTCAAGGTCAAGGAACTGAGCGTCCTCCTGACCAACAGGCTGAGGAGATTGTTGGGAGTTCTTGTGGGCCAGGCTCTTATCGGTGAGCTGTATGGAGAACACCATCTCTCAGATTTATCCATAATTTTAATGAATGCTCTGTTTGAGATAATGACCCATATCTTGACTTGCACAAAGCCCTGAAAATACTTCTACGAATTGTGTTTTATCTGAAGTACTGCAGCATGCAGCATCCAACATTACCATTGATATCATCTATTGAGAACTCTTTCCCAGGTTCTTTATTAAGGTTTAATTAAATTTTATGTCTTATCAATTAGGATTAATCTATATTTAGTCTGAATTAGAGGGAGCCAATTATAAATAACACCACTTCTCATTTATTCCTGAATACAAAATGAAGGTTTTTAAACTTTCTTTGGAGGAAAAAATAAAAAACCTCACAACCCCCCTGACTCAAATGTGTCCCTTTAAAGAGTTTTATGCCCAGGAGACCACAAATTCTATTATAATAAAGTGAAAAGATGATAATTCCTATAGGAAGGTGTTACAGACAGAAATGGGGGTCCGGAGGGAAAAGAGAGAGAATTTCTGTTATGATGTGGGCAATTGAAACAAAGAGATTTTCAACTTTAAAGTTTTCACTTGGAGCAATGGCACAAAGATAAACTGAATTTTCCAAGGTTATTGTGACATCTCTGTTTCTAGAAGAGGACAGACCAGCTTGTGCCCTGCGGTTGTGTTCAATGCTGTTAATTAAATATTTCCAATTCTGTTACTTCTGGGCACGAATTGGATCATACTCCTCCCCTCTCTTCACCTTGAAGTCAAATGTGGGCATGGGACTCGTTTGGTCAATGAAATGCAAGAAGAAGCAATATCTGTCAGTTCCATTTGGAAGCGCCCATATGGACTAGAGTGCAATTTCTCATGTTTTCTTCCTCCTGCTGCAGTGGTCATGGAAACACAATTCAGACAAAAGCCCCATTAGCCCAAGATGGGTGGCGTCTTCTCTGCCAGCCTGCATTGTTTGTGCAACATGAGCAAGAAGTAAACTTTTGTTGTGTTAAGCCATTGAGATGTTGAGGTTTTTGTTACTTCAGCGTCATGTAGCTTATCCTGCCTTATAGAAGCTCTATAAGCTTTAGTTTCTTCTAAGCTTTGGTACTGACTTCATTGGGTTGTTATATGAGGAAGAATAATGAAGTAATTAACAAAAAGTGTTTCATTTAGTGCTGGCACACAAGTACTCGGTAAATATTAGTGCTTCCTATTATTGTTGTTGTAGTTGGGGATGTCTATGTATTATGGCTAAATGATCCTATTTGGAATATTCTGATGGTATGTTCAAAGTTTATTTAAACTCTTAGTATTTCAATGTCTTGCCTTTCCACCTGATCAGAACAGAAGCTTCACATCGAGCACTTCTATTACCCCCTGCTAAAGAGTTTACAAAGCCTTCTAATGCACAGTTCTATTTACTTTCTTCTTTCCCTTACAACGCTATTGAATAGTCCTGTGGTATATAGTTTAAGAAAAGGCAAAAAGCCTTATGATAAAAGTCTGTTTAGGAAGGTACTGTGTTTTCAAATGAGCCTTTGGAGATCCGGCCTGCATAGGCTTTCTGGCAGACCTGTGAATTCAAGGACCCCCTTTCCAAAATTATCCAGAGTAACTTGTAATTTATAACTTGGGTTTCTGTACATGTTCCGGCCTGGACCTCATTTAAGTGCGTCCAGCCAATATACAGTGGTGTAAGCCATGAGGTTTGTAGAGACTCAAATTCTTGTTGTGACCAATATAACAGGTACACACTGTGAACTCGTCCCATGAGCTTGGTGCATTATTGAGCCAAGAATCCTCTAGAGGTTGCCTCATAGTAGGAAATCAGAGAGCTATCCAGGAACAATGGTGAGACCAGTTCAAATATTACCTGGACCCAGCATTTAGAAAGTCCAGTTCTTATGGATGCAAAGGTCTTGTTCTAGAATCAGGGTGTGGTCCCAATATACGCAAACTCACCACAGTTGGGAGGATTTTGGTTGCAAGTGACAGAAACCCAGCACAAACCCCAAAGGAAAATCATTGGCTCTTGTAACCCAGAAATTTAATGGATAAACCCTTCCAGCTTCAAGTATGGCTGTATGTAGGTGTCCAAATGATGTCATTAGCTCTTTCTCTTCCCCCACTCTAACTCGTTTTCTCTGTATCTACTTTCTTTTTTATCAAACTCTATCTACATGGCAGCAAATATGGCATTGGCACCTGTAGGTTCCCATTGCTTTTATTGCAGTGATCCCAGAAACAAGACTGCCTCTTTTTTTTTTTTTTTTTTTTTTTTTGATAGTTTCAGGAAAAATAGTTGGAAGGGTGCCAGGGCTAGTTTTTCTGTTTCTTTTCTTTTTTAAACTTTTATTTTAAGTTCAGGGGTACAAGTGCAGGTTTGCTACATAGGTAAACTTGTGTCATGGGGGTTTGCTGTAGGTTATTTAATCATCCAGGAATTAAGCCTAGTACCTATTAGTTATGTTTCTGGATCCTCTCCTGCTCCCACCCTCCACTCTCTGAAAGGTCCCAGTGTGTGTTTTTCCCCTCTATGTGTCCATGTGTTCTTATCATTTAGCTCCCACTTATGAGAACGTGTGGTATTTAGTTTTCTGTTCATGTGTTAGTTTGCTAAGGATAATGGCCCCCAGCTCCATCTGTGTGCCTGCAAGGGACATAATCTTGTTTTTTATGGCTGCAGAGTATTCCAGGGTGTATATGTACCACATTTTCTTTATCCATCTCTCATTGAAGGGTATTTAGGTTGATCTAACCAGTGCTAATTTTTCTAATCCACAAATAACTTCTGCAAATTGAAAAAGACTTAAAAATCCAGTACAGAAATAGGTAAAGAATAGAAGTAGGCAATCTTTAGAAGTGGAAATGCAAATAGCCAATAAACAAATGAAATTATGCTCATTCTTTTCGGGGAAGGGGAAATGTAAATAAAAATGACAATAGATTACTTTAGAAATTAATCAATTTGACCCAAACAGAAATGATTTATTACCATCACTTATGATTGTATGGAGGAAGAAAGGACTCTCATACTTTGCTGTTATGAGTAAGAATTGCTTTAACCATTCAAGAAAAATCTGAAAGTAGCTACTGGAATTCAAAATATACTTATGCTCAGAAATTTCACTTTTGGCATGCAGAAATGGAAGTACCAATTCCACAGAAAAATGTTTATTACTTTAAGTACCTGATTCTTGCAAAAATCTGGAAACAAAATTAATATCCAAAAGCAGGGATTTATTGAATAAATTATAATGTTTTATGTTTCAGAATTTTATGCAACTGTTGAAAAAAGCCAGGTATATGGAGAGATGCCTATACTTTCTTGTTAAGTAAAGAAGCACATTTGTGTAATATCATCCTATTTCTGAAAAAAAAAAAAAGAAAGAAAGAAAACCTTTCATCTGGTTTTCATGTATGATGCTTGCATGAACTCAGGAAAAACATGGAAAAAATACATAGTAAATTGTTGACATTAGTTACTTTGAAGGGAAGGCGCCATGTGACATATACTGCAACTTGAATTTGAAGTGAAAATTCATTAAAGTGCATATAAAACAGGATAACTTGTACCTGTGTCCTTAAGACAAATTACCGCAAAGGACAGGTACAGTGTGACATCCTAAATCTTGGGGTAGGCATAAGGGGATATGCATGTCTTGTCAAGGTCTGTTTCATGGTGTTTAAAGAACTTTATTTTATTTTATTTTATTTTTATTTTTTTCTTTGCCTTCTTTTTTTTTCTTTTTTTTCCTATTTATTTATTTATTTTACTTTAAGTTCTAGGGTACATGTGCACAATGTGCAGGTTTGTTACATATGTATACATGTGCCATGTTGGTGTGCTGTACCCGTTAACTCGTCATTTACATTAGGTATATCTCCTAATGCTATCACTCCCCGCTCCCCCCACCCCCTGGCAGGCCCCAATGTGTGATGTTCCCCACCCTGTGTCCATGTGTTCTTATTGTTCAATTCCCACCTATGAGTGAGAACATGTGGTGTTTGGTTTTCTGTCCTTGCGATAGTTTGCTCAGAATGATGGTTTCCAGCTTCATCCATGTCCCTATAAAGGACATGAACTCATTCTTTTTTATGGCTGCATAGTATTCCATGGTGTATATTTTTTTGAGACAGGGTATCATTCTGTCGCCCAGGCTGGAGTGCAGTGGCACAATCACAGCTCATTGCAGCCTCAATCTCCCTGGGCTCAGGTGATCCTCCCACCTCATCCTCCCAAGTAGCTAGGACTACAGGTGCTCACCACCGCACCCCAGCTGACTTAAAAATATTTTTTAGTGATGGGGTCTCATTATGTTGCCCAGGCTGGTCTTGAACTCCTGGTCTCAAGCAATCCTCCTGCCTCAGCCTCTCAAAGTGCTGGGATTACAGGTGTGAAACACCATGCTTGGCCCAGAAGAAGTTTAGACAAATGAAATTTAACAGAGTTTAACTGAGCAAAGAACAATTTGAGAATAGGGCAGTCCTCCTTTTCAGAGAGACTCCTGCACTGCCGTGTGGTTGGAGAGGATTTATGGACAGAAAAGGGAGGTGAGGTGCAGAAACAGCTGGCTTGGTCACAGCTTGGCATTTGCCATATTTGAACACAGTTTGAACAGTTGGTTGCCTGTGATTGGCCGAAACTTGGTGATTGGCACAAGAGTAGATTACAGACTATTGACACATCCAGTTAGGTTACAGTTCACTAAGTGCGGAGAAACCTTAGGCCCAACTTAGAATATGTCAGGAGGGGCTGGGTGCAGTGGCTCACGCCTGTAATCTCAGCACTTTGGGAGGCCGAGGCAGGTGGATCACCTGAGGTCAGGAGTTCGAGACCAGCCTGGCCAACACGGTGAAACCCCATCTCTACTAAAAATACAAAAATTAGCCGGGTGTGGTGGCATATGCTTGTAATCCCAGCTACTCCAGAGGCTGAGACAAGAGAATCGCTTGAACCCGGGAGGCGGAGTTGCAGCGAGCCGAGATTGTGTCATTGCACTCCAGCCTGGGTAACAGAGAGAGGCTCTGCCTCAAAAAAAAAAAAAAAAAAAAAATCACCAAGATGTTACAGTGTGACTCTATGTAAGGAAATACAAATGATTCAATGATGCAGATATTTTTAATAAAATATGAATTACAAAAATTGAATTATGAAAAAGTAATGTCTGGAATAAAAAAAATATACAAAAATAAAAAGTGCTTGGGCATGCTGGCTCACACCTGTAATCCCAGCAACTTTTTGGGAGGCCGAGGTGGGAGGATTGCTTGAGGCCAGGAGTCTGAGACCAACCTGGGCAATATTGTGAGATCCTGATCTTTACAAAAAATAAAAAACTATCTGGGCTTGGAGGTGTGCACCTGTATTTCCAGCTACTTCGGAGGCTGAGGTGGTAGGATCCCTTGAGACCAGGAGTTTGAAGATGCAGTGAGCTATGATCACACCACTGCACTCCAGCCTGGGTGACAGAATAAGACCCCATCTCTTTAAAAAATAAAATAAATAAAAATAGAAAAGTTAAAGTATTATCAAATGGTCATTTTAAAATAGCCTCCTTAAACAGATTTTTCTAATGTATTTGTTCTCTTCAAATTTTCTGGTGACAAATTTATTCCTATACTCAATGAATGGTTCCAGATTATAGAAAACCATGGAAAACTTTCTAATTCATTTTACGAGAACGATACAACCCTGAAATTCAATCTTGAAGAGTATAGTGGAAAAAAAATAGAACAGAAGACCAAGGCACTAGATGAAAAACTATAAATAAAATAATAGCAAACAGAATTCAATAATACATTAATAGAGTCACTAACCATGACCAAGGAGGATTTAGCCTAGGAATGCAAAGACGTTTGTTTTTCAAATCATTTTATTAAAAAAAAAATAATAAAATCTTATAGGTTACAGTGACACTTTTTGTACCCCTCCTGGGTTTTCTTCTCTTCCTTTTTCCATCCCCTATAAATTGCAAAAACCAGAGATAAGGACTATTTTGAAGTTGGTATTTATCTTTCCAATATATGTTTCATATCCCTACCACTTTTATAAGTATCCATCAATATTTAGCTACATATTATCTTGTATGTTCTTTAAAATTCCATAACTGGTTTTATTCTAGGTGTGTTCCTGTGGAACTGGCTTTTGTTCATTTAGCCTTCTGTTTTTGAGATTATCCATGTTGATACAAGTAGATCTAGCTCATTCATTGTATAAATGTACTGGTGGGGCATGGTGGCTCATGCCTGTAATCCCAGCACTTTGGGAGGCGGAGGTGGGTGGATCACATGAGGTCAGGAGTTCGAGACCAGCCTGACCAACATGGTGAAGCCCTGACTCTACTAAAAATACAAAATTTAGCCGGGAGTGATGGTGCGTGCCTTAGTCCCAGCTACTCGGGAGGCTGAGACAGGAGAATCGCTTGAACCCGGGAGGCAGAGGTTGCAGTGAGCCAAGATCATGCCTCTGCACTCCAGCCTGGGCAACAGAGCAAGATTCCATCTCAAAAAAAAAAAAGTGCCATTATTTATAATTTTTTACATGTAGACTGAATGTTTGTGTCCCTTGTCCCCCAAATTGAAATGTTGAAATCCTAACTCCCGATTTGATAGTATTAGAAGGTAGATCCTTTGGGAAGTGATTAGGTCACGAGGGTGAAGCCTCATGAATGGAGTTAGTGCCATTACACAAACAGCCCCTGGGAGCTTTCTTTCCCTCATTCCCCCATGTAAGGATACAGCAAGAAGGTAGCCACCCGCAATCCGGAAGAGAGCCCTTACCAGAACCCGACCATGCTGGCACCCTGATCTCAGACTTCCAGCCCCCAGAACCGTGAGCAATACATTTCTGTTGTTTATAAGCTACCCAGTTTATGATATTTTGTTATAGCAGCCTGAACTAAGACAAATTTGGGTTGTTTTATTTTTTTCGGTAGCTATTATAAACAATGCTATAACAAACACGGTGCACATTTTTTACACTGCCATGTGTGAATAAGGTTGTGGCAGTTTACTGTCCTATCAACAGAGTGTGAGAGTTCTGTATTCCACATTCTTGCTAACTCTTGTGTGGGATGCGATTTTATTCCCATTTTTATTTGCATTTCCCTGATTACTAGTGAGGTGGAAATTTTTCCAGTGTTTACTGATCTGGAGTACTTCCCATATTCAGAATTGTCTGTCTGTATCCATTGTCTAATTTATACTAGATTTTAAAAAAATCCCTTTCCTATTGATTTGTAGGATTTCTTTTTATATTCTCAATGCCGACCCAGGACTGTTTAATAACAGGAAATCTATTAATGTATTCTATCAAAAGAAGAGATAAAAATTCTGTATGATTTAGTCAATAAGTACCAAAAGGCATTCAATAGGCCTGATATCCATTCCTGATAAAAAAGCTCTTTGAAAATTTGAGATAGAAATGTGATAAAAATATCTCTTTTAAATCAAAGTACACATCAGGCTTGAAGAAACATCAGATATCTTCCTATTAGAGACAAGAAATGTTCACTGTTATGGATTGAATTGCATTTCCACAAAATTCCTTTTTTTTTTTTTTTTTTTTGAGACAGAGTCTCACTCTGTCACCTTAGCTGGAGTGCAGTGGTGCGATCTAGGGTCACTGCAACTTTCGCCTCCTGGGTTCAGGTGATTCTCCTGCCTCAGCCTCCCGAGTAGCTGGGATTACAGGTGCTTGCCATCACGCCCAGCTAATTTTTGTATTTTTAGTAGAGACGGGGTTTAGCCATGTTGGCCAGGGTGGTCTTGAACTCCTGACCTCAGGTGATCTACCCGCCTCGGCCTCCCGAAGGGCTGGGATTACAGGTGTGAGCCACGACACCCGACCCATTTCTCCAAAATTCTTATGTTGAAGTCCTAACCCCAAATGCCTCTGAATATGTCTAGAGACATTACCTTTAAGGAGGTAAATATGTTGAAGTGAGGTCGTTATGGTGGGTACTAATCCTATATAACTGATGTCCTTATAAAAAGAGAAAATAAGAACACTGACATGTACAGAGGCAAGACCATGTGAAGACACAGGGAGAAGATGGCCATCTGTAAGCCAAGGAGAGAGGCCTCAGAAGAAACAGACCCTGCTGACACCTTGATGTTAAGCTTCTAGCTTCTAGAACCAGGAGAAAATAAATTTCTGTTGTGTAAGCCACCTGGTTGTGGTACTTCATTAGGAAGCCCTAGTCAACTAATATCCTTTCATTTACTGATCTAAGTGTGCTGTGATTTTTTTTTTCTTTTGACACAGGGTCTTGCTCTGTCACCCAGGCTGGAGTGCAGTGGCATGATCTCCACTCACCGCAGCCTCAGCTTCCCAGGTTCAAGTGATCCTCCCACCTCAGCCTCCTGAGTAGCTGAGATTACAGGTGCACACCACTATACCCAGCTATTTTTTATTTTTTAAGAGATGAGGCCTCACTATATTGCTCAGGCTGGTCTTGAATTCCTGGGCTCAAGTGATCCTCCCGCCTCAGTCTCCCAAAGTGCCAGGATTACAGGCCTGAGCCCCCATTCCTGGCCTGCTGTGAAGTTTTTGACCAATGGTGTAAGTGAGAAATAAGAGACAGAACTATGAGAATGAAAGAAACCAATTTATCATTTATAAGTGACATGATTATATGATAAGAATTATAACAATCTCAATAAGACAGTTCAGGAAAGTGGTCAGATGTGAGATAAACCTCTGAAAATCAGTAACAAATAAGGAAACGATTATTAAAAGTATTTTGTGCAATAGCAATGAAAAAATAAAATAACCAGTCTGTATGTAACATAAGATGTACATGAGGAAAAACTATAAAAATTTACAGAGCAATACAGATGGTTTAAATAAATAAAGAGAGGTTTCAGTTGCTTGCATTGGAACCTAAAGAGTTTAGAGATTTAAATTCTTCCAAAATTAGCTGACAGACTCAACATATGGAATTTACAGTTTTTAGTAGCTTAATAAAATAATCCTGTGGTTCAATTAGAACAATTTGAGAAAGGTGGGAACATGAGATATAATGACTTATTTCAAAGCTCTAACAATTAAAACAAGGTGGGATGGCTAAAAATTCAAAGCCAGGGAAATGGAACAGATACCTAACCACGTGTTACTTTATTATTATTGTTATTATTATTATTATTTTGAGACAGAGTCTCACTCTGTCGCCCAGACTGGAGTGCAGTGGTATGATCTCGGCTCACTGCAACCTCCACCTCCTGGGTTCAAGCGATTCTCCTGCCTCAGCTTCCCGCGTAGCTGGGACTACAGGCATGCACCATCACACCCGGCTACTTTTTGTATTTTTGATAGAGACGGGGTTTAACCATGTTGGCCAGTGTGGTCTTGAACTCCTGACCTCAAGTAATCTGCCCACCTCAGCCTCCCAAAATGCTGGGATTACAGGCATGAGCCACCGTGCCTCACCACGATGTTACTTTACCTATTAGCAAAAGTAGTAAATAAGGAATAAATAACGCAAAGATAATGTTTTATTATTATTATTATTATTGAGACAGGATCTCACTCTGTCACCCAGACTGGAGTGCAGTGCAGATCATGGTTCAACGCAGCCTCAATTTCCTTGTGTTCAGCCTCCCAAGTAGCTGGGACTTCTAGTTCTAGATCCCTGAGGAATCGCCACACTGACTTCCACAATGGTTGAACTAGTTTACAGTCCCACCAACAGTGTAAAAGTGTTCCTATTTCTCCACATCCTCTCCAGCACCTGTTGTTTCCTGACTTTTTAATGATTGCCATTCTAACTGGTGTGAGATGATATCTCATAGTGGTTTTGATTTGCATTTCTCTGATGGCCAGTGATGATGAGCATTTTTTCATGTGTTTTTTGGCTGCATAAATGTCTTCTTTTGAGAAGTGTCTGTTCATGTCCTTCGCCCACTTTTTGATGGGGTTGTTTGTTTTTTTCTTGTAAATTTGTTTGAGTTCATTGTAGATTCTGGATATTAGCCCTTTGTCAGATGAGTAGGTTGCAAAAATTTTCTCCCATGTTGTAGGTTGCCTGTTCACTCTGATGGTAGACCCAGACATCCCATTACTGGGTATATACCCAAATGACTATAAATCATGCTGCTATAAAGACACATGCACACGTATGTTTATTGAGGCATTATTCACAATAGCAAAGACTTGGAACCAACCCAAATGTCCAACAATGATAGACTGGATTAAGAAAATGTGGCACATATACACCATGGAATACTATGCAGCCATAAAAAATGATGAGTTCATGTCCTTTGTAGGGACATGGATGAAATTGGAAACCATCATTCTCAGTAAACTATCGCAAGAACAAAAAACCAAACACCGCATATTCTCACTCATAGGTGGGAATTGAACAATGAGATCACATGGACACAGGAAGGGGAATATCACACTCTGGGGACTGTGGTGGGGTGGGGGGAGGGGGGAGGGATAGCATTGGGAGATATACCTAATGCTAGATGACGAGTTAGTGGGTGCAGCGCACCAGCATGGCACATGTATACATATGTAACTAACCTGCACAATGTGCACATGTACCCTAAAACTTAAAGTATAATAAAAAAAAATAATAAAAAAATAGGGTTTGTAATGTAAGTTTGATATGGTTTGGCTCTGTGTCCCCACCTAAATCTCACCTTGAATTGTAATTTCCATAATCCCCACGTGTCAAGGGCAGGACCAGGTGGAAGGAATTGAATCATGGGGGCAGTTTCCCCCATGCTGTTCTTGTCATAATGAGTGAGTCTCACTAGATCTGATGGTTTTATAAGCATCTGGCATTTCCGCTGCTTGCATTCATTCTCTCTCCCACTGCCCTGTGAAGAGGTGTCTTCCACCATGATTGTAAGTTTCCTAAGGCATCCTCAGCCATGTGGAACTGTGAGTCAATTATACCTCTTTTCTTTATAAATTACCCAGTCTCAGGTATTTCTTCATAGCAGCGTGAGAATGGACTAATATGAAGTTTTAATTTAGATAAGTCCATCTTCAAATAATACTATACTCCTTCATGTTTTTTGCTAGAACCTCATGCCAGTGTTTTCCCAATTCCTCCTTCCCACCCCTTGTGCCATTGTTGTTATACACTTTACTCTTACATATGATACAAATACATAAACATTGTCACTATTAGTTATTTAACTTTTATAGCAACTAGAAGAAATTTTAAAAACTATTTTATTACTGATGTTTTAAAAATTTATTTATGGCCAAGAGCGGTGGCTCACGCCTGTAATCCCAGCAACTTTGGGAGGCCGAGGCGGGCAGATCACAAGGTCAGGAGATCAAGACCATCCTGGCTAACACGGTGAAACCCCGTCTCTACTAAAAATACAAAAAATTAGCCAGGCGAGGTGGCGGGTGCCTGTAGTCCCAGCTACGCAGGAGGCTGAGGCAGGAGAAGGCGTGAACACCGCGGGGCGGAGCCTGCAGTGAGCCGAGATCGCGCCACTGCACTACAGCCTGGGTGAAAGAACGAGACTCCGTCTCAAAAAAAAAAAAATAAAATAAAATAAAAAAATAAAAATTAAAAAAAAAAAAAAAAAGTAGCTGGGACTACAGTCTTGTGCAGCTATGCCTGCCTAATTCTTGTTTTTTGTTTTTCTGTAGAGACGAGGTCTTGTTATGTTGCCCAGGTTGGTCTCCAACTCCTGGCCTTAAGTGATCCTCCTGCCTTAGCCTCCTCAAGTGCTGGGGTTACAGGCATGAGCCACCATGCCCCACCCAAAGAAAATATTTAAAAAATCAAAGAGCAAGTGGAACTTGGAGCAAAGGAGCAACATAGATCTAGTAAGGCCAGAATAGGCTGTGAATACAGTTGCTGGAAAGTTAGAGGAATCTACAGTGTCTGCCTCTGACCCTCATCTTCCCTTTGCATCTATTCCTGCTGGCTTTGGGGCAGGGCTGTGGGATGGTCACCCTAGGCATTCCATCCTTATTTCTCCTCCAGCTGGCTGCATAGAGTTTCTATAAGGGCCCCTCATGGAAAGACTTCGTGCGATAAAAGTCAGACTTGAGATGAGTGTTTCCTAGAACTCATGCAGCTCAGGGCCCTATGGTTGCCTGTACATAGCACGAGTACTTCTTAAGAAATCACTTGTGGGATGTGTGCTCCCCAGGTGAGTGCTCCACAGGTAAGTCCACTGGCTCATTCCCTGAGGTAGCAGAACTGGTGTAGGAGGCACAAGTTTTCCAGGAGTCCTGCTTGTGATGGCCTAGGCTTCACCCTACCCCTCCTCTCAACAACAGAGCAGGACAAGGAGGAAGGAAGCCAGCTGGGGCCAGGCGCAGTGGCTCACACCTGTAATCCCAGCATTTTGGGAGGCCAAGGTAGGGGAATCACTTGAGGTCAGGAGTTGGAGACCAGCATGGCCAACATGGTGAAACCCTGTCTCTACTAAAAATACAAAAATTAGCCAGGCGTGGTGGCGTGCACCTGTAGTCCCAGCTACTCAGGTGGCTGAGGCAGGAGAATTGGTTCAACCCAGGAGGCAGAGGTTGCAGTGAGTTTGCAGTGAGACTCTGTCTCAAAAAAAAAAAAAAAAAAAAAAAGACGGAAGGATGCCAGGGGTCTTTGCAAGCTGGCTGTGGGAGTGGGAGGATCCCGGGAGTCCCACTCAACCATCTGGAATAGGTCTCCAACTTGTGAGTGGGGTGGATGGTATAGAAATGTCCTGAAGGAGTAGGAGGAGGAGTTATGAGGAAACGCTCGCTGTGCAATGTATGTTCTAGAACAGGAATTGGCAAACTTCTTCTGTAAAGGGACAGACAGTAAATATTTTAGGCTCTGTGGACCATCTGGTCTCTTTTGGCAAGGACTCAGCCCTGCCCTTGGAGTGGGAAAACAGCCATAGGCAGTAGGTAAACAAATGGTCATGTTTTATGTTCCAATAAAACTTTATTTACAAAAACAAGGGCAGGTGGGATTTTGCCCACAGGCCATCGTTTGCAGATCTCTGGTTTTAGAACTTGTTTTCATAGTTAGACCCATCTCCACTGCTTCCTTGTAAGTCATTGGCAAATATTTCTGAGATTCTGTTTCCTCAAGTCTAAAGTGGGGGTGATAATAGGTCTGTCTCCTAATGTTGTACATAGTAAGTGCTCCAGAAATGGTATCTGTTGTTGCTTGGTTGTTAACTTCTTCATTATGATTATTATTTCTTGTGAGGAACAGAAGGTACTCAGGAAAGTCACCCTAGGACAAACACGATCTCCCCTCCTGGCTTAAAAATAAAATGGGAACACTGATTCTACTTAACACTTCTGTCAGTAGGCATGAGTCTCTAACATTTCCAAAACCCTCTAACATCTGTTGGCAGGTCTTTGGATAGACTTAACAGTAAATCTGAATTCCTGAAGGATCCAAACTCATTTTTGTAACTTCAAATTGGAGACTGAACTAGAGATTTTTATGGAACTGAGACAGGTCAGGACTTGATGGTGGTTTAGGAGATTAAGTCATTGTCCCCGTAAATCATATCTGACTTCTAGTTTCACAGTGTGGCAAGACCATCCTTCTGCACTCTAAATTTCTTTCTTGCCGGGCAGTCATTTGTTGCTGGACACTTAGGAAGGAACATACATTTTCCTTTTACCTCTCTGTGTGCTGCCCGAACATCCCCAAGTCCCTGCGCTGGGGACTGCCTGTGTGGTGGCTCTGTTTGTCACTGTGAGGACCCAACATGTGGTCTCTGAAAAGCTGGCTTTTATTTAATCAAAGGGCCTCTGGCACTAAGATGTCCAAATTATTTTATTTGATTTTTTCAGAGCCAATAAATCAGAGTCTGAGATATATCTTGCAGCCATCTCCTTACCTGTATCCCTACCGCCTTGATAGAGGCCATTGTGTTGCCTTCCTGGATTATTTTCACAGCCTCCAGACTGAACTCTACGCTTCTGCTCTTACGGGTCCTCACCACAGCCTCCCCACCGCCCCCATCATCACACAGCAGCCAAAGTGGTCTTGGAAACATGAAGATCAGATTACATTAAAACTTTTTAATGGGGATGGGCATGGTGGCTCACGCCTGTAATCCCAGCACTTTGGGGAGCCAAGGAAGGAGGATCGCTTGAGGCCAGAAGTTTGAAACAAGCCTGGGCAACATAGTGAGACCCCGTCTTTCAAAAAAAAATTTTTTTAAGTTGAAAGATTAGCTGGGCATGGTGGTGCTTGCCTGTAGTCCTAGCTACTTGGGAGGCTGAGGCAAGAGTCTGCAGTGAACTATGATTGTTCCACTGCACTACAGCCTAGACAACAGAGCTAGATCCCATCTACAAAAACAAAAACAAACAAAAACCAAAAACACTTTCTTTTTTCTTTTTTTGAGTTGGAGTCTCGCTCTGTCGCCCAGGCTGGAGTGCAGTGGCACGATCTCAGCTCACTGCAACCTCCACCTCCTGGGTTCAGGTGATTCTCCTGTCTCAGCCTCCCGAGTAGCTGGGATTACAGGCATGTGCCACCACACCCAGCTAATTTTTGTATTTTTAATAGAGATGAGATTTCACCATGTTGGCCAGGCTGGTCTCGAACTCCTGACTTCAACTGATCCACCCATCTTGGCCTCCCAAAGTGCTGTGATTACAGGTGTGAGCCACCACACCCTGCCCCACAAACACTTTTTAATGGCTTCCCGTCAATCTTAGAATAAAATCCCAACTTCCTGTGGAGGGTGGTACATGAGGGCCTGCATCATCTTGTCCACTTCTACCTCCTGGCCCACTGGGTACCAGCCACATGGATCTGTTTCACATTTCTCAAATAAAAGCCCTCCTGCCTCAGGACTGTGTACATGCTGATCCCTCTGAGGTGACACTTGTGTTAATTTCCTCTTTGTGCTGTGACTTCATGACCACGGACTTAGTGGCTTAAAACAACACACATTTCTTATCTTCCAGTTCTGTAGGTCAGAAGTCCAAGATGGATCTCCCTGGGCTAAAATCAAGGGGCATTCTTTCTGGAGGCTCTCAGGATAATCTGTTTCCTTGCCTTTTCCAGAGGTACAGGCAGCCTGCATGCCTTGGCTCATGGCTGCATCACTCTGACCTCTGCCTCCATCATCACGTCTCCTTCTCTGACCACCCCCCTGTCTCCCTCCTTCCCTTATTAAGGACCCTTGTGATTACAGTGGAACAACCTAAATCATCCAGGATGATCACCCACCTCATGATTCTTAGTTTAATCACATCCAGAAAGTCTTTACTGCCATGTGAGGTTACATGTTCACAGGTTCTGGTGATCGGGACGTGAACATCTCTAGGGGCCACTGTGCTCTTGTGAAACAGCTGATCCCTCTCCATCTTCTGGTCTTGATTTAAATGCACCTTCCTTAGAGAGGCTTTTGCCAACACCATCTGCATTGACTTCTGATTTTCTCTTCCACAACACCCTGTTATTTTGCTTTATAGCAATTCCTTCAATAAACATGTCTCTATTATGTAAGCCTTTTTAAAATTAGGTAGTCTGTGTCCTAAAGCTGAAGACATCCTTGCTACAAAAACCTTAACAGCCTGCACCTCAGCCCCCTAAGATCCTCTAGTCAGAGGAACCTCCTTCTCTCCACCCAAAAGCTTGGTTCTGCCCTGCCCTGGTCGCACATAACATCTTTTCTTCTTCTTCTTCCTCTTCTTCTTCTTCTTCTTCCTCTTCTTCTTCTTCTTCTTCTTCTTCTTCTTCTTCTTCTTCTTCTTCTTCTTCCTCTTCCTCCTCTTCCTCCTCTTCCTCTTCTTCCTCTTCTTCTTCCTCTTCTTCTTCCTCTTCTTCTTCTTCTTCTTCTTCTTCTTTTTTTTTTTTTGACAGGGTCTTACTGTGTTACCCATGCTGGAGTGCAGTGGCACAATCATGGCTCACTGCAGCCTCCACCTCCCAGGTTCTAGCAATCCTCCTACTTCAGCCTCCCAAGTAGCTGGGACAACAGGTGTGCATCACCATGCCCAGATAATTTTTTATTTTTTGTAGAGATGGGATCTCACTGTGTTGCCCAAGCTGGTCTCGAGCTTCTGGGCTCTAGCTATTCACCTACCTTGAGAAGGAGCAGGAGCATCTTAAAGATGATTTTGGCTTACCCCCAAGTCAGTCTTGCTGCTGAGCTCCAATGTCCAGTTTGGTTGGGATCTCAGTGGCACAGACTTCTCATGCTGTCTCAGTGGGGCACTGGGCTAGTCGGGGAGAAGGTTCAAGACTAGAGGGGCTTAGCTTGTTGACATGAATATGCCCTGCCAGTTACAGTGTTACTAGCAGGACTTTATCCTTGTCTGAATCAGCAAATGGCCTGTCTGGTTAGAGTGCTTGCATGCTCTAAAATGTATGATCTTAATCACAGCTCAGTGAGAATATTTGCAGGCAGAAGACTCTCTGTTTTAGGTTGGGCTCCCTGGAAGCAGACGCTGAGACGAGGATTTGTGTAAAAGTGATTTATTATGAGGGGTTCTCAGAAACACTAGTAGGGGAGTGGGAAAATAGAATGGAGAAGAGAAGAAGCCAAGAAGGGTGTTGGATCAAGCAAGGTCCTACAGGAGGACTGCTGTGGCTCAGTCCCCAGGACAGCTCCAGGGAGAGTTCAGGCTGCTCCTTGCAGTTTTCCGATCAAGACAAGAGAGCTGGCGTGATGTTTCAGAGACAGGGGCTTGCTCTGTCACCAAGGTTGGACTGCAATGGTGCGATCATAGGTCACTGCAGCCTCAAACTCCTGAGCTCAAGCAATTCTCTTGCCTCAGCCTCCCAAATAGCTGGGACTATAGGCACTCACCACCATGTCCGGCTATTTTTAATTTTTTTTTTTGGTAGAGATAGGGTCTTGCTGTGTTGCCCAGGCTGGATTTGAACTCCTGGCCTCAAGTGATCCTCCTGCCTTGGCCTCCCAAAGTGTTGAGATTACAGGCATGAGCCATTCCACCCGGCCAGCTGGCATGCTTCTAAGCCTGCCTTCACCACTAATTGGTTAAGGGCTGGCCTCCAAGGAGAGTGCAAATTCCCAGGCACTCCAGTCTCAGCACACACAGGCAAAGTGAGAGCAGCCCTCTGCCAACATGCAGGTGCTGGCTAAGAGAAAGCACACAAGGAGCTGTGTGCAGAGCGTGGTCTGAGTGCGTGTGGGCAGAGGCCCCAAGAGCCCTGCTATGTGCTCTTATTCCAAGTGGATCCATTAGTTTGTTCTGCACACATTCATCCATCTTCAACTCTGTGCCAGGCTCTGGGCATGCAGGCGACAAAGACACAGCCCTAACCCTCATGAAATTTTTACAGCCAAGTAGGGGAGACAGACATTAAGTTTTAAAAATCCTCCCAAAATGAGGAACTGTGATTGTGAGTAGCGCTGTGGATGAGAAGAACACCTGGGAGGAGACCTCGTCTAGCAGGTGGGCGGGGATGAAGCTTCTCCAAACAAGTGACGCTGAGCCAAGAGCTGAAGGATGAGTAAGAGTGAACCAGGCATAAAAGGGAAGAAGGAGCATTACAAGCCTGGGGTGCATGTGCAAGGGTCCTGGGGCAGGAATCCACAGGAGCAAGTGAAAGGCTGGTGTGACTGGGGTCCGAAGACCCAGGGGAGAGCAGTAAGTGATGAGCCTGCGGGTTGCTGAGGAGTGATTATTCCCCACTTACCACCTGGTTCCTTTTCGAGCCTGTTCAATGTCGTTCAGACCCAGATGTGTGAGCCATTCTCTGGTACGTTCCCTGGAAGCAGAGGGGAAATGGGGACATAGCGAGGATGTTAGGGTGGAAGAGACTATTTTCAATGGTTCATCTTTTCCCCACTGAAGCTTATAGCTGAAATTAATACATAAATTTACAGCCACAAGTCAGTTGTGATAAATAATCCCAGAAGTGTTCCGATTATTTACATTTTTATGGAATCTTGCCTGAGCAAACCCAGAGAGCACACCAGGCACTTGAAGAATTATGTCTTGTTCAAAACCAATTTAATAGCAATGGAAAATAAAGCCATCTGTGGGAACTTGTAGAGCAGAGTAGTAATTCTCTGCCAGATGAGCAATATACAAAAAGCACCAAATCAACCCGAGCACACCAAGCGTTTGCACAGTTCAAGGGAAAGTAACAACTGCAACTTCAATGAACCGTCGGAAGACATCAGGCCTCAGAGTGTCTTTTGCTTGTGTTTTCAGCAGATGTCAGACAGATGAGGATTCTGCTCACGTAGCAATGTGAGAAGAGTCCCTCATGGTCTCCCTATATACAGTGGGGCTGACTGGTGAGAGGCTGTGCAAAAGGGAAGAAAGATCACATGGCGGAGGGGTTAAGAGCATGCGTTTGGGGCCAAAGAGTTGGGAGTTTGCATCTGGGCTCCCCCACTTACTAGCTGGGTGACATAGGGCAAGTCATTGTTTCTTATTTTCCTAATGTGTAAAAATGGGTAATATATGTGAGTGTTTTTCTCTCCCAGTCCAGCATCCTTTCCCCCTGTGTTAGTCTGCTTTGCATTGCTGTAAAGAAATGCCTAAGTCTGGGGTCTGGGTAATTTATAAGGAAAAGGGGTTTATTTTGGCTCACAGTTTTGCAGGCTGTACAGGAAGCATGGTGCTGTCTTGGAGCTCAGGAAGCTTCCAATCATGGCGAAAGGCGAAGGGGGAGCCCATGTGTCACATGGCAAGAGAGGGAGCAAGAGAGAGAGGGGGAGGTGCCAGACTCTTTTAAACAACCAGATCTCATGTGAACTAAGAGCAAGAACTCACTTATTACTGCAAGGCGGGCACCAAGCCATTCATCAGGGATCCACCCCCATGACCCAAACACATCCCACCAGGTCCCACTCCAACACTGGGGATCACATTTCAACATGAGACTTGGAGGGGACAAATATCCAAACCATATAATCCCCAATCTAACAGCATCATGGTTTCCTCTTTTCTCTTGCTTATTTTTTCATGGTTTATTATTTATTTTTTAACAGCTTTATTGAGGTATAATTTACATACATTAAAATTCACCCGTTTAAAATGTACAGTTCGATGAGTTTTAGCAAATTCATATAATGCCACAATTATCTCTACAATCCAGTTTTAGAAAACTTCCATCTCTCCCAAAAGTTTTCTCATTTCCATTTATAGTCAATCCCAACTCCAACCTCCAGCTCCAGGCAACCACCAATGTGGTTACCATCTCTACTGTTTCCCTTTTTCTAGAAATTTCATGTAAATGGAATCATACAATATATAGTCTTATATGTCTGTCTTCTTTCACTTAACATAATGTTTTTGAGATTAATCTATGTTGTTCATTTATTTATTTATTTTTTGAGACGGAGTCTCACTCTGTCGCCAGGCTGGAGTGCAGTGGCACGATCTCGGCTCACTGCAGCCTCTTCCTCCCGGGTTCAAGCAATTCTCCTGCCTCAGCCTCCCGAGTAGCTGGGACTACAGGCGCGTGCCACCACACCCAGCTAATTTTTGTATTTTTAGTAGACATGAGATTTCACCATGTTGGCCAGTATGGTCTTGATTTCCTGAGCTCATGATCCGTCCGCCTCGGCCTCCCAAAGTGCTGGGATTACAGGCATGAGCCACCATGCCCGGCTGATCTATGTTGTTTTAAGTATGTATAGTTTATTCGTTTTTATTGCTTTATGTATACACCACATTTTGTTTACCCATTCACTAATTGATGGATTTAGATGAATTTGAATTTGGATTGTCCACTTTTTTTGGCTGTTATGAATAATGCTGCTTTGAGCAATTGGATATATGTCTTTGCCCTGATATATCCTGCATTTGAATCTTGATTAAATACTTATGAGTGGAATTGCTGGATATTTGGTGCATAACTTAAAAAACTGCCCAATTGTTTTCAAAAGTGGCTGCACAATTTTACATTCCTACCATCAATATATGAGGATTACAGTTACTCCATGTCCTTACTAACATTAGGTATTGTTGGCCTTTTCTATCTAACCATTCTATTAAGTGTGTCATGGCATCTCATTGTGGCTTAAACTTGCATTTCTGCAACAGCTAATGGTATGGAGCAACTTTTTATATGCTTATTATTCATTGGTATATCATCTTCTTTGGTGAACGGTCTATTCTTTCATTTATTTAAAAAATTAGGTTATCTATCTTCATATTATCGAGTGTAAGCATTCACTGTGTTCAGTACAGGTCCTTTATGTGTTTTGCAGATATTTTCTTCCAGTCTATGGCTTATCTTTTCATTTTTCTTGGTGGCATCTTTTAAAGTGCAAAAATGTTAAATTCTGATGAAATCTAACTTGTCAATTTTTTTCTTTCATGAATTGTACTTTTTAGGTTATTTCTAAGAAATGTTTGCCTAGCTCAAAGTCACAGGAGTTTTCCTCCCAGCCCAAGGTCACACAAGTTTTCCTCCTATGTTTTCTTCTATATGTTTTATAGTTTTAGCTCTTATATTTAGGTTTCTGATCCATTTTGAGTATTTTGAGTTAATTTTTGTGTGTGAGGTAAGGGCCTAAGTTCTTTTTTTTTTTTTTTTTTGACAGGGTCTTGCTCTGTTGCCCAGGCTGGCGTGCAGTGGTGCAATCATAGCTCACTGCAGCCTCAGACTTCTGGGCTTAAGCAATCCTCCTGCCTCAGCCTCTCCTGAGTAGCTGGTACTACAGATGTGCAACACCACCATGCTCAGCTAATTAAAAAAAATGTTTTTTAGAGATCTTTTTAGGTCTTGCTATGTTGCTCAGGCTGGTCTTGAACTCTTGGCCTCAAGCGATCCTCCCGCCTCAGCAGCATATATGTATCCAACTGTTCTAACACCATGTGTTGAAGATTGTCCTTTTCTTCTTGAATTACATTGTCCACTTGTTGAAAGTCATTTGATCATTTGTGTGTGGATTTATTTCTAGGCTCTTTTAGTTTCCTTTTGAGGAATAAGCTCTTTTCTATTTGATGCAGATTCATAGGACAGTAATAGGAGAATTGATCTGGGATTCTCTGAGGCTTTCAACCTAGGATTTGAATCTCGAGCAGAGAGAAAGACTTTGGTTATGATAGTGGTTTCGTAGCCACAAAACTATCAATGGTAACAGCTAGCACCCATATGGCTCTAAGTGCCCAGCACTCATGCAAAACACTTTAATTATATTAATTCATTTAACACTTATAATAAAACCATCAGACACATACTATCATTGTCCCCATTTCTCAGAGGGGAAAACCAAGGCATGCAGAACCTAAGTAACTTGCCAACCTCAAAATTAGTAAGTAGCAGGGCCAGGATTTGAACCCAGGAAGTCTGGCTCCAGAGCCCATGCCTTATTTTTTTAGAGACAGGGGTCTCAGTATGTTGCCCAGGTTGATCTTGAACTCCTGGGCTCAAGCGATCCTCCTGCCTCAGCTTCTTAAATAGCTGGGATTATGGGTGAGCCACTATACCCAGTGTGAGCCTATGCTTTTAAACATCAGGCTATCCTGTGTTGGTTATGATTCCTCTTTTCTACCCTCTGGGGATGCCTTAGTTCCTGTCTTCTTCCAGGCTTGGCCATAGTATAAGCCCATCTTAGAGGATCTGGTCCCAATTTCCTCCCAGGAAATGGTACAGGAGTTGCTGAAGGGGTTTACTTCCTGGGGTAACATTGTCAGATGTACGTTTAAAAAACAACTGTGATTTCCACCACAAAGTGATATTTTCTTCAATAGTGTGTAAGTTTGCTAGGGTTGCCGTAATGAAATTCCACAGGCTGTGTAGCGGAAAGAACAGAAATTTACATCTCACAGTTCTGGAGGCTGGAAGTCCAAGATCAAGATGTTGGCAAGTTTGCTTTCTCTTGAGGCCTCTCTCCCTGGGTTGCAGGCGGCACCTTCTTGCTACATCCTTACATGCCCTTTTCTCTGTGCACACCCATCCCTGGTGTCTCTTCCTCTTCTTATTAGGACACCAATCCTATTGGATTAGGCCCCACCCTTATGACTTCATTTAACCTTAATTACCCCTTTGCAGGCCATATCTCACATTGGGGGTTAGGATTTCAGCATATGAATGAGGGGCAATAATTTAGTCTATAACAAATAGCTACAATTTGATGGAACATTTATTATCTCCTGTCTGTGCTAAGTAATTCCCATGCAGTCTTTCATTTCATCCCATACTAGCTTTGCAACCTTAGACAACTAACAACCTCTCTGTGCTGAGTTTCCTCATCTGCAAAATGGGGACACAAATAGTACCTGCCTTATAGTGTTGTTACGAGTATTACGAGTATTAAATCAACGAATATGTGTAAAGCACCTAGAACAGTGTCTGGTGCAGAGAGTTTGTTAAATAAATAAACCCGCGCTGTGAAGTTGGTAGAATTCACATCCAAAGATAAGCAAACCAAGCTCCTCTGAGGATATGAAGCAAGCACTTTGTCCAAGGTCAACTGGCAGAAACATGTTTAAATTCAGTGCTGTGGGCAAGGTGCGGTGGCTTACACCTGTAATCCCAGCACTTTGGGAAGCTGAGGTGGGCAGATCACCTGAGGCCAGGAGTTCGAGACCAACCTGGCTGACATGGTGAAATCCCGTCTCTACTAAAAATACAAAAATTAGCCAGGTGTGGTGGCGGATACCTGTAATCCCAGCTACATGGGATGCTGAGGCAAGAGAATCTCTTGAACTTGGGAGTTGGAGGTTGCAGTGAGACGAGGTCGTGCTACTGCCCTCCAGCCTAGGCAACAGAGCAAGACTCCGTCTCAAAAAAAAAATCACTGTCATCCTGGATCCTTGTAATGGGCTCAGGAACTGGCCCCAGAGTCCTGGTAGATTCTAGCGTGCGTCTCCAGGGAAGGAGAGACTGACCAATCTTACATTTGGAGAGCAGGACTTAAGAAAAAGCAATCACCAACGGCCATTCTGCCCAAGCAGAACTCGCACTCTGATCCACTGCAATCCACTGCCTCGAGTGATCGGTAGGGAATTTTTCAGGTGAGGAAGCGGGAATACAGCAGAGAAATCTATGCCATGCTTTGGGAGAAAGAGCAGGAATTCCATGTGACTGAAGCGGCAGGTGGCTGGGGGGATAGGGCAGTGGGGAGGCAGGGGCTTGGAAAGTGGGGAAGCTGAGCCACAGTTGTGCACATTGGGACTTGTCTGTCCTGTCTGCCCTTTGTGTTGTAGGCCACAAGGATGCACTGGAGAGTTTTATGCAGGATCACTGACTGCATCAGTATCAAGCCACAAAAATGGATTCTGGCCAACTTAAGCCAAAAAAACAAAAGCTAAAATAGAAAGAAAGCTCTTTTGAAAAGGCTGCCTCAAAGATCTAGGCAACAGGAACTAACTGAAAACCCATTAAGGTACCTTACCATGTTTCTCCGGAATGGGGCCTGGGGGGCACCTCCAGGCCTATTCTAGGGAGAGCTAATCTGATTGGTTTAGCCTGGGTCACATGACCATGCCTGGGCAGGCAGAGAGCCTCTTGATTGACAGTCCCACCCGACAGTTTTGAATGAGGGAGGGAGGTTCCCCAGCGTGAGGGTGGGTGCTGTTGCCTGAGGAAGGGGAGTTGTTTAAAACAAGAGGAGAAGCTGCAAGTAGACTACTAGTAACGAGAGAGCAGACCTGAGAAGCAAACCAGAAAAAGGGACTTCTATTAATTTGTCACCAGGACACACTGCCGTTTCATGTGCAATGCAGCTGTGCTTCAAATCGGCCCCCTGTGTAATTTCAAGGATAAATATAGAGCTTTTTCAATAGTTAAAAAAAATCTAATGGCAAGAACTAGATACATTTCTGTGCGTTTTATGAAGAAATTTACTATTTTTTTGAGTAGAGAATACTTGAGTAATATATTCATGTAGTTCAGAACTCAACATGATGCAAAAATATATACACGTGACAGTCTCATTCACATCCCATTCTCACCCTCAGGCTTATATGTAAGCACTTACTTGTTTCTTATATACCCTTCTGGTTTTTTTTTATTATTATTTATTTTTTATTCTGCTATAAGTTCAGATGAGTATGTATGAGTATATGAAAGATTTGTCCTGAATTTCCTTTCTGGATGGTGTTGGGGACCTGAGGAAGCCCAGGGGAAGTTGGAGGTCTATTTCATCAGCCTAGTAACACCTCTGGGATTCTCCCATTGACCCTAGGTCTTTTGTGGGGTCTTGGGTACACTACAGTCCTCGGCCCCCTGCTGTATTTCTGGGGGAAGGTCTCAGGCTTCCGGGCCTGGGAATAAGTACTCTTATTTCAATGGAATACTCCAGTTCTTCAGGCCTGGGGAATGTAGGAGTTCAGCTTAGTTTCCAGATTCCTCCCAGTCCTCTAGGGCAGGGGTCTGCAAACTGCAGTTGGAGGGCCAAATCCTGTCCATCACTTGTTTTTTTTTAAATAAAGTTTTATTGGAACACAGCCACAATAATTTGTTTACATATTACTTGTGGCTGCTTTTGCTTTATAGCAGCAGAGTTGAGTCATTGAGACAAAGATGGTACAGCTTTTGAAATCTAAAATATTTTTTATGTTGTTCTTTATGGAAGTTTGCCAGTCCCTGCTGTGAGAGCTGAAAAGGAAATGAGGACCTTGTTCTGGAAGTGCTTCCCAGTGGTTGGAGAAGCCCTTAGTGGCCCAAAACGAGGAGGCCATCACTGCAGAGAAGGAGCAGCTCAGTCAAAAGTCTGGGAGTCATCCTTGTCACCTCCTTTCCTTCATCCTATCCCCACCCCACATTCGATTCCATACCAATGACTCTTGATTTTTCTTCTCCAAAATATTTCTGGATTCTGTCCTCTTCTCTCCGTCTCCAGCAGCATCACTGCTTCATCTCTTGCCTGGACCACTGCAGTCACCTCCTCAGCCCCTTTCCTCCTGCTTTCACGGTGAGGCTGTTGCAATCCATTCTCCACCGAGCAACCGAAGTCATCCTTGCAAGGTGTGGATCTGAAAATCCTTCAATGGCTTCCTGTTGCACTTGGGATAGTGACCCAAAGCACAATCTGGCCTCTGCCCACTTCTCCGGAGCCCTCTTGTGTCATGCCTACCACCAGCTCTCTCTGCACTCTGGCCACACTGGTGGTGCTGGGCTCCTCCGGAACAGGGCTTTCCCACAGACTATTTCCTGTGCCCACATGCTCCCCACTCTTCCTGCTTTTCCAGTGAGCTCCTTCTCATCCTTCAGGTGTTACCTTGACCATCACTTCCTCTGACAAATCTCTCTTGACGTCTTTTACTGGGTAAATGCCCTCATTACAGGCTGCTGCAGCCCTGTGTCCCCATTCTCCTGAATCGTGTTGAAGTTGCAGTTCTACATGTATGTGTGAGTGTGTGTGTGTGTGTGTGTGTGTGTGTGTGTTGGTCACCTTCTCCATGAAGGCAGGAACCCACATCTGGCCTTGCTGACTATGGCGTCCCCATTGCCTAGTATAGTGCTTGGCACATAGACCCTCCATAAATATTTATCAAATAGATAAATAATGAATCTTACTCCATTCCAGCCATTTCCGGGTATGGGAGAGATTCTTCTCTGCTCTGCAACTTGCTGAGGTTTTAGGTGCCAAAGTCTTAACTTCATCCCTTGAGAACCACGTTTAACAGAGTGAGTTGGCAGAGCCAACCTAGCCTGGTGTTGATTGAATGCCACTTTGAGATGGCAGCTGCTGTATTTCTTCCAGTTGGTGTCTCCAGCCCCAAACAGGGTGTACACGACAAGCTTTTCTCCAGACTGTGTCTTGGAGATCTGTCATACCAAGAGGGATGGATGCTTGTTCCATTTGCTTTTCCAGCTTCTCTGCACCTGGTCTCCCCACAACCCAACCAGTGAAGATGCTAGTGAGGAAGGCAGACAGGTGTCTCAGCGCCTTCCCCATCCACACCCCCACTAGCTGTTAAGTATTCCATGGGATCCAGACAGAGAATTTTATTTGTTTTTCTGGACCCAAGCTGCCCCTTGACACAGCCGGTGATTGCTTTTTTTTTAAAAACCACGAAGGAGAAACTAGGTTTTTTCATATACTGATAAGGTGTCAGGTGACAGAGAGATCAGCATCCCAACACATAAATCTGCAACTAATCCTTAGAAATCAATATTTTTCATTAAGAACCTGTGAGAGTTGGACCATTATGGGGAAAATCTGTTTAGGTTGACACCTTGATGAAGTTATTCAGTTCAGGGGCTTAAGTCATTGAAAGGTAATAAAGAGCACGGAGCAATCTTGGGACTGGTTAGGGGAGAAAACGATGGGAGTATTTAGCTTCAGTTCAGTGAAAAATGACCTCCTGATTTATTGGGGAATGATGGGGTGCTGGCCTCTTGGGCAGGCTGAGCCAGACACCATGCACATGGCAGCCTTTCACTCTCACCACCTCTCCTCCCTCTGCAGTCACTGCTGTTTATAAGCTGCCTGGCAATAACAAAGCAGTAGGGATATATTTAGAGGGTTTGGGAGATTTCCAATATTCTCTAAGTCCCCACCCACATAATGCTCTTTCACATTTTGGACTTTCTCCTGTAGGTCACAAGGAATGGGGGTATTTAATTATTCTAATAGTTTAACAATGAGATTGAATTCACTTTTGTAAAATTGCCTTTATGACCTATTGGATCTGAAAGGACCCAGTTCATTGTCAGAAAGAACCAGGGTTATTCGAAGCCAATCCCTGGTATCGTCAGGATCAAAAGGGTAGCATCAAATATTTCCTCGTGGGTCTCAATTGTCCATAGACAATCACATTGGATGGGATCTAGGAAGTACATTTTCTTATCTCTCTCTCCTTCTCTCCTTTCTTTCTTTCTCTTTCTTTCTTTTTTCTTTCTTTCTTTCTCTTTCTTTCTTTCTTTTCTTTCTTTCTCTCTCTCTCTTTCTTTCTTTCTTTCTTTCTTTCTTTCTTTCTTTCTTTCTTTCTTTCTTTCTTTCCTTCCTTCCTTCCTTCTCTCTCTCTTTCCCTTCCTTCCTTCCTTTCTCTCTTTCTCGCCTCTCCTTCTCTTACTCTTTCTTTCTTTCTTCCCTGTCCATGATCCCAGATCCATCTTTCTCCAGTCCTCTGTAATCAATGCCAGATGACAGCCATTCCTGATTTTGTCCTGGGAACTGCATGGTGGATTCTCACATTCTTGGAGTAGACCATTTAGAAGACAAACAAATCTCTGTCTTATGACTATTGATTCCCTCTCAGCATAACTTTCATCCATTTATAAGTGCTGGCAGCCACGCTGCATGGAAATATCCCTTTGGTACCTTCTTGAAAGGTCAACAGAGTGCTGCAGCACAGTGTTTTAGATTTGATGAAATATGATATGATTTCTGATTTAATACAGTTGAAAGATGTCCTGTCTGGGTGTGAGGCTGAGGAAGTATTCAAGTGATGAAAGGTACAGAGAGTCCCATTCCACTGAAAAGCCACACTGGCAGCTGGGTGGGATGTGTGTGGGCAATTGCAGTAGGGATAGTAAGAGGAGGGTGGATTCAAGAAAGAGTTAAGAATTCAAATGGATAGGAGTGCTAACAATTTGGATTAGGAATCCGTTCATGTGTTGAGCTTTCACTACCTCCTCATCACTTAGAAAGAGTGGGAGGAAAAAGAAGATAAGAAGAGCCAAGAAGGGAATTCAGATGAATGTCAAGAACTAAGGCACAAATAGAGGCACAGTCAGAGAGAGAGAGGGAAAAGCAGAAGGGAGTGGAGTCAGGGGAGCCAAGGGTGGAGAAGGACAGAAGGATTGACCGAGCCACTGTCCTCAGAGGTTGTGTAAGATCACTACTCAAAATGTCTATTTCGCTGGGCAAATATGGTGTTTTCTATGACCCTACTCAGAACTGGCTCAGTGCGGTGATGAGAGCCAGAGAGCAGTGGATGGAGGGGTGGGTAGAACTCAAATCCTGGGGCTTCTCTCTTGCTGTGTTCCACAGAGCTATGTTTCCAGATATGTCACCCTCACAGAGCATGATGTGAATGGCACTCCTGGAGGTTCTGGATGGAAGTGGAGTCCCTGAGCATAGACTACACTACTCTTGAGTCTCTTGGCTGAGAAGAGAAGGGAGGAGGCAGTAGCTAGTGGGGAGTATCTAGCTCTGAGGGGATGGTGGTGGTGAAGAGGCATCCATTACTATTAAAAACAAAGAGGGGCCAGGTGCGGTGGCTCACACCTGTAATCCTAGCACTTTGGGAGGCCAAAGTGGACAGATCGCCTGAGGTCAGGAGTTCAAGACCAGCCTGACCAACATGGTGAAACCCCGTCTCTACTAAAAATAGAGAAAATTAGCCCGGTGCAGTGGCACGCACCTGTAATCCCAGCTACTTGGGAGGCTGAGGCAGGAGAATCGCTTGAATCCGGAAGGCAGAGGTTGTGACGATGAGCTGAGATTGTGCCACTGCACTCCAGCCTGAGTGACAAAGCAAGACTTTGTCTCAAACAAACAAACAAACAATAAAACAAACAGGGCAGGAAATAAATGAAAGGGTGGGATCTAGAAAAAAAATGGGGAACCTAACTTTGTACAGGAGCCACCTGTCTTCCACTGAGCAGCAGGAAAGGGGATAAGTGTCCACCCATCCCTAGCTCTTTAATGGAGCTCGTTCCCTGATACAACATACGCTGGGATTCTGTTGGGCTCAGTCTTTTTCTAGATCACAGTTGCCAGGCCAGACCAGGAATTGGGCTCAGTGTTTTTCTAGATTACAGTCTGGCTTGCCTACATGAGCTGTCAGTCTAGCTCTTATTTCCTGGCAGTGTATTCTAACACCTCATCCATTCACTTATCCATTCAACAAGTATTCATTGAGCACCTACTCTGTTCTAGATATTGTACTAGGCACAGGTGAGTACAAAGCTGAACACGATCCAATTCCTGTCCCCAAGGAGCTTAGAGTTTTGTGAGAGAGGCCAACAAGCAAACAGGAGATTACAGCATCATGTGGTAGGGGCTTTTCTATGGGTAAATCGCAGGCACCAGACTCAGTCTTGGAGCAAGATGCTACCTGGAAGAAGAGACATCTGAGACTAAAAGGGCAAGTGCAGTTTAGCCAAGCCAAGAGGTGGTAGGAATGGTATTTTGGGAGAAGAGCAGTCCAGTGAAAAGGCTCAATGGGTAGGGAAGGAGTGGCACATTGGATGAATGGAATAAGGCCTAAGAGGCTGGACTGTGGATTGAGAGGAGGGAAGTGGCAAGAAGTGAGGCTAGGGGAGAGTTTCTTAGCCTTGGGACAATTCACATTTGGTGCTGGGGTAACTCTTTATTACAGAGGTCTGTCGTGCACACTCTAGGATGCTTAGCATCCCTGGCCTCTTCCTGCTAGATACCAGTAGTACTCATTCCCTGCTTGTGACCACCAAAAATGTCTCCGGGCATTATTGCCAAATATCCCCAATTGGAGGTGGGGGAGCAAAATCACCCCCGACTGAGAACCACTGAATTAGAAAAATCAGGCAGGGATCCTATCGAAAAGGGTCCTACAAATCATGATAAAGAGTTAGGGCTTTATCTGGGAGGCAATGGGCAGCCCTTGAGGGTTTTAATCATGGGGTGGGGGAGGGGTTCCACGAACAAATCCATGACTTAGAAAGATCACCTTGGCTGCAATGACCCAGAGATAGAAGTGAGATCAAAGGCAGGAAGACCACTTTTGAGGCTGCTGCTGTGACCCTGGTGAGAGAGAATGGGGACACGGATCAGGGGGCAATACAGTTCTGGTGGCCCAGTGAGATGTTTTCTTTGGTTTACAAATCTCAGCTTCTCTCTCCCCCTACCCTGTTTCAGGATGTTCCCTGAGTTGGAGACAGTGGTTCTCAAACTTTGTGGGCAGTCACCAAGAGTGCTAATAATAAGTGCAGTGGCTCAGGCTCCTTGAAGGAGGAAAGGGCCCAGGCCTTGGCATTCCTCCTGGCTTCCCTGGGTGATTCTGATTCCCACCAGCATTTGGAAACCATTGACTTAGGGTATCCATAGCTACAGGCAAGATACATTCTGTGGGTCTCAGTCCCACCTGACCTGCAGAATCTGGGATGAATGTCCCACCTGATGCACAGAATCTGGGATAAATGTCCCACCTGATCCATGGAATCTGGGATGAATGTGCTACCTGACCTGCAGAATCTGGGATAAATGTCCCATTTGACTCTCGGAATCTGGGTTGAATGTCCCACTTGACCCACAGAATCTGAGATAAATATCTAACCTACGCACGGAATCTGGGATAAATGTCCCACCTGACCCATGGAATCTGGGATAAACATCTGACCTACCTGTGGAATCTGGGATAAATGCCTCACCTGACTCATGGAATCTGGGATGAATGTCCTACCTGACCCGCGGAATCTGGGATGAATGTCCTTCCCCTAGACGTGGTCTTTTCCAGGCTGCTCAGGGTTCATACTCGGAACACTTGGTTCCTGGGCGTCCCTCCTGTCACATATCTGGGAGCAGTGCATGAGGTCCTGGTTGTGAAATTGCATATCTGCCTCTTGCTGACAGCTCCTGCAGGTCAGGGGATGCCTTGAGGACAGAAGTTGGCCATGGACATGTCTGCTGCTCCCATACAAGAGAAATTCGTAGGTGATTCCAAGCCCAGCTTCCTGGCCCTGATGCAGTCATATATCAAAATAAAGAGGGGCTGTTTCCAGGGGAACCTAGGCAACAGTAATAACAATAATCAAGAACAGTAGTGATAACAGCAATGGTAAGAACTGCCATTTACAGGGGGCTTACAGTGTACCAGGCATTATGCTGAGAACATCGTATATATTATATCATTAAATCTTCACACTAAACTAGAACATAATTGCTAGAACATTACCCACATGTTACTGATAAGAAAAGGGAGGCTCACAGAGGTTAAGAAACTTGCCCGAGTTCATGTAGCTATTAAAAGGTAGAATTAGGAACTCAGGTCTGCTTGACTTGAGCATAAGCTCCTAACCACCGCACAGCCACTATAACCTTTCCCACGTCAGCCCAGCATCCATCTCCAGTAACTTGAGACAGAGAATTTGCGAGTCCTTGTTTAGCCCCTGAGTATATCCATTAGGATCATGTTTGTCTGTGACAGAAACCCCAAATAAAAGTAGTTTATGCAAGGTGGAATTTTGTCTCCTCTAAAAAAGAAGTCCAGAGGTATGCAGTTTAGAGCTGGTGTTATGCCCCTTTTACCTTGATGCTCTGTGATTCTCAGCAGACGACTGCTACCTCATGATCCAAGATGGCAGCTCACATGAAGCCATCACATCTGCATTCCAGCCAGCAGTAGGGAGGAAGGATCAAAGAAGGTGCTGTCTTTCTCCGAAGTCACACATAACCCTAGTTACATGTTGTTAGCCAGAACTTAGTCACATAATACCCAGTAGCAAGGGAATCTGCTCATCAACTAAAAATGAGTGTTTATTTCTAAGGTAGGCAGAGGAGAAGAAATTAGTGGCAGCTAATGGTCTCTGCCAGTGGAATGCTGCTAAGGATCTAGGCTAGATAATTTTTTAGATTGTTTTATTTTACAACTTTCACTTTTGTGGGTACATAGGAGATGTATATATTTATGGGGTACATAAGATATTTTGACACAGACATACAATGTGTAATAATCACATCAGTGTAAATGGGGTATGTATCACCTCAAGTATCTATCCTTTGTGTTACAAACAATCCAGTTATACTCTTTTAGTATTTTAAAATGTATAGTTAGATTATTATTGGCTGTAGTCAATCTATTGTGCTATCAAACACTAGATGTTACTCATTCTTTCTATTTTTTGTAGACATTAACCATCCTCCCCTCCCCCTATTCCCCATCATCCTTCCCTTCCCAGCCTCTGGTAACCATCACTCTAGGTTAGATAAATGTTTTGGGAGGGTAGCCATGTAATTTATCATCGTAAGTGGGACACTTTGGGGGAGCAAAAGAAAGCACTAAAAATACTGAATAGGTATGAATAGATTTAGTTCAGGCATGGGACTGTCCAGGAGAATTGGAATGTAAAATCACCCTACTGGAGGAATCTGCCTCCTGTATTAGAAACAAGACTGGGTCAAGGTCGTTCTCATTATAAACCTGATAAAGTCCGACTCCATCCCTGCAGAATGTATATGTCCACTCTCTGGCTGGCTCTCAGCACAAACATTTTGATTGAGGTTTTGTCTAAATGCCAACTTGAGGTAACATCTTTGCCTTAGGTATTTGTCCTCAAAGGGCAGCAACCACCATTGATTTCTGCACTATGTGGCAGCTGTTTAATTCATTCCTTACCTAATTTCCCCTCCACCCTCTGAGGTCTATGAGTCAGGTGCTATCATCTCCAGTTTACATGCATCCACTGAGGCTGGGGGTGGTGGGGTTGAAAGACGTTCCCAAAGTCCCTCAACAAATAAATGGCAGAGCCTGGGTTTGAACTGGTACCTTGTGGATACTGAGCACCCTTCTTATAACCACTCTATTATACTTCAGCCCCATCTCAGGCCATCCACTTGCCTACCTGACCCACTGTACTGCTCACCTGTCTTTTCCATTCCTGATTCCATAAACTGGGCTGCCTCATCACTGGGGCAACCATTTGGACCTCCTAGTTGATGTTCCTTTGTTATTCAAACCTCCTCCTTAGCTCCACATCCTCTCCTTTCCTATTCCACTCTCAGCTCTCCATGCCATCTTGGTTTCTATTCATTGGTAGCTCCATGGCCTTGGGCCCTTCATGGAGCTCAGACCAACTGGATCATCTCTGAGGTTTTCCCCACAGTGAGGAAGGATGAAGATAAGACACAAAGAATGGAAGACGTAGAGGCAGAGAAGTTTGCTGGTGGAGCGGTGGAAGCTTTAAGCTCTTCCTACTGTTGGCCACAGCTTTATAGGAGAAAGAAGATGTGGGGTCTTAAGAACTCACCTTGAAGATATGGAAGGGGGAGCTGACCAGGGGCACTTGAAAGGATGGCATAGCAGCATGAGAGCTCTGCAGAGGTTGAAGAGTTTGTATGTAGAGCTGCACCAGTTCACAGTGTGGTGTGATTTGCTTTACTATGGCTCAGTCTCCTCTGGGATGGGGAAAGAGAAGGCATGGTTGAGGGAAGCCTTGGTGTATATCCCCTGTGCTATTCTGCCTTAACTCATAGTTAATTTTTCACATGTCTCTCATCTTATCAATTCTTGTATCCCCAGGGTCAGACACAAAGCCTGACACCTGGGAAGGTGTTTCTCAGATGTGAGTGATGAATGTTTCCTTTCAGCTCTAAACCCTGATGGCCTTTCAAATGCTGAGTACTCCTGTACCCCTTTCATGATCCATCCTCTGCCTCCCTCCCCACCAAATACTCACTCAAAAAAGATGCAGCTTTTTAAAACCAGCTATATTTATTAATAGCCATTAATGCATGTGGTCATTTAAACATTAATCATTCAATAAAGCAATACATCACAACATAAAATAGAAATAACACAAAAAACAGTGCTTTCCCTTTATTTAACTAGTTGGTTGGGTCTTTGTGAGCCAGCTGTCTTTTGTAGCGAAATGTCCACATTTCATTAGGTGTTTGTGACGCCCTGGAAATAGCTTGTCGGTTCCCTTTCCTCTTCCTGCAGATGGCAGCATGGAGTAGTGGTTAAGCCCGTGGACTTTGGAATCAGGTTTTCTGCGCTCAAGTCTTGTCACTGCGATCTACTAGCTGTGTGACCTTGGGTGAGTTACTTAACCTCAGTTTCTCCATCTGCAAAATGGAGAGAATAATAAATACCTGTCTCACAGGGTTGTTATTAGATCTTTCATAAAAAGCTGTGAATAGAATTGCTACTTTCCTTTCTACCACCCAGGTGGGGTGGGAAACTTCTGCTCTTGGCAGTCATTTAAATCCTGTGCTCTGGCCAGGTGGCTCACGCCTGTAGTCCCAGCACTTTGGGAGGCTGAGGCGGGTGGATCTCTTGAGGTCAGGAGTTCGAGACCAACCTGGCCAACATGGTGAAACCCCATTTCTACTAAAAATACAAAATTGCAGGGGGTGGTGGTGCATGCCTGTAATCCCAGCTACTCGGGAGGCTGAGGCAGGAGAATTGCTTGAACCCAGGAGTCGGAGGCTGCAGCAAGCTGAGACCGTGCCACTGCACTCCAGCCTGGGCGACAGAGGAAGACTCTGTTTCAAAAAAAAAAAAAAAAAATCCTGTGCTCTGACGATCCAGTGACTTACTTCTTCATAGACAGCAAGAAACTCCTGGCCATCCGACTCTTGGTGGAGAGGAAGGGGCATTGCTTTTTAGTTTTACTCTCCATGATTTACAAAGGCAGCAGCATTTCTGAGTGAAAACGAATGCTCGCCTGCTGCTGGCTGGTTCTGTATGTATTGATTAGCGTCCCAGGGGTGGGACTGGGGGTACTGTTCTAGAAACACTCACTTTGATTCCTCAGATAAAACCCCCCTGGGTCCTGCTAGGAAACTAATTGGGAGTTGATTCTGATGAATAAATGTGCTGCCGCCGCCTGAGGAATTGACCACGCCGGCAGATGGCTGGAGAATGAGAAACACTCTGTTGTGGCCTTCTAAGGGGCCCATCAATAATAGATTGGCTCCAGCCTGGGGAGAGGGAAGCATTTCTGCTGCAGGTATGAATTATGGATGCCGTTTAGGGTAATGCGGATCTATCTCAAAGGTTCCGCTCAGTTTATGTGCTAGTAAAAGCCGGCAATTTGCTTGTGTTCCAGCTATAATTTGCGCTACATTAAGGGACCCTCCTTTCCATAATGGATGTGTGGTTGAACGCAGGCTCAGCCAGGCCTCGAGGGCAAGGCCTAGGCGGCCAGATCAGGAACACAGCTAGGTGTCATCCTCCGCAGCCCAGTCACAAGGCTCCAGACGTTTTGCTGAGGGTGCAAGTGGATGCCTTAAACTCTTTCCCAAGGTCCTGGAAAGAAACTGCACTAACAGCCTTGCTGTGACTCACTGTCAAATGCAGTTAATGCACATACTGAGAGGAGCACAAAGGAAACCTATGGGCTACAGTCTGGACAAAGACACAGCAGTCTTGCAAGAGAAGCCATAGATAGGGTGGTTAAGAGCACAGATTCTGGAGCCAGATTGCCCAGGTCTGAATTCTGGCTTTGCCATTTTCTAGCCATGTACCCTTTGGCAAATTATGTAGCCTTTCTGTGCCTCAGTTTCCTCCTCTATAAAAAGGCAATAATAGCACTAACCAGTTATATGCTGAAGCCAGAGCAGACACGTGAAAGCCAACTGTTTAATTATCAGAAATTTTGCAAGCTGGTTGTTAAATACAGCCTTTATTAAAAATTAAATTTTATAAGCTTGCAATTAAAACCAAAGGTAATAAATGCTCCAAACTCATTAATTCCTAATTATTTTACTCCATTTTACTACTATCTATGCTCTTGGGGCTACTTATGTCTACTGTGTCTGCATGGTGGCAATGATACGTAATGTACGTCCCTTTCCGATGATACATGATGTGCATCTTCCCGGTGATATATGATAGGCATTTCTTCCCAACGCCAAGATCGTGACATTACACTGACAGCTTGGAATTGGCCACAGTGGGAGTAGTTACACCAGGGACATTGGCAAGTGCTACAAATCAAAGCTTTCCCATTGAGAGCTGGTTGTTAAACTTTTAAGAGCACATCAGTGGTACTGACCTAATAAAGTTGTTTGGAGGATTGAATAGTTAACATGTTTATAAATTGCTTAGAACAGAGCCTGGCACAAAGTAAGCGCCATATAAAAATTTGCTGTTATTATTTTCAGAGATTTTTACAATTTTTTTCTAGCATAGATCAAGTGGTCACTGTGTGAATGAAGTCCTCCAAGGAACTGCAATCTTTTTCTTTCTTCCTAACCCCTGTGGTCCAACAGCCTGAGAAAAGTCTTATATACTTTCTCTTAAAGGCAAGGACACACTGAAATCTGGGGGGAAAATTGGTTTGGGTTCTCCTGAGCTTTTCGAAGTACTTTCCTTTAGTGTGAGCTGGTGTGATAGTGGACTGACTTTAGTGAGGAATGGGATTCTGGCTTTATCACTGATCTGAGCAGATTATTTTACCTCTTCAAATTAGGACCACAGGTGCACGCCACCACACCTGGCTAATTAATTTTTTTTTTTTTTTAAGAGATGGGGTTTTCACATTGTTGTCCAGGTTGGTCTCGAACTCCCGGTCTCAAGCAATCCTCCTGCTTTGGCCTCCTCAGTTGTAAAAAGGGGGTAATAACGGCTGCCTCATGGGTTTGGGTGGTAAAGGTGATATGGTTGCCTGAGGTCCAATTCTACCTCTAGCACTTGCTGCCCCCAAGACCTTAGGAAAGCTCCCTGATTTCTATAAACCTTAGTTTCCTCATCTATAAAATTGGAGCAATAATACTTCTGTTTCCTGGTGGCTGGGAGATGAAATGGGGTAATACAATTAAGAAGGTAGCATTTTACCTGGATATAGGAGATGCTTAATAAATATTAACAGTGACCTTAGCTGCTACTTGGCAATGATACCTCTTACCATCCCTGATAACCTGGGTGGTTTTGGCTGATCTGGCTGGTTGGCTGCGGAAGGCTCCCTTTCTTTCCTCTCTCTTGCAGAACTCTTCCTCCCAAAACTGTGCCTCACTGAGCTGAAGGGCTTGTGACCTCTCATACTGAGGCTGTGTCCTCTGGGATAGAGTGTGATCAGAAGGGCTTGTGACCTTCTCATACTGAGGCTCTTCCTCTTGGGTAGAGTGTGATCAAGCAGTGCATCCTTGCTCACGCCTGCAAGCAAATGGCTCAGAGCTGTTGTGAGGATTAAATGGGATAATGTAGGTGAGGATTGAATGGGATAATGTAGGTGCAGCAGGACCACTCATTAGGAATTTAACATGGCAGAATGGCCTGCTGAGGAACGAATTGTATCTTATTTTCTCAGCTGGATGTTCATCAGAGAAGGATGAGATGTTCTTTCTCTTCTCTTGCCCAGGGGGATGAATGGGTCTTTGTGTCCTTAAGGTTTGAGTTTGTACTGTCTCCTCTGTGGGAAGGGTTAACAGAATTTTTCTTAGGCTGTTGGATCTCAGGAGTCTAGGAAGGAAGAAAGGATTTTAGCTCCTTAGTGAGGTTTGCTCAAAAGCAGTGTCTGGGTGGTTTTCTCTGAAAAGCCAGATGCTATGGGCAGGGGCTTGTGAATCATATGAGGATATCCTGAGGCCAGGCTCTGAACGGTGGGTGACCCCTGGGTTTGCTGGCCACTACCTTCTCCCAAGTGGGTAACAGAACTTATGGCACCTTTGAATACTCAGTGGGAGGCTAGGCACTGAATGTGATTTGGGGCTTTCCAGGATCACAGAAAGAGGAATGTGGGCTTCGAGATAATGGGGAGAATCTACTTATTTGTTTATTTATTTGAGATGGGGTCTTGCTCTATTGTCCAGACTAGAGTGCAGTGGCTCAATCACATAGCTCACTGCAGTCTCTAACTCCTGGCCTCAAGCAATCCTGCCTCAGCACCCTGAGTAGCTGGGACTACAGGATCACACCACCACACCTGGCTAAATTTTTTTTTTTTTTTTGGAGACAAGAGTCTCACTTTGTTATCCAGGCTGGTTTCAAACTTCTGGCCTTAAATAGTCCTCCCACTTTGGCCTCTCAAAGTGCTGGGATTACAGGTATAAGCCACCACACCTGGCTTGGGAGCGGCCTAATAAATGACTGGTAACTCAACTTCTTGATAACCTTGTTCTCTTGGGGTATGAGGTTGTGTTTGAACTGGATTATGTTTGGTGCAGACAGAGAAACATGCTTTTACTTTCACTTTTCAACTTGAGAGCAATTCTTATTTGTGACTCATGTAATATGCTGGCTTCATAATAGAGGCTCAATAAATGGTCGTTCTCTTCACTCTTCTGTTTATTCTTTATTACATTTAATCACAAATCTGAACCCTATAGCAGTTTAAGGGTTGAAACCTAGGGCTTGAGAGTTCAAATCCTTGATCCACCACTTACTTGGCTGTGTGAACCTTGGGTAAATTCCTTAATCTTCATGAACCTCAGTTATACCATCTGTAGAATGGGGATTAAAAAATAGTGCTGTCTGTGAAAATGAAATGACTTTTAACCCAGTGCCTCTGGTGTAATAAGTACTAAGTAAATGGTGCCTTTATTTTTGTATGCTCTATGAGTCAAGTGGGACAAAATAAATTCCATTAAACAAAGGAAGAAATGAAGGCACAGAGAGCCGGATGTCTCCCCTGAGGTCAGTAAAGGACTCATGTACCCAACACGTGGCTCTTTTGTGATCCAAGCCAGAAGGGAACATGGTGTTCCCAGTACCGCTCAGAGCCAGGATTCCACCAGCCTGAAAGTTCCATGTTCCCAAAAGTTTTTCAAAGCTATAAATATAGATGGAGCCTTCTGAGAAATGTGCTGGGTCAGGGCTTTTGCCTAAGCAGACAACTTTGGCTGGCTTTGGCCCTTTTTCCTGATTGCCCTGTTCCATGAATCTGTTGTTTTAGTGCACTCTGTGGTTTCTAGTTGAATCTTCCAGAACCACTTAAGACTTAGGGAGGAGAGGAGGGTAGGATGCCAACCTCTGGAAAAACATGGGCACTGGAAAGACCCAGTTTAACTTAGCCAGAGTCACCACTGAATCTGTCGGGGCAATTGTTTTTAAATTTTAAGTGGCATATTTCCTTGTTTAGTTATTTTTAGAGCTGGTTTTCTGATTATAAATGCATTACGTGGCAATTATAAAAAAATAAGGAAGTCAAAAATCCCATCTTTTTTTTTTTTTTTGGAAGGCAAGCAGGTTAGTAAAAACCCAATTTACCTAAATCCCATTGGAGTTTGAAAACTATACATGCCTTATAGAATTGATAGCTTTTCCAATGAATTAATCAGTAAATCAATTAACCAGAAAATCTTTATTGAGTGCCTTTTGTGTGCTAAGGCAGATTCCAGGATGAGGTAAGAAAATGAAAAGCTCTGAACTAATAAATGTCATCCAGTCCCAGAGGGAGATCAATCCAATGGCGATGGAATTAGTGATCAAGCTATTGGTCCTTAGAAGTGGCAGGAGTTGAGGCAGACAACAAATGTGCTATGAACTGTACGAAAAATGAGCCCCAAGGTGAAGGAAAGGCTTGTTGAAAAAAACCCAGTGGGGAAACATCCTGTTTCTTAGGCCACAAGTGAAGGGAAGGCAACCATATCCATCCACCCACTCAGCCACCCACCTGGTTTGCAGAAATTGAGCCAGTGATGCATCTAGTTAAAAATTGCATGCAGTTAAAAATTTTTATTACTCTGGCAGGGCGCAGTGGCTCACGCCTGTAATCCCAGCACTTTGGGAGGCAGAGGCGGGTGGGTCACGAGGTCAAGAGATCGAGACCATCCTGGCCAACATGGTGAAACCCCATCTCTAACAAAAATACAAAAATTAGCTGGGTGTGGTGGCGCACACCTGTAGTCCCAGCTACTCGGGAGGCTGAGGCAGGAGAATCACTTGAACCCGGGAGGCAGAGGTTGCAGTGAGCCGAGATCGTGCCACTGCATTCCAGCCTAGGTGACAGAGCGAGACACTGTCTCAACAAAAAATGTTTTTTACCCTTAAAAAACAGCCTTTTGAGGTATAATTGGCATATAAGGAACTGCAATATTTAAAGTGTACAATTTGATAAGTTTTGACGTAAGTCTACACCAGTGAAACCATTGACACCATCAAGATAATGAACTTATGCATCACCCTTAAAAGTTTCCTTGTGGTCCTTTCTAATTCTTTCCACCTACCTTCCCGGACAACCCCTGATCTGCTTCTGTTGGTATATATTAGTCCGGATTTCCTACAATTTTATAAAAATGGAATAATACAGTATTCACTAGTTTTTGTTGAGTTTACTTCACTCAGCATAATTATTTTCAGATCTATCCACATGGTAGCATATATCAATATTTCATTATTTCTATTGCTGAGTAGTATTCCATTGTATGGATATACCACAGTTAAATTCACCTGTTGTTGAGCATTTGGGTCATTTACAGTTCTTGGATACTAAAAATAAACTTGCTTTTTGTACAAACATGTTACACAATGAGAGGTCAAAGAACAAGCCTGACAAATCCAGTTTCTCAGGAAGAAACATTTAACAGGGACTTATGAACTGGAGCAATGTCTTGGGAAGCCACAAGATGTTGGCTCACTGCATTCACCCTAAAAAACATATTCTTCCTATAGTAAGCTTTTTTGATAAAACATGTGCAGCTAGTCATGTCTCAGACTTTCTTGCAAAACTCTTGACCACTGGATAGGTTAGATAAATGTCTTTATGAAGGATTATCTAAGCTATAAGAACATCTTGGTAGGCAGGAGTCGCACATTGGTCATCGTGGTGGTTTCCCTTCAAGATGGTGTCACACTCCTGCCATGCAACAGACTGTTTTCCTGCAAGACATATGCTTTCATTTGTTCATGGGTAAACTCCTAGGAGTAGAATGGCTGGTTCATATTGTAAGTACATGTGTAACTTTTTAAGAAACTGAGAGACCATTTTCTAAAGTGATTGTACCATTTTACATTGCCACCAGCAGTATATAAGAGTTCTATTTTCTTTTTCTTTTTTTTTGAGATGGGATCTCACTCCTGGGGTCTCACCCAGGAGGCTGGAGTGCAGTGGCACAATCTTGGCTCACTGCAGCCTTGACCTTCTTGGGGTCAAGTGATCCTCACACTTCAGCCTCCCAATAGCTGGGGCCACAGGTGCATGCCACCATGCCCGGCCAATTTTTTGTATTAAATATTTTGGGTAGAGACGGGGTTTCACTATGTTGCTCAGGCTGGTCTTGAACTCCTAAGCTCAAGCAATTCTCCCACCTTGGCCTCCCAAAGTGCTGGGATTACAGGCATGAGCCACCGAACCCGGCCAAAAGTTCTATTGTAACCATTCTAATTGGCATAGGAGTGATATGTGATTTTAATTTACATTTCTCTAAAGATTAATGATTGAGTCTCTTTTCATGTACATATGTCCTGTCTGTATGTCTCCTTTGGTGACGTGTCTGTTCAAATATTTTGGCCATTTTAAAAATTGGCTTGTTTTCTTAAGTTTTGGGAGTTCTTTATGTATTTGAGATATAAATTTTTTATAAACTATATGATTGATCAGACATATGATTCTCTAACTCTGTAGCTTGTCTTGTATTCTCTTCACAATGTCTTTTAAAGAGCAAACATTTTTTAAGTTGATGAAGTCCAGTTTATCGGTTTGTTCCTTTTTGGGTCATACTTTTGATGATGAATCTAAAAAATCTTTGCCTAGATCAAGATTAAATTTTTCAATGCCCTAAATGTTTTATAATTTTAGGATTTATATTTAGATCTACAATCCATTTTGAATTAAGTTTTATATATGATGTGAGGTATGGATAGGAGTTCGTTTTTCTTTTTGCATATTGGGATCTAATTTTCTCAGTACATTTTTGAAGGAACTTTAATTTCTCCACTGAATTCCCTTTGCATTTTTGTTAAAAATCAGCTGTCCATATATATGGGGCTATTTATGGATTTTTGTATTCTATTTCATTGATCTATTTATCATCTTTTATGCCAGTATTACACTGTCTTGATTATTACAGCTTTGTAATAAGTCTTGGATGGTGTTAGCATTACAACTTTGTTCCTTTTTTTTTTTCCAGAGGTATCTTGGCTATTTTAGGTCCTTTGCAGTACCATATACATTTTAGGATGCATCAATTTCTACAAAAAATGCTTCCTGGAGATTTCTGTTTGGATTTCATTGAATCTATACATCAAGTTGGGAAAATTTACACCATCTTAACAATATTGAGTTTTCTTGAACCTATAAGTATAGGTTCAAGACCAACATTTTATTTATTTATTTATTTATTTATTTATTTATTTAATTTATTTATTTATTGCGATGGTATCTCTGTTGCCCAGGCTGGAGTACAGTGGTGCACTCCATCTGGGCTCACTTCAACCTCTGCCTCCCAAGTTAAAGCAATTCTCCTGCCTCAGCCTCCTGAGTAGCTGGGATTACAGGCATGCACCACCACACTCAGCTAATTTTAGTATTTTTAGTACAGATGGGGTTTTACTATGTTGGCCAGGCTGGTCTTGAACTCCTGACTTCAAGTAATCCACCTGCCTCGGTCTCCCAAAGTGCTGGGTTTACAGGCATGAGCCACCATGCCTGGCCTATTTTGGTATTTAACTTCTCTTGGCAGTAGTTAGTAATTTTCATAGTATAAGTTTTTCACATCTTTTGCCAGATTTATCTCTAAGTATTTAATATTTTTGATGTTATTGTGAATGGTATTGTTTATTAATTTCAATTTCTGGTTGTTTATTGGCATCATATAGATATATAATAGGTTTTTGTATCTTGAGATTGTATCCTGCAACTTCACTAAACTCAATTATTGGTTCTAGTAGCTTATTTGTTGCTTCTATCAGATATTCTGCATAGATGACCACATCATCTGTGAAGAAAGAGAGTTTTACTTCTTTCCTATCTGAATGCCACTTTTTTCTTTGCACTACTGCACTGGTTAGAACCTTTAGTACAATGTTGAATAGAAGCAGTGATAGTGAACATACTTGCCTTGTTCTTATCCTCAGAGGAAAGCACTTATTCTTTCATTATGATGTTTGCTATAGGTTATTTGAAGATGCTACATAGTTGAAAATGTTCTCTTCAGGTTCTACATTGCTGAAAATTTTTATTAGAAACGAATGTTGTTAAATATTTGCAAACGAGTTTTTTGCATCTATTGAGATAATTTTTTTTTCTTTTTTAGTTTGTGAATTTGGTAAACTACTTGATTTGTTTTTGAATGTTAAACCAACCTTGCATTTCTGGGATGAAGCACTACTCATCATAATGTATTATCCTTTTTACGTATTGTGGGATTCAATGTGCTAATATTTTGTTTTGCAGTTTTACATGTATAGTCATGAAGAATATCCATCTGCAGCCTTCTTTTCCTGTAATATCTTTGTCTGATTTTAATGGTAGGGTGATAGTGGTCTTATAGAGTCAGCTGGGGAGTATTCTTCCCTGTCCTATTTTCTGGATGACTTTATACAGAATTGGAACTTGCCAAGTATGTGAGCTTGGGGAACATGCATCTGCAAAATTGAGGAATAACAATGCAGTAGTGCCTACATCACAAAATTGTTGTGAGAATTAAATGAGATGATGTATACATTCAATAACTTTTACGTGTTATAATTATTACCATAAGCCAGTGTCTCCGAGACAAGACTAAACTGGAGAATGGGATAGAAAAGGGCCTCAAGGAAGGGTATGGACTGTTTTTCTCTCCAGATATGGTCTCACTTGGGCCTTCATGTGCCTTACTCCTTAAGGTCATTGGAAAGACAAAAACTGGCCCCCCTACTTAATCTCTGCCCACATTAATTAACTTCTGCTAGCCTTGTTTTCTTCATTCACAAGGAAGGGATATTATTAATAGCAAATATTTGTTGGGCACTTTCTAGATGCCAGACACTGTCCTGAGCACTATCCATGTGTCATCACTTAATCTTCACGGCAGCTTATGAGGTAGGTACTATTATGATCCCCAATTTTGGTGATGGGAAACTGAGGCAGAGAGCTGTTAGTAACATTTAAAGTCACACAGCTAATAAATGGCAGAACTGGGATATGAACCCAGGCAGTTCGGCTCTAGAGTGCACTTTCTTACCCTTTCTCTCTTCTTACCTTATAGATGTTGTTGTCATTGGTGGTGGTGGTGGTGGTGTGTGTGCATGTTGATTGAGATAACCTGGAACACATGAAAGATGTCAATAAATGTCACTTTACTTTCCACAAGTTCTACAAAACTCTGGAAGGAATAGCACACTGATTATTTTGTCTTCTCTCAACTTCCATCCCCATGCCAGCCCCAATCCAGGGCTGACTCCAATTAGAAGAGGCTCTGTTTCAGCAGACAGGATAAGCTGTAGTCCCAGAAGAACCCTGACTCTCAGGGTAGAGTGCAATGCCAAGGCCCCCTGGCCCTTTGCTACTCAAAGTGTGGTCCTGGGACCAGCAGCATTAGTATCATCTGGGAGCTTGTTAGAAATGCATGATCTCAGGCTTCACTATGACCTACTGCACCAGAATTTGTATTTTAACAAGACCCCAGGTGATTTGTGTGCACATTAAAGTCTAGGAATCACTGCCCAAAATCAATACTTTTTCTGCTTGATCCTTCCAAGCGGTCACTCATTTGCTGAGGTGATGGGAGTTCACCAATGCATCCCTTCACAGATGCGATGTTTATATTGAGTACACATTTATCTTCTCTGTGCAGGAGATGCAAAGTCAAATCCCTTCAGTTGGCCAGATGGGAACTCTGGTAGAGTGTGCATGTTCTGTCTAAAAGGGACAGCTACCATTTCACTCCAGCCAACTGCTACATGGAAACGCTATCCCAGTGTTTAGATCTTCTGATATTTTCTTTTAAGATGGGCCTCACTCTGTTGCTCAGGTTAGAGTGCAGTGGCATGATCACAGCTCACTGCAGCCTCAACTTCTCAGGCTCAAGTGATTCTCCTGAGTCAGCCTTCGGAGTAGTTGGGACTATAGGCATGCACCACCATGCCTGGCTTATTAATTTTTTTTTTTTTTTAGTAGAGACAAGAGCTTGCTATGTTGCCCAGGCTGTTCTTGAACTCCTGAGCTTGAATGAGGTGTGATCCCCACACCTGTTGGGATCTTCTGATATTTTAATCAAAGCTGGAAATGTGGATCTTCATCTGAAATCTCTTATTTGTTAAATGTTAATAACTAATTCAAACTAGTAAAATAACTTTGAGGGCCAAAGAAGCATGTGTGCTGGCCATATTCTCCAAGGGATGCCAGCTTGTGACCTCTGACCTAAAAATGACTTCTAAAGAGTGCAGCTTCTCAAATAAATCAAGTATGTATTGTACATGACAGTCTTTTGAAAGTTCAGAGGTTTTTGCAAAGCATGCAAGATTTTCCATTACTTGGTTGTCTCTACTGTCAGCTACACTCAACCACAAATATTTAATTGCTGTTTCATCTTCTGTACTTTGGCATGTATCTGTTCTCTTTGCTTTGACTATCCATTCCCCTTCATCCGTCTAGCTAGCTTTGATTCATCCTTCAAGATGCAAACCAAATTTCACCTCCTCTGTGAATATTTTCTGGTTTCCCTCCATTACAGTTGCCCACTAGTGCAATTCTCCACCCTGGGCCATGTTGTGCTGGAATCATTTGTTTATATCATTGTTTCCCCTATAAATGCTCAGACGTCAGGGACCAAGTCTTATTCCTAACATCTAGGAAGTGTTAGGCACAGAGTAGATGCACTCACTAACTATTGCAGCATAACCAATCACTCCACAACTTAGCAGCTTGAAACAGCAAACATTTATTGTCTCAGTTTCTGTGGGTTAGGAATTTGGGCATGGCTTTCCTGTGTATCTCTGGCTTGAGGTTGCTTACCAGGTTGCAGTCAGACCTCAAAGTCTCTTACCAGGTTGCAGTCAGAGTACATGCTGGAGCTGTGGTCTCATGTGAAGTCTCAGCTGGGGAGAATCTGCTTCTAGGCTCCCTCCCATGGTTTTTGGAAGGTTTCAGTTATTTGTAGGCTGTTGGAGCTAAGGGTCTAGGGTCTCGGTTTCTTGCTGACTGCTGGCCAGAGGACTTCCTCAGTTCTTTGTCACTGGGATCCTTGGACAGCTCACAACATGGCAGCTGGCTTCCCTTGGAGTGAGAGTGAGAGAGTGCTCCAGACGGAAGATGCCATCTCTTTGTAATCTAATTCCAGAAGTGACATCTCTCCTCTTCTGCATTCTGCTTGCTAGAAGTCGGCCACTAAATAAAGCCCACACACAAGCGGGGAGGGAATTACACAAGAGTGGGGCTACCAGGAGGCAGGGAGTATTGAGGTCATCCAAGAAGCTGCGTACCGAAATGCCCTGCTTGTAGTTATGTGCTGTGGTTACTCAGCCTTGGGATTCAGATTGCCCAGGTTCAAATCTTAGTCCTGTCACTCTGTGAAAGTTTACTTACCTGTAATGGGCATCAAGGGCTTCTTGACCCATAGAATTGATATGGGGACTGTGTTTAACAGAATGCCTGCTTGCCTCTAAAAAGGTGACCTATGATTAATGTTGTTTTAAGAAATGATGATGATGATTTTTTTTTTTTTGAGATAGGTTCTCTCTCTGTCACCCAGGCTGGGGTGCAGTGCCATGAACATGACTCACTGCAGCCTGGACCTTCTGGACTTAAGTGGCCTCCTGAGTAGCTGGGACCACACGTGAATGCCACCATGCTTGGGTAATTTTTAAAATTTTTGTAAAGAGAGGGTCTCACCATGTTGCCCAGGCTGATCTTGAACTCCTGGGCTCAAGGAATCCTCCTGCCTTGGGCTCCCTAAGAGTTGGGATTACAGGTGTGAGCCACCGTGTCTGGCCAAAGTAATGATTATTGAATGTATCATAGGTATCTAGGTAAGAGAGTGACCATACGAAAAAATGGAAGAAGCATGACTGGTTATATGCTCAGTTCTCTGAATCACCCCCTCCGACTCAAGTTCCTCATTTCTAGATTTTTTCCTTCCTATAAATTAGCTTGATCTTTCCCTGGTATGACTCCTACAACTCTGCCCCGGCCTCCAAGTCTAAGTGAGCTCTCCCTATTGTGCTCAAATCCTGTCCTTTTCCCACACCAGATCATTTTAACCCTTGCCATTCTTCAAGCCAACAATTCTCCCAACAATTTATTTCTTCCGCTCCCACCACTCCAGTGCTCAGTCAGTGAGTGATTCTGGGAAGAGTGGTCTGGCTGGGTTGGATGGCCAGGTCTATTTCAAGTTCATCTCAGCTGTCTGGTCATTTTTTATTTAAAAAAAAAAAAAGCTTTGGGAAGTAGTCTATTTAAACACACGTAAGCAGCTGTTCCTCCCTTTCCACCTGCTTTCATCCCTTTCTCAGCAGATGGGATCATCATCTATTTTATTGAAATAACAATAATACCCCCAAGTTTTGTTTTGTTTCATTTTGTTTTTATGAGACGGACTCTTACTCTGTCTCCCAGGCTGAAGTGCAGTGGCACGATCTTGGCTCACTGCAACCTCTGCCTCCTGGGTTCAAACGATTCTCCTGGCTCAGCCTCCTGAGTAGCTGGGATTACAGATTTGCGCCACCATGCCTGGCTAATTTTTGTATTTTTAGTAGAGATGGGGTTTCACCATGTTGCCCAGGCTGGTCTTGAACTCCCGACCTTAAGTGATCCACCAGCCTTGGCCTCCCAAAGTGCTGGGATTACAGGCATGAGCCACTGTGCCCCGCAAATACCCCCAAGTTTACTGACCTCTTAACTATGTTAGATGCCAATCTAAGCCCCTTTAATGGATTATCTCCATTGTCACAATAACTCCTACGAAGATAGTACTGGGACTATCCTATTTTACATATAAGGAAAGTTAGGCTCAGAGATATGGAATGATTGACAAATGTCCAACAGTAGAGCTGAGATGTGAATCCATGTTAACCTGATCCCCAAATTGAAGCTCTTACCCACTTTTACTGAAAAGCCGTTTGGATTCTTTAGTCCACCTACTTTCTATCTCTGCTTAATGGGCTGCAAGATGCCCATTTCACTGAACTTGTTTCTCCTAAGGACCTGCAGGCTGCTTTGCTGAATGCTCCTCCTCCGCCTTGATCCTGCTTTGGCATTCCAAACTGCTGGGTTTGTGATCCTTTTTGGATCTCTTCACTAGTTTATGGGGCTCTGCATGCTCTTGGCTCTCCAACAACCACTAGAACTTCTTACTGACCGGCTGTTTTCATTCCATCCCTTAAATGTCAGCATGTTCTGAGGTTCTGTCTCAGCCTTCCTTGCAGGCTACACATTCTCCCTGGGTGACCTCATGTCCTCTCGTAGCTCCAGAATCGTTGCTTCTTAAATAATCTCTCTGTTAATTTTTTAGTCCCTGCTTTTATTTGAAGCTTCTGATCTGCCTTTCTAACCAGTGGGTGTTCTGGGAGTGCTTCAAAATCAGCTTGACTCAACTCAATGTCATCTTTCCCGAAATACTCTCTTCACCCGTGTTCCTTAGCCTAGTAGTAAAAACAGTCTACCCAGTCTGGACTTTAGTTAACAAATTCTGTTTATTTCTCCAAAGCAGTACCAGCGATTATTCCTCTGGAAAGACCTCTGTCTCAGCTCAATTTTCCTCTACCATTTGACTGGACTATTGCAATAATTTCCTAAGGGTCTCTCTGTCTTCAGAATCCTCACTGCTATCCATCTCCAAAGACATAGACCTATTTATGTTATTTGGCATCTTGAATTTTTCCTGCTATATATTTCATAAATACCAGATTTCTTGGACTAGCATTCCATGACCTTCTCATATTGCCCACACTGACTTTGCTAAGTTTATTTAATTATTAAAAGTACTATGTGGGGCTGGGCGCAGTGGCTCACTCCTATAATACCAGCACTTTGGGAGGCTGACGCTGGAGGATTACTGGAGCCAGGAGTTTGAGACCAGCCTGGGCAATATGGAGAAACCTTGTCTCTACGAAGAAAAATGCAAAAATTAGCTGGATGCGGTGGCACGCCTGTAGTCCCAGCTACTTAGGAGGCTGAGGTGGGAGGATCGCTTGAGCCCAGGATATGGAGGATGCAGTGAGCTGTGACTGCACCACTGCACTACAGCCTGGGCAACAGAGCGAGATCCTGTATCAAAAAAATAAATAAATAAAATAAAAAGTACTATGTGATAATTACTGATAGAAAAGCTCTTCATTTTTATAGGTTTATCTTACAACCATACAGCATCTGAAATTTCTACTTTAAGTGGTAGATATAATGGATCACAGTGATAGATTCTCCTGCATCAGCCTCCCAAGTAGCTGGAATTACAGGTGCCCACCATGATGCCCAGCTATGATGTTAAGCCATTCTTGTGCTCCTAATATAAGTGTATTATTCTTTTGATGAACTGATGAGCTTAATTTTCTAATATTTATTTACAAATGTGTATCTGTATTCATAAATGAATTTGTCTGTGGCTTTCTGTTTTTGTGCTTTCTTCATCAGGCTTAACTAATAAGGTGATTCTAATTTCATAAAAGTAGTAATATCAAATATGTATGCATGTGGGCCTTAATAGGCACCAGACACTGTTCTAAGCAGTTGATAGTTATAAACTCACTTAATCTTCACAACAATCTCCATGAAGTAGAGTTTCCTCGTCATTTAACAGAGAAGGGAGTGGAGAAAGGAAGAGAATAAATAACTTGCCCAAGGTCACACAGCCAGTAAGTATTATAGCCATGACTTGAACAAGGCAGAATGGTTCTAAGAGCTTTGTGCAAAGTGCTTTGCTAACTTCTTCGAAGTCATAGTCAACTTGGGGAGTTTCATTTTTTTCTGTAGTCTAAGATACTTTAATAATATAGGAAGAATTATCTTTTTTTTAAGGCTTGGTAAACTTGGATGTAAATCTATGCAAGTGTGGTGATTTTTAAAATGGTAGATCTTGACCTTTCCAATCGTTCATGTTATTGATCTGTTTAGGTTTTCTTCTTCTTTGGTCAATTACTTAAGTTTTAATTTTGTTAGACTTTCTTCAATTTCCCTTTGATATTTAAATCTGTTGCCATGGCCTTGCACAGATTTGAAGATATTGCTCCATTGTTTTCCAGTTAATATTTGTTGTTAATTAAAAATGTGATGCCAATCAGATTATTGTCTCCCCTATACTTTCTATATTGATTTCTTTCTTTTTCTTTCTAATTCTTTTTTTTCTCTCTCTCTCTTTTTAGTAGAGTTTCTCTGTGTTGCCCAGGCTGGAGTGCAGTGGCGTGATCTTGGCTCACTGCAACCTCCACCTCCCAGGTTCAAGCAATTCTCCTACCTCAGCCTCCCTAGTAGCTGGGATTACAGGTGTGTGCCACCATGCTTGGGTAATTTTTGTATTTTGTATTTTTTTTTTTAATGGAGTCTAGCTCTGTTGCCCAGGCTGGAGAGCAGTGGTGTGGTCTCGGCTCACTGCAACCTCTGCCTCCCAGGTTCAAGTGATTTTCCTGCCTCAGCCTACTGAGTAGCTGGGATTACAGGCACCCACCATGATGCCCAGGTAATTTTTGTATTTTTAGTAGAGATGGAGTTTCACCATGTTGGCCAGCTGGTCTCGAACTCCTGACCTCAAGTGATCCTCCTGCCTTGCCTCCCAAAGTGCTGAGATTGCAGGTGTGAGCCACTGTGCCTGGCCTAATTTTTGTATTTTGGTAGAGATGGGATTTTTCCATGTTGGCCAGGTTGGTCTTGAACTCCTGGCCTCAAGTGATCCACCCACCTCGGCCTCCCAAAGTGCTGGGATTATAGGCATGAGCCACTGCATCTGGCTTCTTATATTGGTTTCATGTTGATGCTGTAGCAAATTACTACAAATTTAGTGACTTGAAACAACACAAATGAATAGGTGTGTAGAAGTCTGAAGTGGGTCTCACCGGGCTGAAACCGACAGGTGGGTAGGGCTGCATTCCTTCTGGGGGCTTTAAGGAGAATACATTTATTTTTCTTGGTCAGTTGTAGAGGTGATGCATCTCCAGCCCAGAAATAGGGCTTTATAGACAGGGAGTCACACTCTCTGTCTCTCTCTCTCTTTTTTTTTTTTTTTTTTTTTTTGAGACAGAGTCTTGCTCTGTCACCCAGCCTGGAGTGCAATGGTGCGATCTCAGCTCACTGCAACCTCCTCCACCTCCCAGGTTCAAGCGAATCCTCCTACCTCAGCCTCCTAAGTATCTGGGATTACAGGTGCCCACCCCTACTCCTGGCTAATTTTTGTATTTTTAGTAGGGACAGGTTTTCACCATGTTTGTCAGGCTGGTCTCGAACTCTTGACCTCAAGTGATCGGCCCGCTTTGGCCTCCCAAAGTGCTGGGATTACAGGCATGAGCCACTGTGCCCAGCCTATCTCTTAATCTCCATTACTTTCTAGGGCAAATGATACAAACTTGGTCTTCTCTTCAGGGCTCATGCAGTTATTTCCCTAATCAACTTATCCCATAAATCACATGACCTATTTCAGAGACCAAATAATTACAAATAAAAGATTCCCCCCAAACCATAGATTCTTGTTGGCAATGAGCATCAGTTGAGCTCAGATTCAGTAAAAAGTAAAAATGAAAAAAGATCCATAGCTATAGATTTCTGTTAGCCTTTTTTCTATGGTTTTTGGTAACGACTGTCCAAAATACCAATAATGTAAGTATAAACCCTTCCCAATGCAAAAAGACCAGTCTTTTTTGTTTCGAAAGCCAATTTCTACCTGGTGGGATTTTTTTTTTTTTAAACAAAATCTAAAGTCTTCTTCTCTTTTAAATATTTCTGACTTGGAAAACTGGTAGGTAGAATAGCTGCTGGCAGCCCAAATGCTCAAAATCACTTCTTCATTCTTTCAATGGTTGCTTTGTTCATTTAAAACACTAACAACCACTGCAAACCATGATGGAGTGCCCACTGTGTTCCATGTGCTGAGGTTACAGAAATGATGAAGCCTGAAGGCCTTGAAATGCCTATAATCATGCATGACTTCCCCCTCCACCTTTCTCTCTCCCACTGCCTTCCTTTGGAGCTATTATACATTGGTCTCCTCTGAGTTCCTTAAAGCATCTAGATCCCTTTTGCCCAAGGCCTCTGCATGGAGAAGTTCTATTTTCTTGAAAAGCCTTTTCCTTTCTTCTGCCATCCAGGCCTCTTTCTTAGGAAAGCCTTCCCTGAGCCTCCAGTACCCGTACACCTTACTCACTGGGCACCCTGTACTTCTCCTTCCAGGCATGTAGCTCAAATGTAATTAACAATGTAAATAACTTTGGTTTATTGTGTGTTCCCTCCTGAACCCAAGTTTCATGCAAGCAGAGGCCATTATGTCTTTTTTGCTACCGTATCTCCAGTGCTTAGCACAGGGCAGACCATTGGTGCTCAATAAATGCTTGACAGGGAAGGAATGTGGACAGTTTCCCTACCCTTGGGATGTCCCCAATCCGGTGGGTTTGCTCGTCACCACCTGAGTGACTGTAGATACTTTACCGCCTTCTCTGTGCCTCAGTTTCCCCTTCTGTGAAAGGGATGATAACAGTACTGGTCATAGAGTTGTGGTGAGAATTCAATGAAATAATGCACGTGAGGTTCTTAGAAAGTGTGTCATGCATAGGAAGTGCAGTGTTCAACCAATCTTAGTAATTATGATGATGATGGCAAATACACAGAGTTCTGTACATCTGTGAGGAGGAAGCGATCTGAGTCAACTTTGGGTTGGGTTTCAGAGGATTCACTAACAAATACACATCCAAAAATCTGAAATTAGAAATGCTCCAAAATCCAAAACTTTTGGAGCACCAACATGATGCCACGAGTGGAAAATTCCACACCTGACCTCAGCGGATGGGAGCACAAAATTACTAAAAATATTGCATAAAATTACAATAAAATATTGTATAAAATTTAAATATTGTATATTTTATCTGATATACAATTGTATCAGGTGTGTATATAAAACAGATTAATTTCTTTTTTTTTATTTTATTTTATTTTTTTTTTAATTTTTTTTATTATACTCTAAGTTTTAGGGTACATGTGCACATTGTGCAGGTTAGTTACATATGTATACATGTGCCATGCTGGTGCGCTGCACCCACTAATGTGTCATCTAGCATTAGGTATATCTCCCAATGCTATCCCTCCCCCCTCCCCCGACCCCACCACAGTCCCCAGAGTGTGATATTCCCCTTCCTGTGTCCATGTGATCTCATTGTTCAATTCCCACCTATGAGTGAGAATATGCGGTGTTTGGTTTTTTGTTCTTGCGATAGTTTACTGAGAATGATGGTTTCCAATTTCATCCATGTCCCTACAAAGGATATGAACTCATCATTTTTTATGGCTGCATAGTATTCCATGGTGTATATGTGCCACATTTTCTTAATCCAGTCTATCATTGTTGGACATTTGGGTTGGTTCCAAGTCTTTGCTATTGTGAATAGTGCCGCAATAAACATACGTGTGCATGTGTCTTTATAGCAGCATGATTTATAGTCCTTTGGGTATATACCCAGTAATGGGATGGCTGGGTCAAATGGTATTTCTAGTTCTAGATCCCTGAGGAATCGCCACACTGACTTCCACAATGGTTGAATTAGTTTACAGTCCCACCAACAGTGTAAAAGTTTTCCTATTTCTCCACATCCTCTCCAGCACCTGTTGTTTCCTGACTTTTTAATGATTGCCATTCTAACTGGTGTGAGATGATATCTCATAGTGGTTTTGATTTGCATTTCTCTGATGGCCAGTGATGATGAGCATTTCTTCATGTGTAAAACAGATTAATTTCATGTTGAGACTTGGGTCCCATTTCCAAGGTATCTTAGTAGGCATATGCAAATGTTTCAAAATCTGAATTATCTAGAATTGGAAACAGTTCTGGTCCTAAGCATTTCGGTTGGATATTCAACCTGAAACATTGGACTGGGTGGTCAGGGGAAGGCAGCTTTGAGGAGAGGACTTTTGGGCTGAGACCTGAGTGGCAAGAAGGAAGGAGCCATGGGTAGGGCTTGGGGATGAGCCTCCCAGGAAGAGAGGACAGGAGGTGCCGTGGACTTTATGAGGAACCATGTTGGGTTTGCTCAAGGAGTGGCAAGGAGGCCAGGGTGGCTGGAGCAGCGCAAGCGAAGGGGAGAGTGGCAGGAGAGGAGGTCAGGTCAGGTCATTCAAGATCCTTTAGGTCATGGCAAAGAGTTGGGATCTTATATTGGAGTTTTAAGAAGCGGCATAACACAATCCAATTTTAAAAGGGTCACTCTGATCACTCTATGAAGACTGCACTGCGGGGACAGACTTGGAAATGTGAACAGAATGTGCCAGCCAGAGAATGGCATTTCAGGGGGAGAAAATGGCATAGTCAAAGCCCCTGAGCTGGGAATCAACATAGCTTGTTTTGGGGGACTGAGAAATTTCAGGGGGGCAGGAGCTTAGTGTGCCTAGAGGAAGATGTGTCTACAAATGTGACCCAGTCCTGCATTGCAATAGGCCTGAAGGACATTCCAAGGTGTTTGAATGCAATCGTGGAGAAAAAGATAGAGATTCTGGCAAAGTATTTAAGCAGGGGATTTATAAGGAGTATCAGTTGCTCAAGATCCAAGCAGAAAAACATAAACCTCCCTAGATACTTCTAACAGAGGCCATTTAAGGGAAGGAATTAGCTACACAGGTGAAGGAAGAGCGGAGAAACCAACCAGGGCATGTGAAGCAACTCATAGATTATTATCACCAGTAGGAAGCCAGTACCACCGTTTGGGCTGGGGGAATGCTGAGGGAGGAGGTGGTGTTAGTAGAATCTAGGAGCTGGGGCTGGTCAGTGGGATTAGATTCACTTGGGGACTGTCTGGAAGGAGCCATTATAAACTAGATATATGATGAGGGCTGTCCAGTAGGCATTAGTAGGAACTAGAACTGCAGTGGGGACTGTCCAGTTGAGCTTAAACCTTGGGAAAGATGCAGCAGCTTCCAGAGTCACTGCCTGGTGCACTGAGGCTGGGAGATAAATGCCCTGACTTCTTCCTTTCCCACCGTGACTCTCCCACCCATGCCTCCCACTGGCCAAACCCGGCCATAAGTCAGAGATCAGGAAGCTGGAGAAACCCAGCTCGCAGGAGAAGGACAAGCATAGGTCTGTAAGCAGCAGGACATGGCTGGCCCATAGGACCAGGTCTGTTTTCTAGGGAGATCCCAGTACTGACTGTGTGGGAAGGGCTGGCTGGCCTCAAGGAGTCAAACTGATTTTGAAGGATCCATAACGAGAATAGGGCATAAGCTCTACCATGAACTTGGGCAAAGGCAGTGGAGATGGAGAGGAGGGGTGGATTGAAAAGACCTGCCTAAGTCTAGGTGACCACCTGAATGTAGAGAGGGAGAGGGAGGAAAGAGAGCAGGTGTTGGATGTTTCATGTTTGGGCAGCTGCACAGAATCCAGGTGCAGAGTGGGAGGAATGATGAGTAAAGAACTCCATTTCAATGTTCTAAGTTTGAGGTTCCTACAGGTCACCCACATGAAGGGGAAGCCCTTGTGCTTCTCTTCAGACCTCTGCTTAATGATGATGAGTAATAGTAGATAACATTAATTAATGTTTATTATGTGCCAGACATGGCTCTAAGCACTTTATGTGTAGTAACTAATTTAATCTTTACAATACCCTTATGAGGTTGATAATATTGCTTCCCCCATTTTACTCATGGGGCAACTGAGACACAAAGGGATGGTGATGCCTGACTACACTTACCTAGCTTGTAAGGGTGATGATTTAAACCCAGGCAACCTGGATTCAGCCTCCTAGTGCTGTTGTGAGAATTAATTGAGATAATGTAGATCACTTGTTTTTTTGTTTTGAGACAGGGTCTCACTCTGTCGCTAAGGCTGGAGTAGTGCAGTGGCTGTGATCATAGCTCACTGCAGTCTCGAATTCCTGAGCTCAAGCGATTCTTCCACCTCAGCCTCCCAAGTAGCTTGGACTACAGGCACATGCCACTGTGCCCAGCTAAATTTCAAGGTTTTTTTGTGTAGATAGGGGGCCTCGCTATGTTGCCCAGGCTGGTCTTGAACTCCTGGCCTCAAACAATCTTACTGTCTTGGCCTCCCAAAATGCTAGGATTACAGGTGTGAGCCACCACACCCTGCCACTTGTTTTTGTTTTAATATTATTATTGGAATATGTTAGTGTTTGCGAGAATTTTTGGCTCATACAACTTGACATTTAAGATCGTGTTAACATCACCCTGAGAGAGGAAGAGGATGTGAGGATGGAAATAACAGTATTAAAAGTTTAATAGACTTGAATTGAAATATGGCTACCTTTCTTGACATCTTGGTGATCTGGACAAGTTGACTTGAACTCTTTGAGCCTTAGTTTATTTATTGGTTAAAGATGGCACAATAACACCTCACTTGGATGTTGGGAGGGTTTAGCAAGGTTAAGTATGTGCAGCGCCTAGCTTGGTGCATGGTACATAGTAGGTGGGCAGCAATGTAAAGGTCTCCTTTCCTGGGGAATCTCCTGGTTTAATGGAGCAAGGGAATATGGGGTCTAATCCAGCCTCACTAGGGACTTGTCTTTGGTGAGTCCCTCCTACACTTGATCTTGGTTCCTCAACATCAAAAGAGTTGGACGGATCTCCAAGGCTCCAGCTCTGGAAGCCCAGTAAGTAACCTGTGATTTCATGTCCCCAAGATTCCATGCTGTGAAGTGGAACTATAACGTCAACCTCCAAAGCAGACTGAGTGCTGGGGGCCAGGTAGAGGACACATGGTCTTTGGGGATAGTGTTTTGTCCTCTGAGGGCATGGATTTGACATCATGAGAGCATTCTGAATCTACTCAAGGCGAAGGAAGAAGGCTTGGGGCAGGATCAGCGAGGGGATAACATCTGTAGGCGGTTTTTTTTTTGTTTGTTTACATGGAGTCTCATTCTGTTGCCCAGGCTGGAGTGCAGTGGCATGATCTCAGCTTAGTGCAACCTCCACCTCCCAGCTTCAAGCAATTCTCCTGCCTCAGCCTCCCAGGTACCTGGGGTTACAGGTGCACACTACCACTTCCAGCTAATTTTTGTATTTTTAGTAGAGATGGGGTTTCACCATGTTGGCCAGGCTGGTCTCAAACTCCTGACCTCAGGTGATCCGCCCACCTCGGCCTCCCAAAGTGCTGGGATTACAGCTGTGAGCCACTGTGCCCAGCCACATCTGTAGGAGTTTTAAGCATTTTTGAGAAGAGTGTTCTGTTTATAAAATGCCCTATTAATACTCTGTTAATTTGGGCATGGGCCAATAGATCAAATTCCTTTTGCTTTCCTTTATTTGCTCATGGAAAAATGATTGAGGACCTATTATGTGCCATGCAGAGCAAAAGGGGCTGCAGCTACAGCAGCAAACAGGAGTCCTCCTGGATCTTATAGTCTAGTAGGAGAACCAATGAACAAATCAACACATAAGACAATTTAGCTTGACAAGAAGTGTTATGCAGAAAATGAAACAGAGGCAAGGAATTGTGGTCGGGAAGGAGCGGTCAGGGAGGCCTTTCTGAGAAGGTAACGTCTGAGCTGAGACCTGAACAGTGAGGGGAAGAGAATTCCAGGCAGAGGGAACAGCAAGAGCTAAAACCCCAAGGCAGAATAAGCTGCAAGCCTGTGATGAAACGGGAGTGAGTAGGAGCCAGATTCTTGACGTCTCCTAAGTAGAGTTTTGCTTTTATTCCAGGTGTACTCATCGCCATTGGAATGCTTTTAGCATGGAAGGGGCAGTCTAGGTTGAGACTTCATTTACGTTTTAAGAGTGCTCAGAAATCTTCGGAAGCTGTTTTCTCTGCTGACTTAGGAGAATTAATTAGCTAATATCTGCACAACACTTGATAACCTTGGAGGAACAGAGATACATTATGATTATTTCCCCATTGAGATTCTCTAAATGGAGGTCTGAATACCTGGGATTCTCACCCTTAGGAGACTGAATGAGAAATGGCACACCGTTCCCTGCTAAAGAAAACATTTCTTTCTCCTGCCCTGCAGGGAAATCTCACTTCCATTTTTACGAGGCCAAAAAGGGACTTGAAAACAGGGCCAGTTCTGACTCTGTAATTAATTTCAAAGAAAGTCTTTTACCTTTACTGCCTATAAAGATATACAAAATAATTTTTATTTAGGTAAACCCTTTCTCTAGAGAGCTCACACAAGGAGTTTGATCTTCTCACCTTGCTGTGAAGTAGGCAGGAAACTTACTACCTTTTAATTTTTACTTTTAAAACAGGCAGAAGAATTACACAAAAGGGTTTCCGGCAACCTAGGGAAATCCAGCTCTCGGTAGCTCCACCCTTCACTGTATCCCAGATCCTTGTCCCTGACTCCATTTCATTTCTTTATTTTATTTTATTATTATTATACTTTAAGTTTTAGGGTACATGTGACTCCATTTCATTTCTTTTGAGAATTTGGATTTTTGCTGATTTTCATCCAGTTAATCTCTCTCCCTGCCTTTTCCTAATAACAGCTAAAGCTGATGGTGCTCTTACCCTAAGCCACACACGCTGCATGCATCATCTCATTTAATTGAAAATTTACGGAGGTAAATTTTGTTGATACCACCAATGTCACAGATGCGGAAACTGAGGCTCACAGGAGCCAAGCAACATCCTGAAATCACGTTGTTTGCAAGAGTCAGGGTTGGGGCTTGGACCCAGGCAATTTGATGCCAGAGTGCACATGCTGAAACATTACCATGTATTGCATCCTTAGACTTAAAACCCTAAGAATAACTTGGATGTCTTTGCAGATTCTTCTTGCAGTACCGTATTCAGGGCACTGAAGGCATACTCTTTATTGTTTATTTACTTATGTTTTGGGCAGCGATATCATTTTTTTCTTTTTTTTTTCTTAAATGTGAAGTGCTGGAGGTGGGAGGTGGGTGGGTACTGAGTGGAGAAAAAATGCCTTTTATGGATTGTCTGTTAAGCCTTGTGAAGTTGGAGCTATGTCTCAGTGCCAGACAACTGTGCCTGCTGACTTAATGGCTCTGAAAGATGACAAGGCTTAAAAAATCGACTGTCACTGCAGCACTTGGAACAGATTGAAATAGAGCACTTGAGTCATCTGTTAACGTTGCCACTCTGGGCCCCTGTCATGCAATGCCCAGTTAGAGGCAGGAATGTATTTTAAAAAAAACTTTGATTCAATTCTGATGGCTAAGGTGCCCTGTCTCAGGTGAGGGGACTGTGGGATGGACACTGCTGCTTGGCAAATACCCAACTTCCAGTAGCTGCTTTGCAGCTGAAGGGTGCAGCTGGGTTGCTGTGGTTAGTAAACAGTGATGTTCCCAGTAGAGCTCATGACAAGGGCTAGGAGATATATACTGTACTGTCTGCAATGCCCCTGTATCTACTCTGTTTGAAATAATCCTATAATCCTTGGCATGCCACATAGCCCAGTGCCCACATGTGTTCCCAATGCTTGTACATCTGTACCTACAGCCCCACCCACAGCCTCCTGCCAGACTATCTCTAACCCAAACTTCACACCAAGCCTTGTCTAGAACTCACCTCCAATGTTATGGAAATTATTAAGAGCATGGGGTTTAGAATCAGAGGAGCTCTAAATGGAAAGTCCCCACTGTTCCAAAGGTACATAAAACAAACCCACACAAACTGAAGAATGCCTGACTGCATCGAATCAGGATGTCAGCGGAAGCCAGTATAGCTCAGATGGTATATTTGGGTTTCTTAAGTATTACTGTGTAAGAGGTGCAATGTGTGTTTTGTTGAACAAGGTGGACAAGGGCCTTTGGGAGGTAGAGGTGGGTTTACAGATATGATGGCAGGTAGGGCTGGAGGGCAAATGTATGAGAAGACCAATTGGCTTTGAATCCAGCTCCATTAACTACCAGCTGTGTGACCTTGGACAAGTTACTACCTAACCTCTCTGTCCTTCTATTTCCCCACCAGCTCTAAAATGTCGAGATGAATAATAGTATCTAACTTTTGGGTTGCCATAAAGATTAGATCAGTCAGAAGTGCAAGTGTCTGCCACTGTGTTAGTTCTCAGAGAACTTTAGTTAAAAAAAGAAAACCAATAAACAGAATGTAGGATCTTATTTTCAACCCAGGAAGATGGAGAGAATTGGTACAAGCGGAGGTAGCTAGATGATATGGAATAGGAAGTCCCATGAGCTTCTATAGCCATTAGCCTGGGGGAATTGATAACCTTGTCTTATATGAAGTATCATGACAGCCCCAATGGGTACTATTGACCAGAAAGAAAATCTGTAATACTGGAAGAGGGAAATGCAGTAGGGAAAAAAATATGTTTGTAAAAAGTAATTTATACAAGGTTTGATGGTTTGGCGGTGCCACTTGAGGAATGTTCTGCATGTTGTCTGGGTTTCTACTATGGAAGTATAGGAATATTAGTGAGTTTGAAAGGACAAGTCTTGATTGGAAAGAGAGCTGAAGACTACCATGAGATGAAGAGGAAGCTCTGGGGAATTTCTTTCTATAATCATAAGAATGAGGTAAGACAAGGACACAGCTGAAGTTCATCCATATGGAACAGAAGGCCCAGGTCTTGTCAAGTTGTGTGGATACCACTCCCAGATTACAAAGACTGGCTTCCCATTAATGAAATTATACCGACACGTGTCACAAGCTAATGAAGAAAATGTTAACCACAGGCAGGACAAAATGTGGACTTGCCTGATCCACTGTGAGAGAGGGTCTGCAGGGAAATTTGGGAGGGGCTCATAGAGAACAGTGAGATCACAAGCAGAAGGCTAGCGCCATGCATAGTGGATATGGAATGGGCGGCAGCATTCTGTAGAGCATCTTGGAGGGTATGTTTAACTGACATCATATTTTGAACCCAATAGTATAGTAATTTGGGGAAAATTAATAGAAGAACCCATACATGTACAGACACACACACACACACACACAAAGATATGTAATTAGATATTTTGATCAACACACTTTTCGTTGTTGTTGTTGTTGTTGTTTTTTCTGAGACAGGGTCTCACTCTGTTGCCCAGGCTGGAGTGCAGTGGTGCAATCATAGCTCACTGCAGCCTCGACCTCCTGGGCCCAAGCTAGCCTCCCACCTCAGCCTCTTGAGTAGCTAGGACTACAGGTTCATGCCACCACACCTGGCTAAGTTTTTTTTTTCTTTAATTTTTAGTAGAGACAGGGTCTCATTATGTTGGCTAGGCTGTTCTCAAACTCCTAGGCTTAAGTGATCCACCAGCCTCGGCCTCCCTAAGTGTTGGGATTACAGGCATGAGGCACTGTGCCTGGCTGATCAACATACTTTTTAGTCAAGTATATTTAGTATTTTGTTGAAGCTTTTAGAATCCTGTGGGAGAGAAGTAAAACCATTAATAAAGTGTTGGTACTTAATCAGACTTTTAAGCAAGTACATGGGCAATAAACAATAATTTGTGCAAATAGCAATAAGGCCTGGCTGGGTGCAGTGGCTCACGTCTGTAATCCCAGCACTTTGGGAGGCCGAGGCAGGTGGATCACCTGAGGTCAGGAGTTTGAGACCAGCCTGAACAACATGGTGAAACCCTGCCTATATTAAAAATACAAAAATTAGCTGGGTATAGTGCTGCGTGCCTGTAATGCCAGCTACTCGGGAGGCTGAGGCAGGAGAATTGCTTGAACCTGGGAGGCAGAGGTTGCAGTGAACAGAGATCATGCCATTGCACTCCAGCCTGGGTGACAGAGCGAAGCTCTGTCTCAAAAAAACAAAACAAAACAAAGCAATAAGGCCTAAATTGAAAACAGTGAAGTGGAAGATGAAGAGAACTTGGATGGCAAAACAAACAGAACCCAAACTGGACCTTGATAAAACCAGCACCAGGTAATGTTTGTTGAGTCTTGTGCACGGGATGAGACTTCTACATGTATCAACCCTCACAGCATCCCAGTGACATAGGAATTATCTCCAGCATACCAGCGAGGGAACCAAGGCACAATAGCTGCTATGTGGTAGCGTCAGAATTGGAAAAAAAGCCTGGGGGCTGAGTATGCCACCGTCTTATCCTTTACTATTTCTTTTATAGAAACAAAAATCAGAACTGCAGGTGTAAATCATTCATACTTCGGTTGTTTTTGGTTATTTCCCCATTTGGAGCAAAATGTATATAGTTCTCATTCCTTGGTGGAGACTATATAATTCTAAATAAATCTTTTTGTGGTCTTCGTAAAGTCTTGCACTGAAAAATCCCTCCAGGTATAGTAATCGGTGGAAATCTTGGCAGGGTGGACCCTATTTATTCTGCTATTGTAGTGAAAATTCTGTTGCCCAAGCAACATATCTGAACAGCCTACTTCACAGATCCATTAAGATGTCTCAGGCACATCAGATTAATATGTCCAAGGCTGGACTGAAATATGTTCTGAAGCTTTTTTTTTTTTTTTCCATCGGTGGCACCACTGTCCTGGTCACTCAGGATATGAGCCTGGGATCCTTGATGTCTTCTCTCTCTTTCAATTTCCACACGTATGTCCAGTTGGGCATCAAGTCATTGGGTGCTAGTTCTTAAATGGCCCTCAGACAGGGCTTTAGTTCCATCCCTACTGCCTCTACCCCAGTTCTGGCCCTCTCAGACTCATGACAATTGCAACAGCCATTTTCTAACTGGTGACCCTACTTGTGTTTTGTCATCTTGTTTTTAATGCTTCTTTTTTTTTTTTTTTTTGAGTCAGGGTCTCACTCTGTCACTCAGACTGAAGTGCAGTGGCATGATCACAACTCACTGCAGCCTCCAATTTCTGAGCTCAAGCAATCCTCCTGTCACAGCCTCCGGAATAGCTGGGACTACAGGTGCATGCCGCCACACCTGGCTGATTTTTTTTCTTAATATTGTAGAGATGGTGCATCTTACTATGTTGCCCAGGCTGGTCTTGAACTCCTGGCCTCAAGCGGTCCTCTGGCCTCAGCCTCCTAAAGTGCTGGGATTACAGGCATGAACCACTGCACCTGGCCAATGTTTTCTTTCTTTTTCTTTTTCATTTTATTGTTTTCCTCAATTAACTGTTTTGATTTCTGTTGCCTTTTGAAAAACCTTGGGAGGCATGCACTTTGATTGTAATCCCATCAGTAAATACCTTTAAAATTGAAAAATAAAAAATTAAACCTATAAAATGATCAAAATCAATTTCAGAACTACAATTTAGGGGGTCTTCTTTCTATAGAAGATAAGAAATTAGTTTTGAGACTTTTCCCTTCCCCAGTCTCTGTGATTTTAATTCCATCACTTTTTAAAATTATTTAAAAAACCATTTGGAGGGAAATCAACTTTGTATCCATACTAAAACAATATAGAGTTATTGTGTCTATTCCACTGTATCCACACTGAAACAGTATTTTGGAGTTATTGTGTCTATTCTATTAAACTTGGCTTCAGTACTCACAACATGTTCTTTTTGGCCACTGTTTCCTTATTCTTGAGTATTTATCTTTGATTGCTATTTCATTTTTCTGGTGTGGGTCTTCAAGAACTTTATTCAGGATGGATCTTTGCATGCCAATGTTTCAGAAAACTCTTTGATGACTTCTCCCCAAATGACAACTTGGCTGGACATAGAAATCTTTGGTCATAACTCTTTAGTGCTTTGTAAATAATGCTTCATTTTTTTTTTGTTCTATCATTTAGTATTGCAGAATGCAAGTCTGAAGCCAACATGATATTGCTCCCTGAATACTTGTTGGCGTTAACTTTTTCCCAATTATTTCTACATGTGGATCTTATTTGCCTAAGCAAAAGTCCAGTCTTCATTTTCAAGCTATTGTCTTCATTTAGATCCAGAGTTCCTCTTCTTTTATTTGGTAGTGTGTTTTCTCCTTTTGAGATTTGTTATTTGTTTTTGGGTTTGCTCATACTTTTTGTCACTTTGCTATTTCCTCCGAGTTTAGTGCGAGAGGGGAGTGAGTTTTCTCAAGTGTATCTTCACTGATTCTGTCTTCTGTGTGGCCTTCTCTCCTATGTGCAACCTCCAAAGTGGCTTCTAATTAGATTATTGTGCTTTTCATCTTTAGATAATCCTTCCTGACCTACAATTAATTTCTCATTATGACTACACGCTCCAGTTCCATAGATTAAAAAGACTTATTGGATCTTGTTGAGATCACACATCAAATATTAAAAAGGTGCTTTTCTCTTTCCCTTCCGCTCTCTCACCTTTATCTTCCTCTTCTTCTTCCTCTTTCTTTTTCTTCTCTTTTGTTTTTGGGCAGTAAGTTAGTTTTCCTTGACTCTATAGAGAGGTTTCCTTCCTTTGAACTGCAAAATGTTTTTCTATGCCTCATACTTCTCTTATTTCCCCAGATGGTTATAAGAGGAACCTTCCAGTCCACACTTAAGGAGAAAAGGCAAAACAAAACCCAGAGGAATTCAGAAGCTTAGGAGGTATTGAGCCTGGTGGGGAGAGAAGACTTAAGAATAATGGAAGGAATAGAGTCTTTGGGAGACCCCTGTATGGGGCTTTGTCATAGATGCTACAAACGAAACCCAAGTCTCTCTATGCTACATCCTGGACCCAGAGGTGTCATGTGTATAACACAAGGTATAAAAGATGACAGAGGTTTTCCCCAACAATATAAAAGGATCTCACCAAACATGGATCTGCAAAGAAAAGGTTTTACTCCATCAATCACCAGTTGAGAGTTGGTTCAGCCAGGAAGTCCTGAGTTTGGGTTTTGAAACCCACTCTCCCATCCCTGCTCATCTAGGGAAGCCGGATTCTAAGCTTAGTCTTCAGCCCTTTTAAGTATACCCAAAAATATGTTCAGTGACACTGCTGTAGGTGCCAGGGCTACAGTGGTGAGTCTTTGCTCTCAAGGAGATTACAATTTATGGGGTACTAGTTGGACGTTAATCTAAGAATGATACTAATAAATGCAAATAAAGGCTAATTACAAATTGGGAGTGTGTAACTGGGAGCGGGCAGGGAGATCTGGGATGCTTCCTAGAGGAAGTGATATTTGAGCTGTGATCTGAAGGGTGAGTAGGAATTAAGTGAACTAAGTGGGTGGGGATGGGGAGGGAAGGGCACACAAGGCAGAGGATGTTTGCAAGCTAAGTATTCCCAGTGGGAGGAAGCGGGGACTATTTGAGGAATCTGAATAAACAGCTCCTGTGGTTGGAGTGCAGGTGCAGGAGGAAGGCTGCAGGGTAGGTGGGGGGAGGCAGAGGTCCAGATGCTGTGTCATAATTATGGGCCTAGGTTTCCTCTTGAGAGCAAGGTTGGGGGGCCCTGGAAGGGCTTCCTTGAAGGGTGGAGCTGGAAGGGAGGAATGACTCATTCAGATTCTGCCTTTTGGTAAAGTTAATTCTAGAATCACAGACTCTCCTGGCTGGGGGAGCAGGTAATGAGGGGGAGGAGGAATAGATTAAGAAACACCTACCAGCACATGAGCATCAGCTGTGCCCTTGTAGAAGGGAGTGGTGTTTTTTGTTTTGTTTTGTTTTGTTTTTTTAACTTCCTTTGTGAAAACCAGGTGGTTTGTCCAAGCATCGGTCAGGATGGGTTGGGGAAATTGGTTACTTATTTGGGCTTCTTATCCACCCCTTCTTCGTAGGGTGGGGGAGGACAACCTCCCCTGCTGAATCCATGGAATTTAGTCCATGGGGCTGGTCACAGCCCAAGGAAGCCTGTGCTACAGGTGTAACCACCCAAAGGGTTCATTTTGCCCACTGCCCAGATAGGGCCAATTTCTCAAGACAGGTGAATTGCAATAGAGAAAGAGTTTAATTCATGCAGAGTCGGCTGAATAGGAGACTGGAGTTTTATTATTACTCAAATCAGTCTCCCTGAAAATTTGGAGACTGACCAGAGTTTTTAAAGGGTGATTTGGTGGGTAGGGGTCCAGGGACTGGGGAGTGCTGAAGCCGATTCGTACGGTCAGATGAAATCAGCTGAGTTGAAGCTGTCTTCTTGCACTGAGTTGGTTCCTGGATGGGGGCCACAAGACCAGATGAGCCATTTCTTTGATCTGGGTGGCACCAGCTAATTCATTGAGTGGAGGGTCTGAAAAATATCTTGAGCACCAATCTTAGGTTTTACAATAGTGATGTTATCCCTAGGAGCAATTGGGGAATTTCAAAATCTTGTGGCCTCCAGCTGTGTGACTCCTAAACCATAATTTCTAATCTTGTGGCTAATTTGTTACCTTACAAAGGCAGTTTGGTCCCCAAGCAAGAAGGGTGTTTGTTTTGGGAAAGGGCTTCTATACTCTTTGTTTCAAAGTTAAACTATAATAAGTTCAACCCAAAGTAATTTGGCCTATGCCCAGGAGTGAACAAGGACAGCTTGGAGGTTAGAAGCAAAATGGAGTCAGGTCAGATCTTTTTCACTGTCATAATTTTCTGACTGTTAAAGTTTTTGCAAAGGTGGTTTCACAGGAACCAAGCCTCTCACCCTGCCCTTGCCTGCAGCCCAAACCCCTCCAACTTAGAAGATACTTCAGGGACTGGGGGGTGGATGGATGTTTCTAGCAGGTTCTCCCCATTATGTCCCCAGTACACCACCTTTTCCAGAAGGGTAATGGCATATCAGACTTCAAAGAACTCTTTTAGTCTGGTTTTGTCCACACTGCACTGTGCAGAAATTCCTTGAAACTCCTGCTATGTCACTTGCATCCCATCTGTGTCTTCTATTAACCACCGGTGAGTGGAGGAGCTAGAAAGCTGTGCTCACACACACAAAATAGATCTTTTGAAATGAACCTCTAAATAGCCTTTCCCAGACCAGTCTGGGCAACATAGCAAGAAACTCTCTCTACAAAAAATTTTTAAACATTATCCAGGCATGGTGTCCTGTGGCTGTAGTCCCAGCTACTCAGGAGGCTGAGGCAGGAGGATTGCTTGAGCCTAGGAGTTCAAGGCTGCAGGGAGCCATGCTTATGCCACTGCACTTCAGCCTGGGCAACAGAGCAAAACTCAAACAACAACAACAACCAAAAAACACCACCACCACCACCAACAAAAAACCTTTCCAAAAAAGTAAACCAGTTTATATTGCTCAAAACAATAAGCAAGAATGCCTGCTCTGTTCCTTTGCTGGGTATTTTTGGGACGTCTGCTACTTTTTGGGATGAAAATATTGTATCTTATTCCTTGGATTTGCGCTTCCTTCTGTGAGCTTGCTTGTGAATCCTGTTTTCTCTTTCATCAATGTCTGTTCAGGCTGCAGTGGGTTAATTTAAAATGGCAGGTCTCCCTGCAGGGGAGATACAACTAATTACACTGGCTCTGGGAGATCTCTGAGCTCATTCCAAGGTAGATCAGAGACGACTTTTGAAAATGTATTCATTGCTGGGTGGCTTTTGCAGGAGAAATGAGGGAGGGACCTGTTCTTCTTCAGGACTAATTGGTTGGCCATGTGCAATGTGAAAAGTAGTTCTTGGAATCTGTTCTGTTGTAGGTTTTTATTTTTTATTCTATAGCCGAGAGACTTGTTATCACTAGAAAATTCGATAAATTAATGGACTCTGAAAATCAATAAAATAATTAACAGGACATTTCTGGGTGAAAAGAATTTTTTAAAATTGGAAGTTAATATGACTGATGACAGGGGTTAAGCAGGTGACAGAGTGAGGCCAGCCGGGTCGCGGAAGGGAATAGTCAGGGTGTCACTGAGGAGAATCCGAAAGTGGATTTCCTGATAATGGGATTGCTGGGTTGAGTCGTAGCTCTCTTTTAAGTTCTTTGAGATATCGTCACATTGCTTTTCACAATGGCTGAACTAATTTACATTCCCATCAGCAGTGTAGAAGCATTCCCTTTTGTCCACAACCTTGCCAGCATCTGTTATTTTTTGACTTTTTCATAACCATTCTGACTGATGTGAGATGGTATCTCACTGTGGTTTTGATTTGCATTTCTCTAATAATTAGTGATGTTAAACAGTTTTTCATATGCGTAGGAAAATAAATCATTCTACCAGAAAGACAGATGCATGCGTATATTCGTTGCAGCACTAGTCACAGTAGCAAAGACAAGGAATCAACCTAAATGCTCATCAGTGGTAGACTGGATAAAGAGAATGTGGTACATATATACCATGGAATATTATGCAGTCATCGAAAAGAATGAGATCATGTCCTTTGCAGCAACATGGTTGGAGCTGGAGGCCATTATCCTAAGCAAATTAATGCAGGAACAGAAAACCAAATACCACATGTTCTTACTTATAAGTGGGAGCTAAATGTTGAGAACACCTGGACACAAAGAAGAGAACAACAGACACCAGGGCCTACTTGTGGGTGGAGGGTAGGAGGAGGATTAGAATGGAAAAACTATTTATGTGGTACTATGCTTATTACCTAGATGATGAAATAATCTGTACACCAAATAACCGTGACATGCGATTTACCAATATAACAAACCCGTGGGCTGGGCACGATGGCTCACACCTGTAATCCCAGCACTTTGGGAGGCCTAGGTGGGCGGATCATGAGGTCAGGAGTTCGAGACCAGCCTAGCCCACATGGTGAAACCCTGTCTCTACTAAAAATACGAAAATTAGCTGGGCGTGGTGGCGGGCGCCTGTAATCCCAGCTACTCGGGAGGCTGAGGTGGGAGAATTGCTTGTGAACCCAGGAGGCGGAGGTTGCAGTGAGCTGAGATTGCACCATTGCACTCCAGACTGGGTGACAAGAGTGCAACTCTGTCTAAAACAAAAAGCAAAAAACAAACAAAACAAAACAAAACAAAACCCGTGCACGTAACCCTGAACCTAAAATAAGAGTGTTTTAAAACAGAAAGCATATTTCCTGTCAGCTGCAGCTGACTCTAGCCATGTTGGAATGTGGGCCTAGTGTTGTCTTTCAGACTTTTTCCAATGAAGCTGAAATTCTGGATATTTATGTGAAATTAGTTGGCAGCTAAATTCAAAATATGTATGAAGGCCAATCAAAGCACACACATTATAGCCGACCAGTTTGCAGCATAGAGTCTAGATTGCAGAGTGAAGAAATTATTATTATTATTATTATTTTATTTTTATTTTTATTTTTGGAGACAGGGTCTCACTCTGTCAGCTCACTGCAAACTCTGCCTCCCGGGTTCAAGCGATTCTCCTGCCTCAGTCTCCCGAGTAGCTGGGACTACAGGCAGCCACCACCACGCTCGGCTAATTTTTGTATTTTTAGTAGAGACAGGATTTCACCACGTTGGCCAGGCTGGTCTCAAACTCCTGACCTCAGGTGTTCCGCCTGCCTTGGCCTCCCAAAGTGCTGGGATTACAGGTGTGAGCCACTGCGTCCGGCAAAGAAATTATTTTATCTCAGTGATTTACATCTACTTGGGACCCTCACAAAAGGAGGGAAGATTAAATATTGGGCCCCTCAACCTCAGGGCTTTGTTTTTCTTTCCGTATTGGGAGAAGACTGGTATTTTCAGAGCTCTGCTCCTGAAGGACTCGATAAGTAAAGTGTGGAAACATAATCCATGTTTAACCCATCAACCTAACAGGGAGTGACCACTGGGGAAACCACCATGTGAGCCATCATGGGTGACAGCTCCAGCCTATCATTTTCTTAGCTGTACATGGGGTCCAGTGGAAGCTGTCATGTAAGGTTGTATAGGTTGTGTACTGTTTAACTGTAGACAGTCTAATTTATACTGCAGACTATGTAAATGACAAACTGTGGGGTTGTGCAATGAAATCACACAAACCTTGTCAGACACCAGAATTCTCGTATTTAAGAATGGACAGTGATGTATACGTTTGGATGTATGCTTAGTATAACTGATGATATTTAGATTTAACTTTTTCACTTTAGTGTGAGCTTCTTGAGAGGAGGCAATTTGCCTCATTCATCCTTCTATTACTAGGAATCCACACAGTGTTTGGCAAACTCTAGACAAAACAATTTTTTTCTGCATAAAATGTCCAGCAAGCAATTGAAAGTATGCTTTTGGAGACTGGGAAAAAGTTAGATTTGGAGGTGGAGATTTGTGACTCATCAGTGACTTCTTCAAGATATTGGAGTAACTGGCATTGGCGGGAGAACATGGGAGACAGGAACCTGGGGTGGTGGAGGAAGAGAGAATGTATTCATTAAGGAGGTTGAGGAGGAAGGGTGTGAGGTGTGCAATCAGGAGATATGTGGTCACAAAAAGCAAAAAATAAAAAACAACAAACAACCCCCCCCATTACTGCATCCTCATGGTCAGCACATAATATTCTCAATAAATATCTGGCAAATAAATAAATGAACAAAATAGTGAACAATGGGCATTGCCAAGTCCTGTAGAGAAATCATGTAGAATGCAGATTGATGCAAGGTCATTGGGTTAAAGAGAGTCGTTTATAGTGACTCTATAGTCACTATAAATAGTCATTTAGTGACTTTGAGAAGAGCAGTAGCGGTCTCACTAGAGTGATAGGGGCAGACCTTTGACTTGAGTGGGTTAAAAGAATGAGCTTAGCTGTCTCTTCTTCCAGAGAGCTGTGTGTGACTGCCTTAGTTGCCCCGTGACCTCCTGATTGAGTTTATGTTCATATATGCCCTGCTATAACACTCTGTATTCAACACCTAATGAAATAATTATTACTCAGTATTACATTTGTTGGCACTTCTCTGTAGCCTTCATGAATCTGTAAGCTATGTGAGCACTGAGACTCTAACCTGATTCCTTTTACATCAACCCTCATGGTTTAAGTAATGGTGTATAGTTAAGGTGTTCATAGATATTTTTTGAATAGCAATAACTAAGAAGACAGAGAAAAGTAACTGGCATACCATATAATAAATGTAGGCTTGAGAAACACACAAACCTAAATGGATGTAGAGTGGAAGGAAAAGTTGATTATTCCTGGTAGGGACATTACTAAGTTTCCACAAGGAGATTCACAGAGATCTTTCACAGCAGAAACAGCTGAGAGAACAAAGTATCCATTTTGGACTTCTTAAAATGCCACTTAAAACACAGGGCCATGTTTTTCTACCTTTTTCAGACCTAAGAAATGAGAAGAATAACTTTCTCAGCAGTAAGAGTTTCTGAGGTAAGAGCAATCAGGGAGGTTTTGTAAGTCTGAGCTTCAATAAAATAAAACTGGAGGTTAGAATCCAACAGGGCTTCCGGCCAGCAAACAAATATTTATCGAACGTGGAAAAGTGTCCAAAATGTATTGCTAAATAAACAGCAGGCTACAAAATAATATGTACCTTTTTAAAAATGCATTTTTCTTTTCCTTTCTGAAAACATGAGTATTTCTTAGAAATAAACAGATGTGTAGAAAATATTTGATCATGTCACTCCCCTGCTTTAAATCCCTCCATAGCTTTCCATTGCTTTGGAATAAAGTCCAAAATCCTTAGGCAGATTTATTAGGTTGGTGCAAAAGTAATTGTGGTTTTTGCCATTGCTTTTTAAAAAACTTATTTATATTTTATTTTCTAATTATATATATATTACAATGTATTCACTAAATAAGGAGTGCTCTGTCCTGCTATAGATTTCTTTCTTTCTTTTTAAATTTTACCTCAAGTTCTGGGATACATGTGCAGAACGTACAGGTCTGTTACATAGGTATACATGTGCCATGGTGTTTTGCTGCACCCATCATCTAGGTTGCATCTAGTGTCATCTAGGTTTTAAGCCCTGCATGCATTAGGTATTTGTCCTAGTGCTCTCCCTCCCCTTGGCCCTCACCCCTCAAGAGGCCCCAGTTTGTGATGTTCCCCTCCCTGTGTCCATGTGTTCTCACCATTCAACTCTCACTTACAAGTGAGAACATGTGGTGTTTGGTTTTCTATTTCTGTGTTAGTTTGCTGAGGATGATGGCTTCCAGCTTCATCCATGTCACTGCAAAGTACATGAACTCATTCTTTTTCATGGCTGCATAGTATTCCATGGTGTATATGTGCCACATTTCTTATCCAGTCTATCATTGATGGGCCAGAATCCAGCAGCACATCAAAAAGCTTATCCACCACGATCAAGTCGGTTTCATCCCTGGGATGCAAGGCTGGTTCAACATATGCAAATCAATAAATGTAATTCATCACATAAACAGAACCAATGTCATTGCTTTTAAAAGTAATGGCAAAAACTGTGATTACTTTTGCACCAACTTAATACAAGCCTTTTGATGACCTGGATTTGCCTGTCTCTCTGCCATCTCCTGACCCTGCTTTCTCACCCCTGCACCACTCTGATCATGCATTCCCTCTTTCTCCAGCCATGCCGGACTTCTGCACATGCTCTACTGTTCTGGGACAGTCTTTTTTCTCCTTCCCCCACTGGCCTCCCAAATTCTTACACAAAGTTGAGATACCAGCTAAAATGTCACTTCCTTTCAACTCTCTCTGCTTCTCTGTTTAGTTATTCTGATTTATATATTCTCTCAGCACATGGTACATCTTCTGCTTAAGTTCCCATGACACTGTTGTCATTTCTCCTTTAGCATCCACCTTGCTCATTAGATTGTGTTTTCGGCAACTTGCTCACTATGGTAGTCTTTATGTTTAGCACAGTGCCTGCAAGACCATAGGTGCTCCATAAAGATTTATAGAATGAATGAATGAATGAATGAATGAATACGTTCAGGGGCTGCACAGAAAGGGAGAGCTCAAGGGTCTCATTCATTGGTCAGCCTTTGGGGATGGAATAGGTGGTGACAGTTATAAAGGGACCCAAGGGTCTAAAGCCTGAGAGAATAAAAGCCCAGGGAACCAGCCTGGGCTGGGAACAGTGGCACTAAGCTTTACACTAAAAGGCTGATCCCCGAAAAGGGGATGTTTCAGTTAGGCCTTGAATGAAGAGACTGCCTGGGGAACTTGCACAGGTAAAGCCTATAGGGTGGAAAGTGTTTACTGTCCAGAGTGACAAAGGGCTTAGGGTGAGCAGAAATGGAGAAGAAGGGTATGATTAGTAAAGTGACATAGGACAAGATTGTAGGTCCAGATTGCAAAAGCCATTTAGCCAGTCACTTCGGGCTTTAGGAATCACAGAGCCATCCAAGATTGGTTTTGTTTTGTATGAATATTTAACAAGCAGCTTAATAATTGGAAACAATGCCAATTAGTTCTCTGTCATCGTTTCCATGCCACGTTTGCAAATTCAGCACACACAGATATGCCATGAGCTATGTCAAAGAAAACCCAAAACATACAAACAGCTCATTTGATCTGAAACTCTAAGCTCTTTTACTCAAAAAATGTTACAGGAAACAAGCTTATAAACGGTGTTTACAGGCAGTGTCATTTGGGAGCTAAAGCATTTCTGTTTTGCTGAAGCTCTTTAAAAAATTTATGGCAAGATCAACATTATAATGCCAATAAAGGGAATTTTAAAAAGGCTGAATAAATAAAGAAATGTAACCACTGGTTAAACACAGGAGGATATGACGAGACTTGAGCTGAAGAATTGTTAGACTAGAAGAGCTTTTAAAAATTTTTAAACGAAAATAATATATGTTCATTGTAAAAAAAAAAAAGAGGGTGGAGGGGAAGAAACAAAACAATACAAATAGTTTTTTTTCGTTTTTGTTTCTGAGATGGAGCCTTGCTCTGTCACCCAGGTTGGAGTGCAGAGGCGTGATTTTGGCTCATTGCAACCTCTGCCCCCAGGTTCAAGTGATCCTCCCACCTTAGCCTCCTGAGTAGCTGGCATTACAGGGACATGCCACCATGCCAGGCTGATTTTTGTATTTTTAGTAAAGACAGGATTTTACTGTGTTGAGCAGGCTAGTCTTGAACTCCTGACCTCATGTGCTCTGCCCGCCTTGGCCTCCCAAAGTGCTGGTGTGAGCCACTGCACCCGGTCAAAATATTTCTTCTAGTAGTTACCTCCACATCTCTACATAATATGCAAAAACTGTTGTTTCTTGATTTATCAATTGTGGACATTATGTATTGACTGCCAGCCATGACGGATGAGGATTTAACTAATTTTTCACTACATTCCTTTTTCTTTTTTTTTGAGACAGAGTTTCACTCTTGTTTTCCAGGCTAGAGTGCAATGGCAGGATCTCAGCTCACTGCAACCTCTGCCTCCCGGTTTCAAGTGATTCTCCTGCCTCAGCCTCTGCAGTAGCTGGAATTACAGGCATGTACCACCACGTTCGGCTAATTTTGTATTTTTAGTAGAGACAGGGTTTCGCCATGTTGGCCAGGGTGATTTCAAGCTCCTGACTTCAGGTGATCTACCTGCCTTGGCCTCCCAAAGTGCTGGGATTACAGGCGTGAGTCACTGTGCCCGGCCACATTTTTTTTCTCTTCCCTGTCTTCCTGCTATGATTATCTTATTATATATATTTACCTTTGCAATTTTAGGGACAAATTTAGGCTAGAGTTTTACATTTTAGGCGGTTATAAAAGCAACGCTTATGACAGCCCTGGGGAAGGAGGCCAGGTGGCCGCAGGTGGCAGCAATATGGGTGGGTGGCAGGTGAGGAAGGACAAAGCCTTGGGGGCATCCTTCATGTTTCTCTTTCTCGGACAGTCCATGTCCATAGAACCAGATGATTCTCTTGGCTCTGCCTTCAAAATATATCCAATTAGACTGCATCTCTCGATGCCTGCGATGCTTCCATTCCGATCTAAGCCCTGTCTTCTCTTGCCTGCGTTATTGTAATTGCCTTCTGATGGGTCTCCCTGTTTCTGCTATTGCCTCTCTGCCAAAGGAGACATTTAAAATGTAAGTCAGAGCACACCACTTGTATTCTAACCACACACCTCCCCCACCGCCCCCATAGCTCTCCACTTCATTCAGAGTCAAAGCCAACTCCCTGCTGCCACATCTGGACCACAGCTGCTGTCTGGGTTTCACCGCCAAGACGCTCTTCCTTTCTCCCTCTGTTCCACACTGGCCTGGATGTTTGTTCCTCAACGAAACCAAGCACACTCCCACCTCCGAACCTGCGCAGTTTGATCCCTCTGTCTAGAATATTCCGACCCCAGCAATCTGCATGGCTCATTTCCTTTCACCAGCTGCTCTGGAGGGAGTGGCACTAAAGCCAGGAAATGGCAGGTGCAGATCAGCGTTTGAGAGAGCTTGACAGGTGGGGTAGGAGGAGAATCGGGCACCAGGGAGGAGGAGGACCCAGCCATGCCTCTAACATGATGGCCTCAGGCCTGATTTTTGGTTAAAGTAGAAGGAGCAATGGGAAAGGGAGAGGCTAGAACCTGAAAAAGAAGGAAAAGTGGACTGGGCACGGTGGCTGATGCCTGTAGTCCCCGTGTGTCCAGAATTAGTGGGTGCTTGGTCTCACTGACTTCAAGAATGAAGCCGCGGACCCTCGTGGTGTTACAGTTCTTAAAGGTGATGTGTCCAGAATTCGTTCCTTCTGATGTTTGGATACGTTCGGAGTGTCTTCCTTCTAGTGGGTTTGTGATCTCGCTGGTTTCAGGAGTGAAGTCGCAGACCTTCACAGTGAGTGTTACAGCTCTAAAGGCAGCACATCCATAGTTGTTCATTTCTCATGGTGGGTTCATGGTCTCGCTGGCTTCAAGAGTGAAGCTGCAGACCTTGGCAGTGAGTGTTACAGCTCGTAAAGGTAGTGCAGACCCAAAGACTGAGCAGCAGCAAGATTTTTTGCAAAGAGCCAAAGAACAAAGCTTCTACAGCGTGGAATACGACCTGAGCAGGTAGCCACTACTGGCTCGGGCAGCTGCTGCTGGCTGCTTTTATTCCCTTATCTAGCCCCACCCACATCCTGCTGATTGGTCCATTTTACAGAGAACTCATTGGTCTGTTTTACAGAGAGCTGGTTGGTCTGTTTTGACAGGGTGCTGATTGGTGCGTTTACAATCCCTGAGCTAGACACAAAAGTTCTCCAAGTCCCGCTAGATTAGCTAGGCACAGAGCACTGATTGGTGCATTCACAAACCCTGAGCTAGACACAGGGTGCTGATTGGTGCATTTACAATCCTTGAGCTAGACACAGAGTGCTGATTGGTGTATTTACAATCCCTTAGCTAGACATAAAGGTTCTCGAAGTCCCCACTACACTCAGGAGCCCAGCTGGCTTCACCCAGTGGATCCCGCACCAGGGCCACCAGTGGAGCTGCCCACTAGTCCCGCGCCTAGCCTGCGCCCACACTCCTCAGCCCTTGGGCGGTGGATGGGACCGGGTGCCGTGGAGCAGGGAGCGGAGCTTGTCGGGGAGGCTCGGCCACGCAGGAGCCCACGTGGGGAGGCAGCTGAGGCTTGGTGAGAATTTGAGTGCAATGTCGGCCGGCGGGCACTCCTGGGGCACCCGTCGCACCCTCCACAGCTGCTGGCCTGAGTGCTACGCCCCTTACCACCCGGGGCCGGTGGCGCTGGCCAGCAGCTCCGAGTGCCGGCCCGCTGAGCCCACGCCTACCTGGAACTCGCGCTGGCCAGCAAGCCCCGCACGCAGCCTCGGTTCCTGCCCGTGCCTCTCCCTCCACACCTCCCCGCAAGCTCAGGGAGCCGGCTCTGGCCTCGGCCAGCCCAGAGAGGGGCCTCCACAGCGCAGTGGTGGGCTGAAGGGCTCCTCGAGCATGGCCAGAGCGGACACCAAGGCCGAGGAGGCTCTGAGAGCAAACGAGGGATACGAGGGCTGCCAGGGCTGCCAACACGCTGTCACCTCTCACCAGCACTTTGGGAGGCCAAGGCGGGTAGATCACTTGAGGTCAGGAGTTCGAGACCAGCCTGGCCAACATGGTGAAACCCCATCTTTACTAAAAATACAAAAATTAACCGGGTGTAGTGGCACACACCTGTAATCCCAGCTACTCCAGAGGCTGAGGCACGAGAAGAACTTGAACCTGGGAGGAGGAGGTTGCAATGAGTCAAGATTGCACTACACTCCAGCCTGGATGACAGAGCAAGACTCCGTGTCAAAAAGGAAAAAAAAAAAAAAAAAAAAAACCAAAAAGTTAATGGGGGAAGAATGTCCCTAAGGAGGGAGAGGGCGCAAGATGAAAAGGATAAGGGTATGAAACAAAATTAATTAACAAGTTCATGCCTGAGAGCCATACTTTTCTCTACAAAATGGAAGGCAGGGTCCAATCCAAGGGGGCTGGGGCCAACTTAGGGGACAGAGAAGTGATCACGTGGGTTTCAAGCTCATCAGCTGCTGAGGGGTACAGGAGAGGGAGATGACAAGGGGAGTATAAATGGATTTCCCAGGGAGGGATAGCATTAGGAGAAATACCTAATGTAGATGATGGGTTGATGGGTGTGGCAAACCACCATGGCGCATGTATTCGTATGTAACAAACCTGCACATTCCGCACATGTATCCCAGAACTGAAAGTACAGTTAAAAAAAAAAAAAGTGAAAAAAAAAAAAGATGATGTTTCCACTGAGACGCACTAATTGTGAGCGAAGTAGGATCATGGATAAACATCAGCAGGTAGGTTTTGCATTTGCTCAGTGTGAGACAACTATTGTATGCCTACATAGTGCATGGCCTTGTGCTTCCTGATCCATTCTTCGTGATTCCCTTGCTCTATGTGTATGGCAGGTCTTCACCCCTGCAGGTAGTGTTTCCCAGGCTACCTTGTCAGCTAAATCTTGGCAGCATATGGCCCCTATTAAGAACTGGCTGGAGCTTGGAAGGCAGAATAAGGCAAAAAGGCGAGTATTTCTCCCTTTTTTTTCCCTGTGCTTTAAGTGTGGTTTCCATCAGCAGCTACTTCTCTTCCATGACTCCAGGTTCCTCCACGCAGTTCCGGGTTGTCCTCATTTATTCCCGTCCAGTAACTCTGCCTTCTGCTTTTCCCCCTGTAGTGAAAGAATGGCAAAAACATCTCCTCTTACCTGAGGCTTATGAGCTCTTCTAACATCTGCATAAACGACTTCATAAATTAAATTATCTCTATTTCAAATTTAAAAAAAAGGATTTCCCTGAATGCTGAGTGACCCAGCAAAACTGGAGTTGAATTTGAAGTCTCCACATTTGTGCTTGTATGATGTATGCTTTTCCCCTAGCAGTGCTTGGCAGTATGTTGTAATAATAACAACAACAATAATGATAACTAACATTTAATAGAGGATTATTATTTTCCCTATTTAAAAAATGAGGAAACTGAGGCACAGAGAGGTTACATAGTCAGTGAGTAGTCAGTGTTACTCAGGGTTCTCCAGAGAAACAATGGAACCAATAGGATATTCATTCATTCATTCACTCATTCAGAATTGGCTCATGTGATTATGGAGGCTGACAAGTCCCAAGATCTGCTATCAGCAAGCTGGAGATCCAGGAGAGCTGATGGTGTAGTTACAGTCTGAACGCTGGTAACCTTTATAGCCAGAAAGAGCACATGCTGCACTTTCAGTCTGAAGATAGGAAAGAACAAATGTCCCAGTTGAAAGAACTGTCAAGCAGAAGGAATTCCCTCTCACTTATGGAAATGCCAGACTTTCTATTCTATTTCTGCCTTTAACTGATTGGACAAGGCCTGCCCACATTAGGGAGGAAAATCTGCTTTACTCAGTTTACCTATTCAAATGTCAGTCTCATCAGAAACACCCTCGTAGACACTTGTAGAATAATGCTTGACAAATGTCTGAGCATCCCATAGACCAGTCAAGTAGATGCATGAAATTAACCATCACGGTGGTGGAGCCTCAATTCAAACCCAGGCAATCTCTACCCATTGGAGTCTGAGGCTGAGCAATTTTTGAGATAGTGGCTGAAATATTGTGGAGTGATTGAAGTAATGCTCTAATGGAAGTGTAAGCTGGGAAATACTAGTACTGATGATATTACTACTAATAATTATTGCTTTTAGAGATCAAGCCAAGATAAAGGTTTGGGAGTGGGAGGTATTGGAAGTCTCCAGGGAGCTTAGGAAACAGTTGAAACAAAAGTGCTGAAAGGTGTATTATGGAAGGTATAGGAGAAGCTGCTGCAACAGAAGGACCAGAAAATACAGAGGTTTAAACAGAATGGAAGTTTATTTCTTCCCACATAACAGTTCAGAGGTGGGTGAGAAGGGTTTGCCAACCCCGATACATAGTTACCATCTCTAGCCCAGCTTCTCCAGTTGTTAGCACCTCCCAGCCAATGGGAAGAAGGATTGCACAGAGCAGTGCATGGCTACCTTTTCTAGGATCTGCACCTGAGCTGTCTGCCATGGCGACCATCTGTGGCTATTGCGCACTTGAAATATGGCAAGTGAGAATGAGGACGTGAATTTTGTATTTAATTTCATTCTAATTAGTTTAAATTTACATTTTGAAAAATCATACTCCATTCACTTATTTTTAAGGATGTTTGAATAACTTTTAAGGATGTTTGAATAACTTGGATATATTGAATGTGCTTTTTCAACTACAAATTGTATAAAACTGAAATACAGATCAACTCTCCCTTCCTTCCTTTCTTCCTCCCCCGCTTCCTTTTTCTTTTTCTTTCTCTTTCTTTCTTTCTTTTTCTTTTCTTTCTTTCTTTCTTTCTTTCTTTCTTTCTTTCTTTCTTTCTTTCTTTCTTTTTCTCTTTTTCTTTCTCTTTCTTTTTGAGACAGGGACTTGCACTGTCACCCAGGCTGGAGTGCAGTGACACAATTATAGAGGACTGCAGCTTTGACCTCCTGGGCTCAGGTGATCCTCCCACCTCAGCCTCCCTAGGAGCTGGGACCACAGGTGTGCTCCACCATGCCCAGCTAATTTTTGTATTTTTTATAGAAACGGGGTTTCCTCATGTTGCCCAGGCTGATCTCGAACTCCTGGGTTCAGGTGATCCACCTGCCTTTGCCTCCCAAAGTGCTGAGATTACAGACATGAGCCACTGTGCCCAGCCCAGATCAACTATTTCTAATGAAAATGTAGCATCTTCATTGAAATGTGCTGTGAGTGTAAAATACCCACTGGATTTTGAAGACTGAGCGTGGAAGAAAACAATATAAGGTATCTGATTAATACTTTCTTATATTGCTTACATGTTGAAATGATAATATTTTAGACATTTTGGGTTAAATAAAATATATTATTGAAGTTAATTTCCCTTGTTTCTTTTTACTTTTAAAAAATACAGCTACTAGAAAATTCAGAATTACATATGTGGCTCATGTTATATTTCTGTTGGACAGTGCTGGTCTAGACAACTAAAAAATGTACACGTCACTTGAGCTCACATCCATTGAGCAGGAATTAGTCATGTGTAGGCACCAACCTGCAAGGGATGCTGGGAAGTGTAGATGTCATCTCAGCTAAGCAGCCAAGTATCTGCAGAGAATTAGCAGTGATGGACAGTCAGCAGCCTCTGCTTTGGAAAGACCAGAAGTTATGATCAGAGATGGTACAGGCATGACAAGGTCCAGGATGTAATAGAGTGTAAATAGTTAATCCAGAGGAGGAGGTTAAGCAATTGTGGATAATCATTTTGTCATTAAATGCAAGATACTTATCTTCCTATTTAGTCTACCAAAAAGACACAAATACAATTCTTTTCAACAACTGTCTTGGACACTATTACCAAGTTGCACCTTAAATTTTAAGTGAGCATTACAATTTTATACATATCATCATATAATCCTTATAAGAGCCAGCACTCAGCACAATGCCTGGCTTGTTGTAGGTGCTCAACAAACATTAGTTGAACAAATATATGAATGAATTAGGCCATTTAGATGGAGATAAAAGAAAAGGAAGTAAAAAATACATAATTCATTTATTCAACAAATATTTGAGCATTTACTGTGCTAGGCACTGGGGATATAGCAGTGAACAAAAGAGACAATTCTCTTCTCTGGAGGAACAAGGCTTAAAATAAACAAGCAAGCATACAAATATTGTAATACGATATCAGTTCACAATAAGTACAGTCATGTGCTGCATGACAATGTCTCGGTCAATGACAGACTGCATTTGTATGATGATAGTCCCATAAGATTATAATACCGTATTTTTACCGCACGTTTTCTTTGGTTAGATACACAAATACTTACCATTGTGTTACAGTTGCCTACAGTATTCAGTACCACAACATGCTGTGCAGGTTTTTAGCCTAGGAGCAATCGGCTATATACCATGTAGCCTAGATATGTAGGAGGCTCTACCGTCTAGGTTTGCGTAAGTACACTCGATGATGTTTGCACAATGACAAAATCACCTGACATTGCATTTATCAGAGTGACGTGAGTAAGGTAGAATTGGAGATGTCTGTGGGAAGAGCATGACAGGTAAGAGGAACAGCAAGTTCAAAGACCCTGAGGCCAGAATGTGCTAGTGTTAGTGGAGTAACAGCCAAGAAGCCAATGTGGCTGGCAAGGAGTGGGTTAAGAGTAAGAATAACAGAAGATGAAGTCAGAACTGGTGACAGACTAAGATTGTATTTGATTTTTATCTTCAGTGAGAGGGAGACCCGCAGAAGAGTGTCCTTCTTTGAACCTGTTTAAAATTGTTACTGCACCTTTTTGTAAACAATTCCTGTCACAGAAGGCAAGGAGGTGTGAACAACCTTGTGAATGAGAGCCCAGGTAGGGAGAGAGCCAAGCTTTTTCTGACTTTTGCTAAAGAGCTTTCAGAAATTGGTTTACTTAGCTGTGTTTAGCATTCCCACACTTTCTCTTTGGCAGACTGAAGAGACAGCAAAGTGTTATTTTGGGCTTCCTTCCAGACTTGGAATTAGTTTGTTTTCGTCTTTTATCACAAACATCCTGCTGCCCTTTGACAGTATTCCTGGTAATGGAACCTTTTTGTTTTGTTATATTTTAATCTGCTTAGTGCATGTGGCTTGTCTATCTGGCTTCACAAATCACTGGTTATCATCACAGTCAATGGTCTGTGTCCAGCCAATTTCACAGACAAACACCTCTTTCCTGGTCACAGGCCCTGATGTGGGGAAGTCTGATTTACAAAGTCAATAAAAATGCATTCAGGGAATTACTGGGCCCTGCTGGCTTAATATACGAGATTAAAATCTCCAAGTTTGGGACAACGAGAAGTCATTTAACACACGTAAGATGGCAAGTGGATTATGGAAATGTCAGCTGGTCAGGGTCAGGCACCACTGGGAGGGGATTTATTGGAAGATGAAGAGACTAATTGATTAATTGCCTTCAGTACTTTTCCCAGGGTGACCTGGGGAAGATATCATACTACATCACTGGTCACTTTGGAGAGTGGACAATTTTTCATAGTGGAAGGTCATCTAGACCCAAACCAGGAGGGTATTTTTAAAGAAAAATAATTTTTTAATTAAAAGTTTTACTCATTGCCAAATTAGTAAGTGTTCCTTTTACATGTTGTAGTTTGGCTAACCTGGAAGGTGGACTCTAAGAGAGGAATTTGCATACAGTTTACTAGGGAGTACCCTTGGAATCACACAACTCAGGGAGGGAGGAAAGCAGGCCTGGCAGAGGAAGAAATTGGGCTGTGATGCAGTTGCAACAGAGGCTTAAGCTGATCGCGGGAAAACTCGGGAACTGGGATTAGGGAAAGGGACCAGTTATTGGATGTAGATATCCCCAAGAAAGGTGTGTGACCCTGAGTGAGGCTGCTCTCAGCTGAGGACAATTCTTGGAAAGTGTTTCGGCTGAGAGTTGTTAGTGGCTAATGTTCCCAGCAGCTGAGGAAGGAGTTCATCAGGCCAGCAGTGGGGATCTGGGTGGCACACCACAGCATCCACCAGAATAAACATCTTAGAAAATAGAAGCAAAAGGAAGAAAATAAAAATGACTCCAGATTGCACCATGTTGAGAAGAGGATTGTTAACTTTTTGGTGTGTATCTTCTAAATCTTTTATATCATAAATATATAGGTAAAGGCATAGATACCTATATCTATATACAGATACATATATAGGTATATACATAGAGATATATGTACATATATCAATTGTGTATTGTGTATTTTCTTTATACATATGCAAAAATGAATCATGTTATTTCATCTTGTTTTTTCTTAACATAAACTTTTTTTCTGTGTTAATGTAGATTAAAACAGATACATCTAGTTCTTGACCCAGAATTTCACAGCAAAGAATTTGCACTGGGGAAATAATCCGAGATGCACATACAAGATGTTTACTGCCGTATTATTTATAACACTTAAAAAATCTGGAACAACCAAATGTCCAACAGTAAGGGTCTAATTAAATTACATTATAGGATATCCCTACTGTGACCATCAAAGTTTAGAACAGGGGTCCCCAACCCCTGGGACCGGTACCGGGCTGCATAGCAGGAGGTGAGCGGCGGGTGAATGAACACTACCACCTGAGCTCCGTCCCCGTCGATCATCAGCAGCATTAGATTCTCATAGGAGGGCAAACCCTGTTGTAAACTGTGGATGCGAGGGATCTAGGTTGCACACTCCTTATGAGGATCCAATGCCTGATAATCTGAGGTGCAGTTTCACCCAAGAATCCTCTCCCAACCCTGCCCCAGTCCATGGAAAAATTGTCTTCCATGAAACTGGTCCTTGGTGCCAAAAAGGTTGGGGACCACTGATTTAGAAGTTTATTTTAATGATGTGAGAAACTGTGACCAATATATGGTTAATTTTTTAAAGATATACAAACATTAGCATTTTGTAGAAAAAAGCTTATGTGCATTGAAAAAGAAATAGTAGAAGCCAGGCACAGTGGCATGTGCCTATAGTCCCAGCTACTCTGGAGGCTGAGGAAGGGTCACTTGAGTCCAGGAGTTCAAGGCCAGCCTGGGCAACATAGTGAGACCCGGTCTCAAAAAATATATATACAGAAACAGTAGAATATCAACCAAAATGTTACCATGGTTAAATGGTTATATCAGGTCTTGAATTCCTGGCCTCAAATGATCTGTCTGAATCAGCCTCCCAAAGTGCTGGGATTACAGGCATAAGCCACTGAGCCTGACCCCAATGGTTCTGGCTAGTGCCTTTTCTTTTCTTGTTTTTAAAAATTGTTTTGCATTCTTTTTCTTTGTCAGAATGTGTTCTTATTATTAGAGTTTATAGATTTAGGTGGTACAAATGCAGTTTTGTTACGTGGATACACTGTGTAGTGGTGAAGTGTGGGCTTTTGGTGTAACCATCACCTGAATAATGTATATTGTACCCAATAGGTAATTTCTTATTCCTCACCTGCCTTCCCACTCCTCCTTTTTGCGTCTCCATTGTCTATGATTTCACTCTGTATGTCCATGTGGACCCACTGTTTAGCCCCCACTTATGAGTGAGAATATGTGGTATTTGACTTTCTGTTTCTGAGTTATTTCACCGAGTATAATGGCTTTCAATTCCATCTTTGTTGCTGCAAAAGACATGATTTCATTCCTTTTTTAGCCATATATGTATCACACTTTCTTTATCCAGTCATCCACTGATGGACACTCAGGTTGATTCTCTATCTTTGCTATTGTTAATAGTGCTGTAATAAACATATGAGTGCAGATATCTTTTTTATGTAATGATTTCTTTTCCTTTGGGTAAATATCCGGTAGTGATTGCTGGATTGCGTGGTAGTTCTATTTTTAACTCTTTGAGAAATCTACGTACCATTTTCCATAGAGGTTGCATTAATTTACATTCCCACCAATAGCATATAAGCATTTCCTTTTATCTGCATCCTCGCTGACATCTGTTGTATTTTTTGACTTTTTAATAACACTCACTCAGAATGTATTATTTTGTAATTAGAAAAAAGCATTTAAAATATTTTCGGTTGGTCCCCAAATATTTTTAACACTACTTAAAAGTTAAACCAGTAATTAATGCACATGGCACAATAGTCAATAAAACAAAATGCCATACAATGAAAAGTTGTCTCTCATTCCAGAAACCTCCTTCTTCTCCAGTTCTCTCCCCAAGAGGCAACCGCTATAAGGAGTTTCTCATCCATCCTTGTGGAAACAGCATATGTAACATATACACACACAACAGCACAGTCTTTACACTGTTCAACACCCCCCAACTTAATGTACCTTGGAGAACTTTCTAAATCACAACATATAGATCAACTTTATTCTTCTATTGCCTAAGTAGTATATTACTATATGGCCATATCATACTATGGATAACTTTTTATTTTTGCAAATATTGTTGTAATGACCATTATTCTACAATGTTAAAAAATACTCATGTACGGGTTTTTGTTGGACAAATTCCTAGAAGGAGAATTGCTGAGTCTGTTGGTAAGTGTATTTTAAATTCTGAGAGGTATTTTCAGACTTCTCTCCAAAGAGGCTGCCTCATTACCAGGAATGTGTATGCCTATGACTTCACACCCTTGGGATATCTTGTTCTATCAAAGTCTTTGTTTTTGTCAGTCTGGTGGGTGAAATGTACAGCTTGTCAATGTTTTAGATTGCATATCTTTATAAACAATCATCTTTAAGGGAAGGACAATAAAGTAAGGTTGTGAGAGATTTTGTATTTTAATTTTCCTTTCTTTCCTCTCTCATCTCCGCTTTCCTTCTTCCCTCCCTTTGAGTTTGAGATGAGAATGTCTACAGAGGATGTAGGGAAAGGGTGGAGGAAGAAATAGAGTTAGCAAATAATGAAGAGAGAAGTCCTGTAGGTAAGGAAGGAGGGAATGGAATTTTCTCTTACCTCTGAAGTTAGCTCATTCATCCAACAAATACTTCTTAGGGAGTATATTAGGGAGTATCATTTACTCTCATCTGCCTCCCTCTGTTGCAGGGGAGTTTACTTTTCCACCTCATTGATGTTGAACTTGACCATGTGACTTGCCAATGAGGAAGTAACAGATTTGATGTAAGCTGAGGCTCCGTACTTGGTTGCACCATTGATGTGACTGCATTTGACTGTGACCAGTGATTTACCATGACAAGAGCTTTCTCCCACATGGCTGCTGCCCCTTTTTCCTGGGCCCCAGTACAAGTACGCTTGGTCAGACCTAAACTCATGCACAGCCTGGAGCCAAGCAAGGCTGAGCTGCAGGCTGAAGCAGAGCTTTCCGGGTAACCTGAACTCCTGTTGCAGATTCATGAGCTTGAGAATAAATGTTCCTTGAATAAATCATTGAGCTTTGGGGTAGTTTGTTGTGCAACATGGTGACTGTGGCAGTAACTGACTGAAACACCCACTCTGTGCCCAATGTTCTTTTAGAATATTCCAGTAAACAAAAATAAATAAAAAAACTTTCTTCTACCACTGAGTTTACTTTCTTGTAGGGGGAGATAGACACTAAGCAAATATGTCAGATGGCGATAGGTGTCATGGGCCTCTGCTGTCAACACAACATGTTCATTATTCAGGCCTCCTTAAGGCAGTCTCTGGTTTCCGTCTGAGGACATAGTTGGGCTATCCCTGCTATGGCCTCCAGGTTGTGGACAAACCGATCCTGTAGTTCCCCCCCCTTTCCACTGTGCCCTCTCCTTCCTGTGCTCGCTGTGGTCCTGCCAATTTCTTCCTGGCAACACAGGGCAAGAGCTGGCATGAATTAATAGCCACCATTCATTGAGCATCAAGTTCTATGTGCCTGGCACTGTGATAAGCATTCTATATGTTTGAATGTGCACAAACTTTTATGAGATAGCTACCGTTATTATCTCCATTGTACAGATGAGGAAACTGAGAATCACAGAGAAGAGGAGGAATCAGAACTTGAACCATGGCAGACAATCTCAGGAGTCCATAATATCTTAACTGTGATACTATAAATGCGTGTCAACAGAAAGCAAATCTTTCTGTTTCTTTTAAAAAGTTGGATATTTTGACTTTTGGAGTAAATATTCCTAGGGTCACTGATTTTTCACTCACTGGCTCTTGCTTTTTTGCAACAGTTAAAGTCATAATCAATTAAATTATTTAGCATATACACCTAATCTGTTCCAGGAGCTCTCTACACTTTAGGGATATAAAAATTAGGATAGACTTGGTATTCTAGTGAGTCTAGAAGTTCACAGTCTAATAATAAAGATGTAAACAAATGACCACAGCAGGCTGCAGATTGGATTATATAAAAATATAACTAATAATAACATAGCAGATAACATTTGTCGAGCACTGACAACATGCTAGACATTGTGTTAAGTACTTTACAGACATTATCTTGCATGAGATTCTACAGATGAGGAAACTAAGGCTTAAAGAACCATCCCCTGCCCACGGTAGTGCTGCCAGATGAAATTCAAATTTCAGTTAAACTTGTCCCATACTTATACCGAAAAATTATTCATTGTTTATCAGAAATTCAAATTTAACTGTGTATTCTGTATTTTTAGTTGCTGAATCTGGCAACCCATGTCCAAGGTCACCTTTGAACCCAAAGCTGTTTCACGCTGGAGATGAGGCTTGCCATCCCCACCACACACTGTACCTAAAACACCCACACAACCAACAGGCAGCATGCTTTCAAATGCCCCTTGGAGCCGGGTAATCTTCAGACCTTACTGGCCTTCTAGAGTCAATGCACCAGAATGGTATAGGCACTCAGAGAAATTAGCGGTGTGTGTGTGTGTGTGTGTGTGTGTACAGAGATGGAGACAGGAGGTAAGGGGGAATCTTGCCACCTTTGCCCTCCAGGTGCCGAGGAGACAGCAGCTAAGCAGCAAAATGAGTGGCTCATCTCTGGGCTGCTCCTTCCGGAGGGAAATCAATGATTTAGTTAAAGCCTCGCCTGCCCAGTGCTGCGGATTGGGGCCATCCCGAAGGAGCTGCTCTGCAGAGCCTTTTTATAAACCGGCATCAATTTACACTCCAAATGAAGTCCTAATAAACTGCTGCCGCAGCCCTGCCAGGAGTAGGCCGGGTAAACACTTCCTTTTAATAAAACACGTGCACACTGGTCTCAGCAGGGCTGGAGCTTTTGTGCACACAGCGTCGGAGCCTGGACCCAGGGGCCTGGGGGAAGAATCCCTGCACAGCCCATTGGTGTAAGTTCATCTGTTCTCACTCGCCCAGGTCGCTGCTCCTGGTCTTTAGATTCCCAGTGTGGGAGAAGCCTTAGATTTCCACCAGGGCAATCCCACATTGGATGCTGCTGGAACTCTAGTGTTTCCCAACAATCCGTCCACCATTCCTCACCGCTTTCCTTGGGGGAACAGTGAAGCCATGCTTGTTAGGAACTCTGGTCTAGAGTCAGGAAGTTTGAATTCACGTACAGATTCGATCTCTTGCTAGCTGTGTGACCTTGAGTGTATTTACTCAGCTTCTCTGTGCTTTGTTTTATCATTTATAAAATAAAGATAATAGCATCTACCATTTAAAGTTGTTGCACAGTGATTGGCATAAATACTTAGTTACAACTGTTATTGTGATTTTATTACTAAACTGGCTTTATATATCATGATGTGACATTGTTAGCACATAATGAGTGCTCAGTAAATGGTATAGTATTTGTATTATTATATTTAATATGATTACAAGAATTGGTAATCCATATCAGAAAAACCTTTATAACTTTGAGACAAGGTTATGTTGCTATAAATTCTATCTGTTGTCCTAACTCCATCCTCCTGAAACTAAACAAAACAAATTTAATCCTAACAACCTTCACATATTTGCCCCACTCCCAAATGTGTCCTAAATTCTGTTTCATTTAGGTGAAACTGCACCAATTACTTCAGCTACTGATCCAAAGATGCCCTAGTTTTTTTCCTAGGAAGCCTCATGTTTAAAATGAGGAATCAAATACTTATCTTCCAGGAAGGCCTAAGTTAGTGCTCATTAAAGCTCTAAGTTTGTAGCACAAAGTAAGTACTCTTTCCTTCTGCCTCCCACGTGAAAACAGAGCGTCCTAGTCCCACCTCCCGAAAGCCAGCCTAGCTAGTGATTATGACTGGGGTAGTTTGCCTGGGTGCAAAGCTGGCTTCATCAAAGCCGTCTGACCTTGGGCAAGTTATGTAACCTCTCTTTGCTTCACATATGTCACCTGTAAGATGGCAATAATAACACTGTGTGCTTGTGTTGATTTGCTGAGACAATCCGGGTAAAGCATGTAGCACAGTGCCTGGTGTACAGTAGGTTCTCAATCCATCTTGGGCGATTATTATTCCAAGTGAGCCACACAGAACTAAAGGTAGTGCTCAAGAGGAGAGCACTGTTTCTGCCTTAGTCCTTTTGTGTTGCTGTACAGGAATCCCAGAGCCTGGGTAATTGATAAAGAAAAGAGGTTTAGCCGGGCACCGTGGCTCACACCTGTAATCCCAGCACTTTGGGAGGCCGAGGCGGGCGGATCACGAGGTCAGGAGATCCAGGCCATCCTGGCTAACATGGTGAAACCCCGTCTCTACTAAAAATACAAAAAAATTAGCCGGGCGTGGTGGCGGGTGCCCGTAGTCCCAGCTGCTCGGGAGGCTGAGGCAGGAGAATGGCGTGAACCCAGGAGGCGGAGCTTGAATTGAGCCGAGATCGTGCCACTGAACTCCAGCCTGGGCGACAGAGTGAGACTCCATCTCAAAAAAAAAAAAAAAAGAAAGAAAGAAAGAAAAGAAAAAGGTTTATTTGGCTGATGGCACAAGAAGCACGTACAAGAAGCATGATGCCAGCATTTGCTTCTGGTGAGAGCCTCGGACTGCTTCCACTCATGGTTCAAGGGAAAGGGAACTGGTGTGTGCAGGGACCACATGGTGAGAGAGGAGGCAAGAGAGAGGGGAGGGAGGGTCCAGGCTCTTTTTTAAATAACCAGCTCTCATGGGAACTAATAGAGCAAAAACTCACACCCCTCCTGCCCTGCATGGAGGCCATTCAACTATTCATGAGGGATCTGTCCCCATGACCCAAACACCTCCTGCCTCCAACATTGGAAATAAAACTTCACCCTGAGATTTGGCGGGTCCAAACATCCAAACTGCAGCAGTTCCCTAACCCTTTCTTTGGTCCAGCATCAATCCACCCTCGTTGGCCATTCCAGCATCAATCTGCCCTCGTTGGCCATTCCAGCATCAATCTGCCCTCCTTGGCCATCTTCTCCCACTGTCGACTTGTTTCAAGCTTATAGTCTTTTCTACACAAGCCATCACTAAGTGTCAACACTCCTACCTTATCCTCTACCACCTGTTATTTCCTTTGGGCTCAAATATAGTCCTTCCCATTAATCTGTATTGAATTTCATCTTGCTAGCTTTGTGCCATGATTCCAATTGTTCAAGAAGCTTTTGGATGCTCCGTCTGTCACCAAACACTGGCCAGCACTCCTAGTGTCCTGGCTCACAAACAAAGTGGATGTTATAAAACCTGGAGGAAGAGCCAGAGCTTGTAGTGGACTTCTGTTGCTCCTGCCTGCCCAGAATTCATGCCCAGTTTTTGCTAACTGCCCTTCAGTATTTCTTTAGTAAACCATCCCTTTCCCATGGAATGTGGTTTTGGTGGGGTTGTCAGTCAAGGTGCTGGAGGAGGGTGCAGGTCCCAAGCTGGGCCAATAAGAGTACTTCTCTGGGGTTTAACTGTTGAGAATGACAGGAGGAACACTCCCAATCCCAAGGAAAAAAGAAAAGAGGCTGGGCATGGTGGCTCACACTTGTAATCCCAGCACTTTGGGAGGCTGAGGTGGGCGGATCACCTGAGATCAGGAGTTCGAGACCAGCCTGGCCAACATGGTGAAACCCCGTCTCTACTAAAAATACAAAAAATTAGCCAGGCGTGGTGGTATGTGCCTGTAATCCCAGCTACTCGGCAGGCTGAGGCAGGAGAATCGCTTGAACCCGGGAGACAGAGGTTGCAGTGAGCTGAGATCACACCATTGCACTCCAGCTTGGGCAACAAGAACAAAACTCCACCTCTAAACAAAACAACAACAACAAACAAACAAACAAACAAAAAACAAAAGAAAAAGGTAGAGCTGGTTTATTCTGAGGACGGTAGACAGTGGACAGGAATTTGTTGACTATTTCCTACCTGTGGATCCTTTGTGCTGTCTTTTTCCTGTCCTTTTAGGGGCCTACTTCTTCAGTTTTGCCTTGATGTCATATATCAGTTTTTATTGCCACAAGAATGCTGTGTAACAAACCATCACCCAATCTAGTGACTTAAAACACTAAGCGTTTACTTAGCTCATGAATATAAGGAACACCAAGTGGGTTTTTGGGTCTTGGTTAGGTTCACTCATGAATCTGCAGTTACCTGAAGGTCAACTAAACAACTCTACTGGTCTTGGCTGGACCCTATCACATTTGTAGGGGGTCAACTGGGAATTGGGTCAGCAGTTCTAGGATAACCTTCACTGGGACACCTGGGGTGACTCAGCTGTGTTCATCGTGGCATCCTCTAGCAAGTTAGCAGGGCATGTTCTCAGGATGCAGGCAGAGGAGCAAGAGAAAGGACTGCCAGGGCCTTTCCAAGCTCCTGCTTGTATCACCACTGCTAGCATTTCATTGGCCAAAGCAAGTGAGAGAATCCACAAAGTCACAAAAACTGTGGATACAGAGAGGGGCTGGGAGTTGAACATGCTGTTGGATCAACCACATGCCATGAGCTACTTCAAAACCTGAAAAGTTTATTTTACACCCAGTGTTTGTTTTTGTTGCTTGCAACTAAAGAGCCCTCACTGATGAAGAACTGGAAGGTAAAATGGACTTACATCCACATCCTAGTCTTGGAAGCGAACAGAAGAGAATGTTTCAAAATAGAAGCCATGTCAACACCTTTGGCTTCCCTTGTTCTGGGGCTCTTGGACCTGGACTGAACCACACAACCAGTATCCCAGGTCTCCAGCTTGCAGATGGCCTGTTGTGGAACTTCTCAGCCTCTGTAATCATGTGAGCCAGTTCCCCTAATAAACCCCCTCTTTATCTATCTATCTATCTATCTATCTATCTATCTATCTATCTATCATCTATTATATCTCTCATCATCTATTATCTATCTATAATATCATCTATTATATCTGTCATTATCTATCATCTATGTATCTATCTATATATAATAACATCTGTTATATCTATCATCATCTATCTATCTGTCATCTATCCATTTAGTCATCTATCCTATTGGTTCTCTCTCTCTGAAGAATCCTGACTAATACACCTGGTAAACTTAGAAAATCAGAAAAGGAAAACTTACCTCTTATGTAACCAAATTACATCTGGGGAGCAGCCCCTCTGGAGGGCAGAGTGGAATGAAAGCCAGTTCTAGGGAAAAGAACTAGGGAAGGGAGGACAAGGTCTTAATTTGTGTCGTCTGTGACAGCTGGAGCCAACTCACGTAATAGGGTCATTTAGCTCCACTAGTTACTTCTGTGTGACCTTTCATGGGTGAATTGACCTCTCTGGGCTTCATCCTCAAAGGATTATGAGACTTGAATAAAATTCCACCCGTAAAGGATTTGTAAAGCATGATGCTTGCCTAGTAAATTGCCCTTTCTTTTTTCATCCACTGTGCAGCTACTAAATTACTGTCTCTTGGCTCCAAACCCAACTTTCTATATTCAGCTTTGTGCTGCTGGGACTGAGACTCACATTTCTGCAGTGTCAGCTGCTCCCTGTGAGGCTTAGTCCATAAGGGGCACTAGTGCGAGACCATGAAGTGGGAAGAGGAAGTAGAGACCTGCTTCTTTCTGTTGGCTTCCTGATGCTGCAAGCATGTTCTTAACAAGCTTCTTCATCCCAGGTCCAGCCTATAGTTGCTCCTAAGCTCACAAAACCAGTCTCATTGGAGACTCTAACACCGGCACCAGCTGGCTAGCTGCCCCCTCTCCTCAGAGATTTGGGTCCCAGACCCAGAGGAACTCTCCTCTGAGTTTCTGAGTTTTTTTTTTTTTTTTTTTTTTTTTTTTGACAGTTTTGCTCTTGTTGCCCAGGCTGGAGTGCAATGGCGTGATCTTGGCTCACTGCAACCTCTGCCTCCCAGATTCAAGTGATTCTCCTGCCTCAGCCTCCTGAGTAGCTGGGATTACAGGCATGCACCACCATGCCTGGCTAATTTTGTGTTTTTAGTAGAGACGGAGTTTCTCCATGTTGGTCAGGCTGGTCTCGAACTCCCAACCTCAGTTGATCCGCCAGCTTTGGCCTCCCAAAGTACTGGGATTACAGGCATGAGCCACTGCACCCGGCCCATGTCTGAGTTTTAATAATTCCTATCTCTTCTCTTGGTGCCCCAGTCTCTGGTGGCAGCTGCTTCCTGCAAGGGCTACTTCTGTGATACCTCAAGAGTTTTGTTTATCTTCTTGCAGTTACCTAGTCATCACCTTTATATCCTGTTGAAAATACATCACCATGTACCCCATAAACATATACAGTTATTCTATGTCAATATAAAAGAAAATATAGCATGAAAGATTTTTTACACTAAATTCCTCCTGTTCCAATAACTAGTATGACTCCTGTCTCCTGACTGGACCCTGACTGAGAAGCCCGTTTTCTCTTTCACAGAACCTCATACACAGGGCTACTAAAGGATCCTTTCCATTGTCCTGAATGTTTCTTTCCTCCTATTCCCATTGATACAGATTTTTGTCTTATAGTGATCACTAAACTTGTTTGTGTCAGAATCCACTGGGACCTCTGTTAAAACATTTTTGGGGATGGCACCTCTAGAGAATCAGGTGAGAATCTGGAATCTGTATTTTTATTTTTATTTATTTATTTTTTGAGACAGGGTCTCACTCTGAACCCAGGCTGAAGTTTCAGTGGCACAATCTCGGCTCACTGCAGCCTCCGCCTCCCAGGTTCAAGTGATTCTCCTGCCTTAGCCTCCCGAGTAGCCGGGACTCCAGCACATACCACCACACCCGACTAATTTTTGTATTTTCAGTAGAGAGAGGGTTTCACCATGTTGACCAGGCTGGTCTCTAACTCCTGATCTCAGTTGATCCACCTGCCTTGGCCTCCCAAAGTGCTGGGATTACAGGCATGAGCCACTGTGCCCAGCCTGGAATCTGTATTTTTAAAAAATGCTCCAGGGAAGTCTGAGGCATAGTTTGGTTTGGGAAGTCACTTTTCTGCAGGCAGAGACCAGGTTTTTCCGTCTTTGTTTTCAGGACTGTGGCATTGGGCAGTCCTCAACATGAACGCTTATTGAATAAGTAGGTACATGTTGTAGTTGCACGACTCCGTAGCTATTTCGTCCCCATAAAATTGAGAACCAAAAAGAACTGAAAAGGACTTTGTTTTTCTCTTAATGAAAGCATGTATAATGGTGGTCAGTAGAATAGAAGATACACTCAATCCTGCTTGCTTCTAAGATAAGATGCTGGACCAAAAGACCCAGGCCTGAGTTTATTAAGAATAATTGTAACAAATATTTTGAGAAATTATCCTGTAAAATAACAGATCATTGTTTTTTATTAGTATTCATCTTTTTTTATTATCATACTTTAAGTTCTGGGATACATATACAGAATGTGCAGGTTTGTTACATAGGTATACATGTGCCATGGTGGTTTGCTGCACCCATCAACCCGTCATCTACATTAGTTATTTCTCCTAATGCTGTCCCTCCCCTTGCCCCCGACCCCTGACAGGCTCTGGTGTGTGATGTTCCCCGCCCTGTGTCCATATGTTCTCATTGTTCAACTCCCACTTATGAGTGAGAACATGCGGTGTTTGGTTTTGTTCCTGTGTTAGTTTGCTGAGAATGATGGTTTCTAGCTTCATCCATGTCCCTGCAAAGGACATGAGATCATTCTTTTTTATGGCCTTAGGAAGTACTGAGCACTTAAATGGTGGGCTAAGCTAAACTTCTTAGTTAATTGATGTAAATAATGCTGTTGGGAAAAGGTCTTTTTTGTTTTTTGAGATTTATTTTATCCAATTTAGTGAAATCAGGTGAAAGTGGATTACTAGTCCCTTCACCAGTAAAAGCTGGTTTGGAGGCAGCTGTTGGGGAAGTTCATCATGCCATGAAAGTTGGGAAGAGGAAGATGGTTTTTCAATAGTTCGCCTCTCAGAAGGGAGAAAAGCTCTGAGAGGTTAAGAATGAACCAATATGCAATACTTATCCCTAAGTTAAATAGACGGTGTGTATCCAGCACTTGTTTCAACTATATTAAATGAATCTGTAGGGAAAGTGACTATTAATTGATGGATCAATATTACTTTCTCCTACAGAAGTGATTCTTGGAGATATAACAACCCTCCACGTTCAGATGTCTCCAGGTAAAGCTTAGCCAATCCTGGAATGTTGGACCTCAGGTGTAATTATGAGAGTTATAAGTACACAGACAATATAGGGGCAGAAATTATCAGTTGATAGTAGCTAGAAAATCTCTATTTAGCAACTGTGATAGGAGGAGGAACACATGTTGAAGTATATCCATACTATTGAGGCATTGACCCAATAGGAAGAGTACATTTCCTAGCATAGGGTATAAATCTAGGAGTTCAGAACTGGATACACTAACATTAACTGGGATTCCTTTGGTTGGCCCATTTCTCAAATATGTTTTTTCCTTACTGTCAAAGAAGAATCTTGACAGACAATTCATTTCCTAAAACCTAGCCTTTTGCGGATGAACCTGACAGATCAATGTCTGTTTGTAAAACCTTGTCCATCTTATACATTACAAGAGAGGCTTGTGGGTCACTGGGAGGTAATATCTAGGAAGTTACCATGTCTGGAAGGAGGTTTAGGATTATAGAGCTGTCATTGCTGCCTGAAGGACACCATGGGAGTTGGGTAAGGATCATTCTTCTGAATTAAGTTAATTCCATGTGGTCAACTAAGTCTTTGTGTGAGAAAATCTGCAGGCTTTTTTGGACTTGGCTACCTGCATAACGAGAAAGCTCAGTGTGAAGCCAAGGAAAAAGAATGTATAGTATGCCTGAGGCAGAAGGAATAAATGGCAAGGAACAGCCTCAGGGGCCAAGCATTTGGCAGAGGGGAAATTTGAAAGGCATCATAACTGAAAAACAAAAGAGGCAGGGAATATGATCCGTTAGGGGAAGATAGTTGAGTAGATTCCACAGGCGGATGAAGGATGGCTTAATTGGATAGCACATCATTAGGCTGTGGAATTGGCACAAAGGCCTAAATCCGTTTAGATATTATTTAGCCCATGATGTAAGGACTCACATCTGCCTCAGATATTAATAATAGTCCCTGCCCCCTCAAGAGCCACACAAAGGAATATGGGCAGAGCCAACTGTACTCCAAGGAAAACACTGGGGCCTAATAACCCACTCTTGCCCCTAGAAGTTGAAGCTTTTGCTCTCAGCCAATCTTAGTCATGCCATTTGCCTAACCTTGATAATAAGAATGTGCTGGTATTTCAGTCTTCTTAGGAGATGCACTTTGAGGCACGGGGGAGGGTATTTCTGTTGCAGAAACTATTGAACTGGTCATTGTTGTGTATTTACTTAGAATAAATGAAGCAATTATGTTTGTTGCCAACAAAACACAACCAAATATGTAAGTAGTTTGATGATAGGGCATCAATGGCTTCCCAAACCTGTGCCTGTGTGAATTGGCTCTTTGGACTGGCTTTGGGGCTCCTGATCACAAATGGCCCCCATGAGAATTCTCCAATATCCTGGCATGGCACAGATCAAACCTATACAATGTGCTGTTTGTTTCTACCAGGTCAGGTACCAGACTACAGGAGTAGTTGTGGCACTTTATAGGGAACATTGATCATGGTAAGAAAACCAAATTACCTGGTGTATTAGTCTGTTCTCATGCTGCTATGAAGACATACCTGAGACTGGGTAATTTATAAAGGAAAGAGGTTTAATTGACTCACAGTTCTGCAGGGCTGGGAAGGCCTCAGGAAACTTACAATCATGGTGGAAGAGGAAGCAAACATATCCTTCTTCACATGGCGGGAGAAAGAAGAAGTGCAGAGCAAAGGTGGGAAAGTCCCTTATAAAACCACCAGATCTCATGAGTACTCACTCACTATCACGAGACAGCATGGGTGAACCACCCCCATGATCTAATCACCTCCCACGAGGTCCCTCCCCGAACACATGGGACTTACAATTTGGATTATCATTCAAGATGAGATTTGGATAGGGACACAAAGCCAGACCCTATTACCTGGGCTAGTGAGTGATAAGAAAATAATAAGTTTATACTTGTAATAGGGCATTTTTGCTAGCTAATGCTGGTAAATAAAACATTCAATCTCTCCTTAACCACCCTCTCTCACCACTCTGTCCCCATCTGTCTATATCAATTCACACCCATAGAAGCTTGTTTTATTTTTTATAATTTCAACTTTTATTTTAGATTCAGAGGGTACATGTGCATGTTTGTTACATGGGTATATTGCATGATGCTGAGGTTTGGGGCATGATTAATCCCATCACCCAGGTAGTGAGCACAGTACCCAATATGTAGTTTTTTACCTCTTGCCCTCCTCTTGCACACTCTCCTCTAGTAGTCCCCAGTATCTATTGTCATATTTATGTCCATGTGCATTCAATGTTTAGCTCTCACTTATAAGTGAGGAGATGCAGTATTTGGTTTTGTGTATCTGCGTTAATTCACTTAGGATAATGGCCTCCAGCTGCATCTATGTTACTGCAAAGGACATGATCTCATTCTTTTTTATGGCTGTGTAATATTCCATGGTGTATATGTACCATATTTTCTTTATCCAATCCATTGTTGATGGGCACCTAGGTTGAGTCCATGTCTTTGCTATTGTGAATAGTGCTGCCATGAACATATGAGTGCACGTGTCTTTTGGACAGAGCAATTTATTTTCTTTTGGATACATACCCAGTAAAAAAAATTTGTTTTAAATAGGAGGTGGGGGAAGGAGTTGATATGGGAAAGAGGTCAGAGAAAGGAAGAGGATGGAGGAAACAGAAGTCCCCCATTCTAAAGTTAGGAGTTGGATTTGGGAAGTCACAGGGCTGTGGAAATGAAATAGGTCTGGGTGACACCTGAGGTCATGCATTTCCAACAAGTCCTCAGAAGATGCCCCTTCTGCTGGTTCTTGGACAACATTTTGCATAATTCTTTTTCAAATAATTTTTTGATCACATGCCACAATAGGCATATGTTTATATTTCTGAATTATACAAATATGATATTATGTATATTATAAAGCATACAAAAATAGGAAAAATTAAAATGAGATCATACTAAGTAGAAATAGAAATCTGCGTGTTTCCTTCCTATATCTCAGTTAGTCATCTTGTCATTCCTAAGGATGTGTGCACAACACTTTGAGGGGGGTCACTGCTCCAGAAGGGAGATGTACAAACTCACTATGGAGAGCCCTCAAATTTTCCTGACTTCTGTTCTTGCTGGGGATTAGATGTCTGAAACATCCATGAACTGCCTGATATCCCAGTCGTTTTGTGATGGTTTCCCTACTGGGTTTTCTGTTACTGGCACCCAAAGGAACTGCAATGGACCGAATGTTTTTGTTTCCTCAAAAATTCATATGTTGAAATTCTAACCTCCAATGTGATGGTATTTGGAAGTAGGGCCTTTGGGAGGTAATTAGCTCATAAGAGTGGAGCCCTTGTGAAAGGGATTAATGCCCTGATAAGAAGAGACACAAGAACTAGCTAGCTCTCTTTCTGACATGAGAGGATACAAGAAGATGACCCTCTGCAAACCACGAAAAGGATCCTCACCAGACACTGGATCTGATGGCACTTTGATCTTGGACTCTCCAGCATCCAGAACTGTGAGAAATAAATGTTTGTTGTTTATGCTACCCTGTCTGTGTTAATTTGTTATAGCAACCAGAATGGACTAACGCAGAAAACTTGACTAATAAATGGGCAATTGGAGTCGTCACACAGACAGAAGGAAAATATGAGTTATAGGCAGGGAAGAGGGCAAAAGAATTCCCAGGGTCAGGTACAAAGAGACATGAGGCTGTACATGGGAAATTGAGTCAGGGAGCAAAACAGGCTATGGAGCATGAAACTGGTTAGGATAGGTGATTTAGTTCTAAGGACCTGGACAATGCAAAGATGTCAGAGATTGTTTTCCTGCTTCCTTCTGCTTAAAGAAATGGGCAGTAGCAGCAGCAACCAACAGAAGAATCTGCCTCTGTTCTACAGGAAACCAATTAGCGATAATACCAGTATGGGCACACCTATCCTTAGCTTTCATAGTCAGGGAGGAGGTATGGGACTCTGAGTGTTAGGGATTCCACACTTACAGAATCCTCTGAAATGATGTCTGGTAGGAAGGTAAATCAGTTTGATACTAATCCCACAAGAGGTGGACTGGTGTGAAAGAAATTTTGAAATTTAAAAGGTGAACAAGCATGTGAAGAGGTGCTCAAACTCATTAGTAATAAGAGAAATGCAATGACCGGGTGTGGTGGCTCACGCCTGTAGTCCTTGCATTTTGGGAGGCTGAGGCAGGAAGATCGCTTGAGACCACGAGTTTGAGACCAGCTTGGGCAATGTAGCAGACAAGACCTTGTCTCCACAAAAAACAAACAAAAAAAAATCCAGGTATGGTGACATGCACCTGTAATCTCAGCTACTTTGGAGGCTGAGGTGGATAGATTGCTTGAGCCCAGGAGTTTGAGGCTGCAGTGAGAAGTGATCATGTTACTGCACTCTAGCCTGGACGATGGAGTAAGACTCTGTCTTTAAAAAAAACAAAAAATAAAAACAAGAATTCCAGAATATATCACTTTATACTCTAGACTGGCAAAATTAGAAAGCTGGGTTATACTAAGTTTTGGTGGGGAAGGGTGGTTTCTAGGAGCCTTATGTATGTTGAAGGAAGTACAGACTGGTACAGCTCTTCTGCAGAGCATTCTGGCAATACTGAAGCAAACAGAATATTCACTGAACCAGTGGGCCCTAAAGGTGACATGGATGATAATGATCCGCACAGCATGAATGGTGGCAGCAGTCCTGGTGTCACTGGCAGGATGGAGAGGCAAAGCCTGGAGGTCTATACAGCAGTTAGAAGACTAGTCACACAGAAAGCAATATGGATACATCTTAAAAAGAGTGCTGTGTTGTCTATGGTGTGGAAAGGCAGTGGGGTTAAAAGGGGATACCCCAATACACAGGGGAGGGGCCTTCCATAGATCAATGATAATATTTCAGGCTGAAAGATTTATTTATTTTCTTATTCTTTTTATATTTCAGAGACAGGATCTCACTCTGTCACCCAGGCTGGAGTGCAGTGGTATGATCACAGCTCACTGCAGCCTTGAATTCCTGGGCTCAAGTGACCCTTCTGCTTCAGCCTCCCACATAGCTCAGACTACAGGTGAGCAGCACCATGTCTGGCTTCAGACTGAAAAAATTTTTTAATCTAGAATTTTTTTTAGACTAGAAATTATTTTTGAGACCAGAAAAAAAATTCTTCTATCTAGTTAAGCCTTCTTTGTTGTACTTCTTCTGCAGAATAGTGGTGGAATTCAACAACTTGACTGTTAGTTCAAACTAAACCCAGTGTATAAGATGTAAAATGGTGAGTGGGTGATCTTCCCAAAAGGATTTCCTTGGCTCCAACTTCACCACACACCACACACACACACACACACACACACACACACACAAACATTCACACACACACACACACACACAGGCCATTTCTTCCTCTATTTCTCGAATGCTGTTGCTTCTAACATCCCATTTTTTTGTGTGTTAATACACCATGTGGACTTGTCTTCCTAGGAGAGGATTTTAACTTGTGAGTTAATTAGATCAGTAGTCCCACTGGATATTCTAACTGTCAATTCCCAAGGTCCATCCCAGACCTGTTCCATCAGCATTTTTCATAGTTGAGGACCGTGAATCTGCACTTTTATTAAAATAGATGGTAAAATTGGTATTTCAGCACCCTACGTGATTGTGATCATCTGGCAACTCTGGATGTCAGGATACTAGCCAGCATTTCTCAACATGGATGGCATGGTACTGTCAGCAGGAGAGCTAAAACCAATCAAGCAACCTAAGGAACAGCTAACCAAAGCAACCAACCAACCAACCAAACAAGCAAGCAAGCAAGTAACCAAACAGCTAACCAACCAATCAACCAACCAACCAATAAACCAACCAAGCAAACAAACAGCAAAGCAACCAGGCAACTAACCAACCAACCAACCAACGAACCAACCAACCAACCAACCAACCAATCAAACAAACGAACAATAAGAACTGGCCCCAGACCAATCAACTAGAATCTTAATAAATGGGTCCTTTCTAGGGGATTCTACTGTGCAGCCGGCGTTGAGAACCACTGTCTCTGGGCAATATTCCCCAAACTTCTCTGCTGATGTGAATCACCTGGGGTGCTTGTCAAGCTTACAGCTTTCCAGGATTCTCTGGAGATTCTGACACCCATGCATCTGGTTTGAAGCCCAGGAATTTGTGTTTTTAACCAGTACAAGGCTTGATCTTGCCTACAATAGTGAGATAAAAATAATCATCTTCTACCAATGTGAAAAGGAATCCCCTTCACTGTTCTCTTTCTTCCCGTATCTAACTCTGGGAAAATGTCTCACTCAAAACAGGTGCATTTTTGGTAGTTTGTTTACCAGTGTTCACCACTGAGTAATAAGGTATTTAGTCTTTAGACCTGTGCCTTTTTATGCAGCGATGGCTTTGTTCATTGTCCTTAGGGGCTCTCCTCTGTATTTTTCTCCCATGTAAAATGTACATTTTAGAATGTAGCCCTACTGCATTCCCTGGAGTTGATATGGTATTGACATTCCCTGTCTGTAGATCCACTAGTGTGGAGGTTAGGAAAGCAATGTGACATGGAGTAACTACTGTCACTTATAAGGAGGGTCCCAGGATGCTCTTTGAATGGCTCTCCTGGCTTATGTCAATCCTTTTTTTGAGACCAGCAGGTAAGGACTCTGGATTAATCCATTCTCATCAGCCATATCAACATATCTGGGAGATCTCCATTCTCTCTCTGGACCAGACATTCTTCTTGAAATTCTTTTGGGGGTCATTCTCAACTCTTGACCTTATCTGAATTAAACTTATCAATATATTTGATAGATACTACTATCTATCCCTTCTCCCAAATGGGCAAAGGACATAAACAAATTATGGGAGACAAACTATAAGTGATCAGTAATGATAACAAATGCAAATAAGAGGACCATAATCCATTGAGTTTTCACTTGGTCTGGCAAAGATTAAAGATTAATAATAGTATGCATTGTTGATGAGGTTGCTGTGAAAAAGGCAATTCCCATTGGTGGGAACTCTGAATTGGTCCAACAACTTTGGAGGAAAATCCGGCAGTAGCTATCAAAATTTAAAATATACATATCATTGAGAAAGCAATTCTGGCTTTAGTAATTTGCTTTATAGAGCTATGCACAAAAGTATGCAAAGACAGACAGATAGACGGACAATTTATTGCAGCACTTTTCATAATAGGGAAACATTGAGAAACAACCTAAATGTCCAGTTAAATAATCTATCGTATGTCCAGATACTCTGCAGCTGTTAATGTGAGTGAGGTGGATCTGTAGGTGCTGATGTGGAAAGACAACTATGTCATTCACTAAAGAAAGCAAAGCTTCTACTAATTAAATAGTGAGGAATACCCAGCTTGCTTATAACTTCTTAAAAACATTTGTTCTGAGGTTATAAGAAATAAAGCTATAAAAGCAAAGGCTTAAATCTCATTTCCATCACTTATGAGCTGTGTGATTTTGGCCAAGTTACTTCTTTGAACCTCAATTTCTTTATGTGTAAAGTGGGAGTCATAACAGCCACTTCACAGAATTCTGACGATGTTTAAAAGAGATCATGTATAAAACCCTTGTCACAAATAACACTCAACAAAGGTTATCTCCTATTCCTTTAAAAGCAAAAATTAAGGTGATATACATGAAGGTCTGTATAAACGGTAAGAGTAGATCAGCTCCTTTTATAGTTTGGATATTGGCCCATGCCCAAATATCATGTTGAATTGTAATTCCCAGTGCTGGAGGTGGGGCCTAGTAGGAGCTGTTTGGAGCATGGGGGCAAATCCCTCAGGAATGGCCATCGCACACCCCCCATACCTCAAGTGAGCTCTTGCTCTGAGTTCACATGAGATCTGGTTGTTTAAAAGTGTGTGGCACCACCCACTCCACACACTCTCTGTTGCTTACCCCTGTTTTCACTATGTGATATGCTTGCTCCCCCTTCACCTTCTGCCATGATTGGAAGCTTCCTGAGGCCTCCCTAAAAGCTGAGCACATGACAGCATCATGCTTCCTGTAAAGCCTGCAGAACTGTGAGCCAATGAAACCTCTTTTCTTTATAAATTACCCAGTCTCAGGTGTTTCTTTATAGCAATGCAAGAACAGCCTAATACACTTATCAATCATAGTTATCCTCTATAAACTATGACAAAGTTTTCTAGAATTGGCCTAGCTTTTTTTTTTTTTTCTTTTCTTGGAATCTGGATTTCAGGGAGGCTGCAGCTCAGGGGTGGGAAAATGTGGAGTATAGATGGACTTATTCTAAGACCCACGTAGCGCCCCTTAGCCTGATTCAGTCTTAATTCATTTATTTTCTGTCATTCTGAGCTCTTATTTGAAGCCTTTAAGACAGGGATTTAGCTAAAGCTGTATTTCAAGGCCCTAAATCCAAATGCTTGCCTGAGTTTGAAAGGTAACACAAAAATGAGTGAAGTGGGCAGGAAATTCAATATTAAAAACTAGGAAAAGTCTATTTCTAAAAAGAAATCTGTTCATTCTGTCCTCTGCCTATCCCCATCTAGTTTTTATTTTCCTTTTTTTTTTTTTGTACTAGATATAGGAACAGAACATGTTTTCTTTCTTTTGTAACTCTAAGAAAAACAACACGAGTACAATGATAAATGAGAACTGAAATGCAGTCTCAATATCGAGGAGACTATAGGGAGTGGTGGAGGCTGCAGCAAACAGGAAATGCTACATCCTGGCTTAGGGTGGGCCGCTGACACTCAGCTGTAGCCCAGTGATGCCATGCAGAATCATAGGCTTAGTGCTGCCAGCATTTCTACTTTTCAAGAGAAGTTGGAAATTTGTTTTTTATGTAAAACATCTTGATTATTTTTTTAGTGGTGACAACTATTCTCTCAAATATAAAAGCATATGAGATCCCAGCATGGAAAGCCCAACAAGACATATCTGTGGGCCAGATGTGGCCTGAGGGACCGAGCTTGCAACCTTGGTTTTTGCTTCTTCACAGAGAGTATGAGAGAAAAGAGCGACGAGAGTGAGTTTATTAGTCAGATTGCACTCAGAAAACAGATGGCGCACCCAAGTTAGTCTAATTTGTGAAGGATTTATTAAGAAGGAGACTGAGCACAAGAGTGTGAGTAGGGTGGTGGGGGATCTGAGGCATGGCGCAAGACCTGGGACTGGTGGTGGTGGAGTTGCCACCTCCCACACATCAAAAGGATGAGGGGAGCAGGAGTTGAGCAGAGCAAGCCTCTTTGAGAAGTACAGTGACTTTCTCAGAGATGGAACCAGATAAATAAATATCCTGACCACCTTCCTTCCTGCTCCTGGTGCTTCCCATTGGCCAAATCCAACCGGAACATGAGGACATGGCAGCCCATGGATGTAATGCAGCCAGCTTAGCCCCTGGGGCAGAGAGGAGGATGCAAGGAAGTGGAGAGGAGATCTGGTGGGACAAATGGAGACATCTGGCATAGGGAATGCAACCAACAGATGTTTGAGGATTCCTAAGGCTTCTTGTGAGTCAGGTCCCAATTCTCAGAGTCAAATCAAGTCACATTCAAGTCACCAGCCCTTCCCACATTTTAACTAAGGAGAAGGAGAGCCTGGGAAGAAGCCGTCACTAGGGGCAGCCCGGTGGACAGCTGCAAGGGAACTTGGCTGGGGGTGGGCAGTGCAGGCCTTCGGAGAGGATCCATCCTCTGCTGCAGGAACACAGGATTGGGAGTGCATTAGGCTTGTTGGCAGCTCCGCAAAACAGAGATCTGAATCTGCCTTGTTCCTTTGTTCCTCAAGCAGAGTCTGGCATAAGCAGTTGCTCAGTAAATGCTTCCTGAATAAATGAGATGTTTGGGTAAAATGTGGCAGTCTGATTATATTCTCAATGTAGAACCATCCTGCTGCATTTCTGAGCAGATAGACCACCGGGGACTGTTGGGGTATCCTGGTCTTTTTAGGAACTACTCTTGGGGATACCCCAACATCAGAAGGGCCCGGATGGAGCAGCTATATCCCTGTATCACTCTGGGATTTCCTGGTTCAAGGAACAAAACCTAAAGTCTCTTCTCCAGCTGCCTCCCACTCACCAGCTGGAAAGAACTCTGGGAACAAGTGGCTTGTGTCTCTGCATATTCCTCACTTGGCAAATCAAAAAACAGTTGGATTAGAGGATTAGGCATTAAATGAATGGCTAATGGCTTCTGTGAGACACTGCACAGAGGCCATAAAGCAGGTGGCAGGGCACAAGCTGAGCTGTAGAGTTTACAAAGGCAGGCCTCAGGCCTTCATCCTGGAGAAACTCTGAGAAGAAGGAGAACATGGGAGAAGATGAATCTATTCCTCCTTCGTAAGGCCCAGCTGGGCTGTTATCTTAACCCCTGCTCTATGGATTGCTAAATCAAAACAAAGGATTCGGGTCAGAGGCTTGTTTTCCTTCAGTCAATTGATATTTTTTAAACTTATACCATGTGGTAAGCTTGTTCCAGGGTCTGAAGACAGACATGAATAACATTGGCACTCTTCCTACCTTTACCTGAGCTTATAGTTGAGAATATATATCAGAATTACATGGAACTTATAATGCAGAGTCCAGGGCCTCATTACTAAACTATCCTGACACAGATCTGGAGCAGGTATCAAGAACCTGTACCTAAAAAAGACAAACATCCTGGGTCCTTCTAATGCAATTGGTCCAGCCATATCTTGAGAACCAACTGGTCTACCAGGAATCTTACACATTGAAAAAGAGTTCCCTGGCCAGACAATTAATACCCAGCTCCCCCAAATTGGAATTCTGCTTCACCTTAGGGACTCAGGTAAGCAGAAGAGAAAAAACATCTCAAGTAGGAAGAAAAAGAAAAAAAACCCCACTTACAATGTCAAAATTACTCTTGAAAATCACTTAGGAAGGTACCATGTTGGAGGTTGTTCTATCAATTTTAAAAAGACCAGCCCAGTCATTTTCTCTCCACTATAAGAAGAAATCTGTTTCTTCAGTTGGACACCAAATGAATGGCTAGATTAGAGGTCCTGCTGTTTTAAAAAGTTAATAAAGCTGAAAAAAAAAGCACCATTCTTTAAATACTCCATATGGTGTGGTATTCTGTTTGTAGGAGGCACACAAACAATAGCAGATTTGAAGCCCCATTTCAGGCTCACTATGGGGTCTGCACATATTGAATGAAGTGGCAGGCAGAATTGCCTGTATTATTTAAGTTATTATTTCTTTTTCTTAATTTTTTTCCCCAAATCAAAGTGGTTGGATTTGCAGAAATTAAATGTGCATGTGATACAACTCCACAGTTCTAGACAGACCATGAAAAGTGCCTGGCACTTACATTTTCCCATCCTGGGAAAGCCCAGCTTGCCTCCGAGCCCATCACTGTCTTTGGAGGAATTCTTGATGACTGAGTCCCTATTCTTTGCATCACGTGAACAACGGGTTATTGCAACCAGGTTGTATACTGTACAACCTTTGGGGGTGCCATTCACAAAGACTGTAGTGTGAATGGTGTCCCTGGAATTATGCAGTACACAACCTGCACAGCCTAATGTGCTGGCCCTTATTGTGCCCAAAGGCAGTCAGGAAGCCCCAAAAATCTGCTCCAGGCTGTTCACTGGGTGTGTGGAAGGTACACTTACGTTATTGTTTTCAAATAACACAGCAGTGAAAAGCCAGACAAATGAAATACCCAAGAGAATCCGAGTATCTGTATTTCCAATTACACTGAACATGCATTCTTCACCCACATAAGTGCCAATTTGTATTATTCTAAGTTCCACTGAAATTGGCCCAAGCCCCTGGGGCACTTCTTGCCTAGTTTCACTTGTTACCCTGGGATAATTGGTTTAAAACTGATTACTGGGTCACTAATTATGGAGCCTATTGACAGTGTATTTCAGCTTAGGGAAGCAATTAAAAAGTTCACCCTAATTAATCAGGGGTAATTAACAGGTCTTAAATTTCATCAAGAGATTAATTATCAAGAAATCCAGAACAAATCAATGTGCATTCCAGGAGGGTGAAAGAGGACTTTATCATTGGAGCTGGAGGTTATTTGGATTATCCATTCATTCATTTAACAAATGTTTACTGAGCACCTACACGGTGCCAAGCACAGAGCCTAGTGGCTTTGCAGTTCCAGTGGCTTTGCTGATGTGACTTCCCATTAGACAGGGAATGGTGGAACATGTGACCAGGCACTTTTTCAAATGGTTGCAGAGAGGCTCCCTGAAGGCATAATCACAATATTTCAAGTTAATTGTTTTGAGCACTTATTACGTGCTATGTGCAGGACTAAGAGCTTCTGTCTATTATTTCATTAAACCTTCACAATGACCCTATTATGTAGAAGCTATTGGTTATCATCATTTAACAGGTAAGGAAACTCAGGCATAGCTGGGTTAAGAAACTTACCCAAGAAGACACAGTTAGGAAATAGTAGGGCTAGGTTTTGAATCCAGGGAGAGTGACTCTATGCTTTGGTACACCTCTCAATGTGTCAGTGTTCTGAGAAAGGATCAGGTTAGCCTTTCCCCAAGGGAGGTTAGTGGAAAGACAGCCAAATAAAGTGAAGTGTGGGGCTCTAGAGTCAGACTACCTGCGTCAAATCCTGGTGCCACTGACTAACCATATGAGCTTGGGCAAGTTCACCCCACCTCTCTGTGACCCCACTTTCCTCTTCTGTAAAATGGGCATGTAATGGTACCAACGACACCATGCTAATTTAAGGTGATGCATGTAAAACATTTCAGATCGTTCCCGGCACCTGGTAGCTGTTGGGGCCATTTACTACTGCCTTCTTGCTGAGCCAGGAAGTTACTGTCTTAGCTTTTTTTCTATCAGCTGGCATGATTCTGCCATACAGATCCTTGTTTGGGTTTTAGGAATGATTTTCTATTTAGTTTGGGAGTGTGCTATGATCTGAATTGTGCCTACCCAAAATATGTTGATGCCCTGATCCCCAGTGGGATGGTATTTGGAGACGGGGTCTTTGAGAAGCAATTAGGTTTAGATGAGGTCATGCAATGGAATTCGTGTTCTTATAAGAAGAGACATCAGAGCATTCACATTAATGTTCTCTTTCTCTCATTCCTGACCATGCTGGCACTCTAACCTCAGACCTTCAGCCCCCAGAACTGTGAGAAAATACATTTTTATTGTTTAAGCCACCCAGTCTAGGGTATTTTGTAGTGGCAGCCTGAACTAATACAGAATGTTTGCTAATTTTCCAGAACTGATTGCTTGGGGCCACTTCAGAGGTTAAGCTACCAGACATCAGAGTGTCATTCCCATCACTCTAATACAAAAATGATCTGTTGCCTGCAAGGCAACTTTGATAACAGGGAGTATGGCAGTCCTAGAGAGTGACGCTTCTGTAAATTCTATCCTTGCTTCTTTTCTGGGGCTGAAAAGTAATAGATCAGGCACACAGAGGTGGAGGCAATGGGCTCTTCCCAGTGCAATGCTTTGGTGATGTCCAGAGACCTATAGAGGTGAGAAATACTGAAGAGGACATCCGCCATTTTTGTCTGTCTAGCATCAATCCTAATTCCTGTAACTACACTCTGGTTTTTCTCTGATGATGTTAGAGTACTATCAGTAAGGAGATGTGGGCTGCAAATAGAGCCCAGATGTCCTTGTGTTCATCTCAACCACCAGCCTGAGACTACAAAAATAAGGATGCACTTCCTAGGTCTGACCGACGGCCACAGAAAGTTTATACAAGTTATGGTGGTCAGGAGTGTGGCAACTGGAATCAGATGGCTTGGGTTCAAATCCTGTCCCTGACACTGCCTAGCTGGGTGACTGGGTAGGTTACTTAACCTTCATGACTTAGCTTCCTCCTCCATCAAATGGGGATTCAGTTTGCCAAGAGGATTCAATGACACTGAGTATGTAAAGTGAATAACTCAGTGCTTGGGACATAGTGATCACCCCGGATAGCCTTTGTTGTTATATAACAATCCCTAGAACCACTTGCCAAGATGAGGTGAACATTCAATTTACTCCTAGAGTTCCTTTCCCAAAACAGTCCTGAAGACTCTTAAGGTCTTCTCCCCACTGTTTTCTGCCTTATATATCAGGGAATAGTCAGAAAAATACTTATGAACAGAGAAGGTCAATAAACTTGGAATGACTTTCAGTTCTGTAGTCTCTGAATCTTTTCCCTTTGGTCTTGCAAAGCAGCAATTTCCCACCTTCCCCTAACTCCTTGGTGGAAGTGCTTTATATGAATATTGTTTCTATATTGAATTAAGACATTACTATAGTGCTAAGCTTCAGTGGAAGACTTTCTGTAGGGGCAGGGAGTGTAGTTACAGGGTTTTTCCAGGGCTTTGCACCTGGAAAAGAGGTATGTCTTGCAGACCAGAAGAAGAAACTGGGAAAGAACTCAAAGGTTCATTCAGGGCTGGGCTCAGGTTCTCTTGTTATGTACAGTGAGGATGTCTAGCAAGATGGTCCTTGGTGAGGGAAGGAGAGTCTGAGTTGCACCAACCTCTGTGGTCCAGAGACTATCTTGTTGTGTCAAGACAGTGTGTGAAATGCTATAAGGCTTAAGAGTTCTGGGAGCAAGCTAACTGTGGCAGGATTATACACTTTACTTGTTTAGCTAGAGTGTTTTTCTAATTTTTCGGGGGAGTAGGGGTGGGAGTTTCTTAGTGTTTGCTTCTCTTTTGTTCTCTCTTAGCACTTGGCAATTTGAATATCCCAGCTAGCTTAGCTCTGCTACAGGGCTGGGGTGGTTATATCCATGTTGGAGCAAAGCTTTAAAAGGCAGCATGATTTTTTTTGAGATTAGAGGTGAAATTCTTTAATTCTTCCTTTCTTCCTTCCATCCATCCCCATCCATCCATCCATCCATCCATCCATTTGTGTACCCATTTGATAGCCCATTTATCCTTGCATTCATCCATCCATTTACCCATTTAATAACCCATTCGTCCATTCATTATTGCATTCATCCATCCATTTGCTCATCCTTTTATTTACCCATACATTTAGCCAACAAATATCTCTGAGCACCTGCTGTGGGCCAGGCACTGTTCTAGGCATTGGAGATACAGCAACGAACAAAACAGAGACTTGCTCTTAAGGAGCATACTTCCTAGTGGTAAAAGATAAATGACAAACAAATGCAGTATGTAGTATACCAGGTGGTGACAAGTGCTTTGGAAACTATAAATCAGGGAAGGGAAATAGGGAGTGTTAGGGGTGAGCAATTAGAAAAGGAATTTGAGAGGACAAAACCATGGCCACAGATTCTAGCAGTTCTTCCCTACCAAGAGACTTTTAAGAACATGTGATATTAACCTAGCGACCTCCTGAGGCTTATTACATTATAGAAACAGAGGCAGCTCAATGGCAGGTGGTTGCCCATGCACAGAGTCATTTAGCTTGTGCACGCATACTTGAAGAGGACATCTGCCATTTTTGTCTGTCTAGCATCAATCCTAATTCCTGTAACTACACTCTGGTTTTTCCCTTGGGGAGCCAATCTGCTCCCTTTCTCATGGACCTTCGTTTAGAGGGGGCTGATCTCCCTCCCAAGCTTTATAATGAACATGTGACCCAGGATTGGCTCAGTAGGTTCATTTTTCCTGGCCACGTGGATGGTTTCAGGCATTACCTGACCATGTAAATCTAAGGAGAATTCCCCTGGACTTTGATGGGAGCCAGTGAAGAGGAGGATCTCTCTTTTTTGATGGTTATAAATATATTATAATGAAATGAGATATAATTTAAACATCTACAACTGCCAGTGGCCACCTTTGCACCTAGGGAAGAGGCTACCTGAGAATGAAGCCAGCACAAAGGTGACCTGGGAGATGGAAAGAGATTAAATCTTGGATCATCTGAGCCTGGTCCACCTGTCCCTAGACCATCAGCTTTGTGAGCCAATAATTTTTTCGATAAACTTATGTCATTTTTGTTTATAACTTTTAAGTTCAAGGATACAAGTGCAGGTTTGTTAACAGGTAAACTTGGGCCATGGGGGTTTGTGGTACAGATTATTTCATCACCCAGGTATTAAGCCTGGTACCCATTAGTTATTTTTCCTGATCCTCTCCCTCCTTCCACTCTCCACTTTCCAAAAAACCCCAGCATGTGTTGCTCCCCTCTATGTGTCCATGTGTTCTCATCATTTAGCTCCCACTTGTAGGTGAGAACATGCAGTATTTGGTTTTCCATTCCTGTGTTAGTTTGCTAAAGATAATAGCCTTCAGCTTGATGCATGTCCCTGCAAAGGTTATAATCTTGTTCTTTTTTATGGCTGCATAGTATTCCATGATGTATATGTACCACATTTTCTTTATCCAGTTTATTATTGATGGGCATTTAGGTTGATTCATTGTCTTTGCTATTGCGAATAGCGCTGCAATGAACATATCATTGCATGTGTCTTTATAGCAGAATGTTTTATGTTCCTCTGGGTATGTACCTAGTAATGGGATTGCTGGGTTGAATGGTATTTCTGTCTTTAGGTCTTTGAGGAATTGCCACACTGTCTTCTACAAACTAACTTACACTCCCACCAACTGAACTAACTTACACTCCCACCAACTGTGTGTAAGTGTTCCTTTTTCTCCACATGGAGGACTGATGCTCTACCTCACCAGCATCTGTCATTTTTTGACTCTTTAATACTAGCCATTCTGACTGGTATTAGACGGTGTCTCATTGTAGTTTTGATTTACATTTCTCTAATGATCAGGGATGTTGGGCTTTTATTCAAATGACTGTTGGCTGCATATATGTCTTCTTTTGAAAAGTGTCCCAAGAATCCTGATTAACATGGTGCTCAGTGAATACTTATTGAATGGATAACATCAGAACTTTGCTGGAAGGAATCTTAAGAAATTGGAATTCTGCTCCCTTTGTCCCTATATTTCACATTGAGAAGTTCAATGTGACCTCTAAGGTGACATCAACTGGCTCTTCGCAGGTACCTTTAAAAAGAAGTTTCATTTATGTTCAGAATCATGATGCATAGGAATTAGACATGCCTTCTAAGTATGTTTAGGTATGATTTCAGTGTATTTCAAAAGTAATACATGCTCAATACAGAAAACAGAAAAGCGCAAAGAAGAAAATAAAAATTATGTATCTATCCAGCCCCTAAATAACTTGGCACACCAAGTTTTTGCTTTGCATCCATGTTTTTAAAATAAAATTTAGAATATACTCAATAAATCTGTATTTAAATCTGTATTTATTTTCACTGAAAATATATTTTTACTATTTTCCATGCCAGTGATTACTCTCCCATAACAACATATTTGACCACAATCTGGAAAGAATTTAAAGTTCTAGAAAAGTGCAAAGAACAACTTAATAGACATCTATACTCCCACCCTGTGCTGTTAACAACTATTAATATTTTATTATGTTCACTTTCAGTCATTTTTCAAAGGGAAAACAGTACATAGGTAGCTAACGTCTCCTACCAGTGAGTCTTTATTTATTTTTCACAGTTGTAAAGGCACTCTGAAGAATATCATTATTGAGCCTGTACACAATACAAAATTATACGACCTTTGTGTACATCCACCACTCCCTCAGGGTGAAGTCTTGGAAATGGTGGAACTGCCAGATCAGTGGGTGAATTTGTACTCCTGCCTGCCATAAATGATAACTCCCTTGTCCCTATATTCTAGCCAACACTGGCTCATTCTAATTCACTTCAAAAAAAAGTTTCATTTGAGAAAGGTGACATTTTATTATTGCTTTATTTTGTATTTCTTTGATTTCTAGTGATGTGACATATACACTTAATATGTACCAGCCAGTTTATAATTTTTCTATTATTAATTGCATTTTCACATCCTGTGTGCTTTTGTTTGTTGGGTATTCATTGTTTCTTTTTGAGTTAAAGGAGCTGCTTCGATGTTAAGGATATCATCATAAATGGCAAACATATATTCTGCTGTGTATCAATTGCCCTTCAGTTTTATTTATGATGGTTTTTGACATAAGTTGTTACTGTTTTTTATGTGTTATAATCAAGTTTGACAGACTTTTCCTTTATGTTTTCTGCATTTGGTGTCATGCTTAGAAAACCCTTCTCCATCCCTAGTTTCTAAAATTGTTCACCCATGTTTTCAGTGTCCTTATGGTTTATTTTTACATAAAATTTAAAAAAAACTAGAATTAATTTTGGGGTATGGTATGGGCTAAGATTCTAACAAATTTTTCCCAGATGGGTATCATGTTGTCTCAACATAATGATGATTGATTAAAAATGCCATATACTACATTGACTTTTATAGATCTATGTCAATTTCTGGAAATTTTATTCTGTTCCATCAATGTGTATGCCTTTGCTACACATCACTACAGTGTTTTATTACGTCTTTATAATATAGTTTCCTATCTATTTTAATGAATCTCTCTTCTTCTTAAAACTTTGGTCAAACTTGTGTTTTCCTTTTTCTAAATGAGATTCTTAACCAAGGGTGAGCATAAAAACAATCTGTGGAGGACTTTAATTAACCTGCCCAGGGCTCACATCCCAGAAAATTCTGATTCATTGGGTCTGGTGTGGGAGCTGGGCATCTTTCAAAAATAAATAAATAACACATGCATATATACATAATATATGCATTATACATAAAAGACTCCCTAGTTGATGGGGAGGCCCCTAGATTAAGAACCACAGCTCCCACGTGAGAACACATGGACACATAGAGGGGAGCAGCACACACTGGGGCCTATTGGAGGGTGGAAGGTGGGAGAAGGAAAAGGATTAGGAAAAATAATTAATGAGTACTAGGCTTAATACCTGGTGATGAGACAAGTTTACCTATGTAACAAACCCGCACATGTACCCTGAACTTAAAATAAAAGTTAAAATAAATAAATAAGAAGACAAAACCAAATAAAAAGAACCACAGCCCCAGCTTCAAAAGATTTTTATAATTTCAGAATCCTGTGTCAGAGTTCCCCTCTTCTCCCACTTCTATCCTGTTTCCAAGTGCAAGATGCTCCCTGGGGGCCACCTGGGGTGCTCTTATGTAATTGGTCTTGAGGATTTAGCTCAGGCTTTGGGGTTTTTGAAAGCTTCCTCAGTGATTCTAACGTGCAGTCAGGGTTGGTGATGACTGGTTTAGAAACTCCTTCTCAGTCCTGACCACTAAATCCTTGCTCTACTGTACAGATAGAATTC